>NC_000016.10:28486486-28801693 GCF_000001405.40 Homo sapiens | reverse complement strand
ATTATTATTCAGACTTGGGTAGCTGGCAGACATTGTTTCAAAAATGAACTGAGTCGGTCACATCAAGAAAAACAACTGACAGTGCTACCAATGATGAAATTCTTTTTTTTTTTTTTTTTTTTTTGAGATACAGTCTCGCTCTGTCACCCAGGCTGGAGTGCAGTGGCACCATCTCGGCTCATTGCCAAGATCTCGGCTCATTGCAACCTCCATCTCCTAGAAGGGTCAGGTGATTCTCCTGCCTCAGCCTCCCAAATAGCTGAGATTACAGGTGCGTGCCACCACACTTGGCTAATTTCTGTATTTTTAGTAGAGACAGGGTTTCACCATTTTGTCCAGGCTGGTCTCCAACTCCTGACCTCAAGTAATCTTCCCACCTTGGCCTCCCAAAGTGCTGGGATTACAGGCGTGAGCCACTGCGCCTGGCCAAAATTCTACTTTTTAAGTGAAAATTAGAATTTAAAAAAATGAAAAAAAATATCTGTTTTCATTAGCCTGGCGGCTGCCTACCACTTACAGATTTTATCCTCTCCTTTATTATTATTATTATTATTATTATTATTATTATTATTATTATAGAGATGGAGTCTCGCTCTGCCCCCCAGGCTGGAGTGCAGTGGCATGATCTCGGCTCACTGCAAGCTCTACCTCCCAGGTTCACGCCATTCTCCTGCCTCAGTCTCCTGAGTACCTTGGACTACAGGCACCTGCCACCATGCCTGGCTAATTTTTTGTATTTTTAGTAGAGATGGGGTTTCACCGTGTTAGCCAGGATGGTCTCGATCTCCTGACCTTGTGATCCACACACCTCGGCCTCCCAAAATCCTGGGATTACAGGTGTGAGCCACCGCACCCCGCCTCCTTTTTTTTTTTTGAGACAGAGTCTTGCTCTGTTGCCCAGGCTGGAGTGCAGTGGCTCTATCTCAGCTCACAACCTCCGCCTCCTGGGTTCAAGTGGTTCTCCTGCTTCAGCCTCCCGAGTAGCTGGGATTACAGGTGCCCACCATCACGCCTGGCTAATTTTTGTATTTTTAGTAGAGACAGGGTTTCACCATGTTGGCCAGGCTGGTCTTGAACTCCTGGCCTCAGGTGATCCACTCACTTCGGCCTCCCAAAGTGCTGGGATTACAGGAGTGAGCCACTGCGCCCAGCCAGTTTAATGTGTTTTATTTTATTTTATTTATTTATTTTGTTTTTTGAGATGGAGTTTCGCTCTTGTTGCCCAGGCTGGAGTGCAATGGCGTGATCTTGGCTCACCACAACCTCCGCCTCCCGGGTTCAAGTGATTCTCCTGCCTCAGCCTCCCGAGCAGCTGGGATTACAACAAGCATGTGTCACAACGCCCGGCTAATTTTGTATTTTTAGTAGAGACGGGGTTTCTCCATGTTAGGCTAGTCTCAAACTCCCGACCTCAGGTGATTCACCCGCCTCGGCCTCCCAAAGTGCTGGGATTACAGGCGTGAGCTACTGCTCCCAGCCAGATGGACTATCAATTATTAATAGACACTTCCTGGCCAGGCACCGTGGCTCATGCCTGTAATCCCAGCACTCTGGGAGGCTGAGACGGGCAGACCATGAGGTCAAGAGATGGAGACCATCCTGGCCAACATGGTGAAAACCAGTCTCTACTAAAAATTAGCTGGGCGTGGTGGCACGCGCCTGTAGTCCCAGCTACTTGGAAGGCTGAGGCAGGAGAATCGCTTGAACCTGGGAGGTGGAGGTTGCAGTGAGCCGAGATCACGCCACTGCACTCCAGCCTGGCGACAAAGTGAGACTCCATCTCAAAAAAATAAAAATAAAAATAAAATAAAATAAAATAAAATAAACACTTCCATCTATTTGTCTGAGACCTTCTATCTCATATGCAGGCAATTCTAGGAGAGGTTGGGGTTACAAGGAAGTTGAGGGCAATGGTGAGAATAACCTAAAAGCTTGGGAGTGGTTATTCCCAAGAACTCTCATCTTGTGGACCAAGGAGGGTTGGAGAAATAGAGCCTTTGATTCTATTTTAAAAGGCTCAGGGAGGCCAAGCAAAGTAGCTCATGCCTGTAATCCCAGCACTTTGGGAGGCAGAGGTGGGAGAATCACCTGAGGTCAGGAGTTCGAGACCAGCCTGGCCAATATGGCAAAACATCATCTCTACTAAAAATACAAAAATTAGAGCCAGGAGCGGTGGCTCATGCCTGTAATCCCAGCACTTTGGGAGGCCAAGGCGGGCGGATCACCTGAGGTTGGGAGTTAGAGACCAGCCTGACCAACATGGAGAAACCCCATCTCTACTAAAAATACAAAATTAGCCGGGCATGGTGGCTCATGCCTGTAATCCCAGCTACTCGGGGGACTGAGGCAGGAGAATCGCTTGAACCTGGGAGGCAGAGGTTGTGGTGAGCCGAGATTGCGCCAATGGGGCAACAAGAGCAAAACTCCATCTCAAAGAAAAAAAAAATTAGCTGGTTGTGGTGATGCATGCCTGTAATCCAAGCTACTAGGGAGGCTGAGGCAGGAGAACCATTTGAACCTGGGAGACGGAGGCTGCAGTGAGCCAAGATCACGCCACTGCACTCCAGCCTGGGTGACAGAGCCAGACTCAGTCTCAAAAAAAAAAAAAAAAAAAAAAAAATGGCGGCGGGGGAGCTTGGGAAAAGTGATGAGAGAAACCTGAGGTCTGACAGGTGCATGAGGAAATCTCACCTGTGACCCAGAAGAGGGTCGTACTGTGCTGCTCTGCGTTTCGCAGGGCATGCCACATTTTTTTTTAAATAATTTCAACCTTTATCTTATTATTTTCTTGAGATGGAGTCTTGCTCTGTCGCTCAAGCTGGAGTGCAGTGGTGCAGTCTTGGCTCACTGCAACCTCTGCCTCCCAGGTTCAAGTGATTTTCCTGCCTCAGCCTCCCAAGTAGCTAAGATTACAGGTGCCTGCTGCCATGCCTGGCTAATTTTTGTATTTTTAGTAGAGACGGGGTTTCACCGTGTTGGCCAGGCTGGTCTTGAACTCCTGACCTCAGGTGATTCGCCTGCCTCGGCCTCCCAAAGTGCTGAGATTACAGGCGTGAGGCACCCACCGTGCCCGGCCATATTATTATTATTTTTTGAGATGGGGTGTTGCTTTTTTGCCCAGGCTGGAGTGCAGTAGCTCGATCACAGGTCACTGCAGTCTCACCCCCGCAGGCTCAAGCAATCCTCCCACCTCAGCCTCCTGAGTAGCTGGTGCTATAGCAAGTTCCACCACACCCTGCTAATTTTTTGTAAAGGTGGGGTCTCTCTATGTTGCCAAGGCTGGTCTCAAACTCCTTGGCTCAAGCCATCCTCCCACCTCGGCCTCCCAAAGTGCTCGGATTACAGACCTGAGCCACCGAGCCTGGTCTCCCAGCTTTTATTTTAGGTTCAGGGAGGCGTGTGTGGGTTCGTCACCTGGGTATACTGCATGATGCTGAGGCTTGGGCTATGAATGATCCTGTCATCCAGGAAGTAAGCATAATACCCAACAGTTTTTCAACTCTTACTCTCCACTGTCCCTCCCCACTCTAGGAGGTCCCAGTATCTATTGTTCCCATCTTTACATCCATGTGTGTACTCAATGTTTTTTTTTTGTTTTGTTTTGAGATGGAGTTGCGCTCTGTCGCGTAGGCTGAAGTGCAATCATGCAATCTTGGCTCACTGCAACCTCCACCTCCCGGGTTCAAATGATTCTCCTGCTTCAGCCCCTCGAGTAGCTGGGATTAAAGGCACCTGCCATCATGCCTGGCTAATTTTTGTATTTTTGTAGAGACAGGGTTTCGCCATATTGGCCAGGCTGATCTTGAACTCCTGACCTCAGATGATCCACCTGCCTCAGCCTCCCAAAGTGCTGGGATTACAGGTGTGAGCCACCGCACCCAGGCAATGTGTACTCAATGTTTAGATCTCATTTATAAGTGAGAACACGCAGTCCTTGGTTTTCTGTTCCTGGGTTAATTTGCTTAGGATAATGACCGCCAGCTACATCCATGTCAGAGCGAAGAACATGATTTCATTAGTGTTTATGGCTGGGCGTGCTGCATTCTTTCACTGCTTGCTGAGCATCAGCAGGGAAGCATTGCCTTGGGAACGGAACTTGATGGGAGGCCTCCTTGGGACCTCTCTCCTTCTCCGCCTCCTCCTCACTCTCCTCCTTCCTCCTCCTCCATAAATTGGACCAAAACATATCCTGCTGGGGACCAAAACATATCTGCACTGGCTCACGCATGTAACCCCAGCACTTTGGGAGGCTGAGGCGGGTGGATCACTTGAGGTCAGGAGTTTGACACCAGCCTGGGCAACACGGTGAAACTCCATCTCTACTGAAAATACAAAATTGCTTGAATCTGGGAGGTGGAGGTTGCAGTGAGCCAAGATTGCGCCACTGCACTCCAGCCTGGGTTAACAAGTGAGACTCTGTTTCAAAAAAAAAAAAAAAAAAATATATATATATATATATATATGGCCGGGCACGGTGGCTCTCACCTGTAATCCCAGCACTTTGGGAGGCTGAGGCGGGCAGATCACAAGGTCAAGAGATCGAGACCATTCTGGCCAACATGGTGAAACCCCATCTCTACTAAAAGTACAAAAATTAGCTGGGTGTGGTGGTGCGTGCCTGTAGTCTCAGCTACTCAGGAGGCTGAGGCAGGAGAATCGCCTGAACCCAAAAGGTGGAGGTTGCAGTGAGTTGAGATTGTGCCACTGCACACCAGCCTGATAACAGAGTGAGACTTCATCTCAAAAAAAAAAAAAAAAAATATATATATATATATATATATATATATATATAAAATAGAGGACCAATTTCAGCAGCATATTAAAAGGATTTTATGGGGCCGGGCATGGTGGCTCATGCCTGTAATCCCAGCACTTTGGGATGCCAAGGTGGGCGGATCATGAGGTCAAGAGTTTGAGACCAGCCTGGCCAACATGGTGAAACCCCATCTCTATTAAGAATACAAAAAGTAGCCGGGCGTGGTGGCGCATGCCTGTAAATCCCAGCTACTCAGGAGACTGAGGCAGGAGAACTGCTTGAACCCAGGGGGTGGGGGTTGCAATGAGCCAAGGTTGCGCCACTGCACTCCAGCCTGGACGACAGAGCAAGACTGTCTCAGGAAAAAAAAAAAAAGTATTTTATCCATGAACAAGTTGGATTTATTCCTGGAATGCAAAGATGTTTTAACATATGAAAATTAATCAATGTCATATACCACATTAATAGAATAAAGGGAAAAATCTTATAATTGTCTCAGTTGATGCAGAAAAAGTATTCGGCAAAATCCAATACTCTTTCAAGATTTAAAAAAAAAACACTCAGCCAGGCACGGTGGCTCACGCCTGTAACCCTAGTACTTTGGGAGGCCGAGGCAGGTGGATCGCTGGAGCTCAGGAGTTCAAGACCAGCCTTGGCAACATGGCAAAACCATGTCTCTACCAAAAACAAAAATTAAGCTGGGTATGGTGGTGCATGCCTGTAGTCCCAGCTACTTGGGAGGCTGAGGTGGGAGGACGGCTTGAACCCAGGAGGTGGAGGTTGCAGGGAGCCATTATCAGGCCACTACACTCCAGCCTGGGTGAGAGAACAAGGCCCTGTCTGGAAAAAATAAAATAAAACTAGAACTAGAAGAATTTTCCTCAACATGGTAAAGGCCATACATGAAAAACAGAGTTAACATCATATTCAATGATGAAAGACTGAAAATTTTCCCCATAAGATCAGGAACAAAACAAGAACCACCACTTTGGCCACTTCTATTTAACAGAGTATTGGAATTTCTAGCCAGAGAAATTAAGCAAGAAAAATAAGTAAAAGTTACCTGAATTGGAAAGGAAAAAGTAAAATTATCTGTACTTGCAGATGAAATGATTTTATACGTGGAAAACCCTAAAGCTTACATACATACACAACTATTAGAGCCAATAAATGAATTCAACAAAGTTGCAGCATACAAAGTCAACACACAAAAATCAGTTGCATTTCTTTACACTAACGATGAATAACCCCAAAGAGAAATTAAGAAAACAACTCTATTTAAATTACCATGCGGCCGGGTGCAATGGCTCATACCTGTAATCCCAGCACTTTGGGAGGCTGAGGTGGGTGGATCACCTGAGGTCAGGAGTTCAAGACCAGCCTGGCCAACATGGTAAAATCCAGTCTCTACTAAAAATACAAAAAACTGGCCGGGTGCGGTGGCTCACGCCTATAATCCCAGCACTTTGGGAGGCCAAGGCGGGCAGATCACCTGAGGTCGGATGTTCGAGACCAGCCTGACCAACACAGAGAAACTCTGTCTCTACTAAAAATACAAATAAAATTAGCTGGCCGTGGTGGCACATGCCTGTAATCCCAGCTACTCAGAAAGCTGAGGCAGGAGAATTGCTTGAACCCGGGAGGCAGAGGTTGCGGTGAGCCGAGGTCACACCATTGCACTCCAGCCTGGGCAATAAGAGCAAAACTACATCTCAAAAAACAAAAACAAAAACAAAAAATTAGCTGGGCGTGGAGGCGGGTGCCTGTAATCTCAGCTACTTGGGAGGCTGAGGCAGGAGAATCACTTGAACCCAGAAGGCAGAGGTTGCAGTGAGCCAAGATCACACCACTGCAATCCAGCCTGGGCAAAAAGAGCGAAATTCTATCTCAAGAAAAAAAAAAGCCATGAAAAGGAATCAAATAGGAAGAAATGTAACCAATGAGGCAAAATATTTGTAACTGAAAACTACAAAAAATTAAAGAGACATAAATAAAAAGATATCCTATGTTTATAGAATGTAAAATTTATTGTTTGTTTGTTTTTTGAGACAGAGTCTTGCTCTGTCACCCAGGCTGGAGTGCTGTGATGCGATCTTGGCTCACTGCAACCTCTGCCTCCTGGGTTCAAGTGATTCTTCTGCCTCAGCCTCCTGAGTGGCGGGAACTACAGGCACGTGCCACCACGCCCAGCTAATTTTTTTTTTTTTTGCATTTTTAGTAGAGACAGGATTTTACCATGTTGGCAGGGCTGGTCTCGAACTCCTGACCTCAAGTGATCTGCCCGCCTCAGCCTCCCAAAGTGCTGAGATTACAGGCATGAGCCACTGCGCCCGGCCTGAATGTAAGATTTAATATTGTTAAGATGACGGTACTACCCAGAGCAATCTACAGATTCAATGCAATTTGTATCAAAATCCAAATGGTATTTTTAATATTTTACAGATATACAAAAACTCATCCTAAAATTTATGTGGAATCACAAGGCATCCTAAATAACACAAAAAAAGACGGAAAAAAAGGTCTGCAGAAAAAGAAGAAACCAGGTCTCTCATTTCCTGATTTCAAAACTTAAATACTAGCCTACCACAATGAAAAGAGTGTGGTACTGGCATAAAGACAAACATATAAGGCCGCCTGTAATCTCAACAATTTGGGAGACTGAGGTGAGTGGATTGCTTGAGCCCAGGAGTTCAAAATCAACCTGGGCAACATGGCAAAACCCAGTCTTTACAAAAAATACAATTAGCTAGGCGTGGTAGCCTGCGCCTATAGTCCCAGCTACTGAGGAGGAGGCTGAGGTGGGAGGATCACTCAAGCCTAGGAGGCAGAGGTTGCAGTGAACTGAGATCATGCCAGTGCACTCCAGCCTGGGCAACAGAGTGAGACTCCATCTCAAAAATAAAGAAAGAGAGAAAAAAATAGACACATATATTAGACCAGTGTGAGAGGTGACAGCGTGCTGGTAGTCCTCACAGCCCTCGTTCGCTCTTGGCGCCTCCTCTGCCTGGGCTCCCACTTTGGCGGCATTTGAGGAGCCCTTCAGCCCACCACTGCTCTGTGGGAGCCCCTTTCTGGGCTGGCCAAGGCCGGAGCCAGCTGCCTTAGCTTGCGGGGAGGTGTGGATGGAGAGGCACGAGTGGGAAGCGGGGCTGCGCGCGGCGCTTGCGGGCCAGCTGGAGGTCCGAGTGGGCGTGGGCTTGGCGGGCCCTGCACTAGGAGCCACCAGCCGGCCCTGCCAGCCCCGGGCAATGAGGGGCTTAGTACCCGGGCCAGCAGCTGCGGACGGTGTACTGGGTCCCCCAGCAATGCCAGCCCACGGGCGCTGCTCTCGATTTCTCACGGGGTCTTAGCTGCCCTCCCGCCGGGCAGGGCTCCGGACCTGCAGCCCGCCATGCCTGAGCCTCCCACCCCCTCCATGGGCTCCTGTGAGGCCGGAGTCTCCCCAGGAGCACTGTCCCCCGCTCCTCGGCGCCCAGTCCCATCGACCACCCAAGGGCTGAGGAGTGCAGGTAGACAGCGCGGGACTGGCAGGTAGCTCCACCTGCAGCCCCGGTGCGGGATCCACTGGGTGAAGCCAGCTGGGCTCCTGAGTCTGGTGGGGACGTGGAGAACCTTTATGTCTAGCTCAGGGATTGTAAATACACCAATGGGCACTCTGTATCTAGCTCAAGGTTTGTAAACACACCAATCAGCACCCTGTGTCTAGCTCAGGGTTTGTGAATGCACCAGTCGACACTCTGTATCTAGCTATCTGGTGGGGCCTTGGAGAACCTTTGTGCTGACACTCTGTGTCTAGCTAATCTGGTGGGGAGGTGGAGAACCTTTGTGTCTAGCTCAGGGATTGTAAACGCACCAATCAGCACCCTGTCAAAACAGACCACTCAGCCCTACCAATCAGCAGGATGTGGGTGGGGCCAGATAAGAGAATAAAAGCAGGCTGCCCGCGCCCACAGTGGCAACTGGCTCGGGTCTTGTTACACGCTGTGGAAGCTTTGTTCTTTCGCTCTTTGCGATAAATGTTGCTACTGCTCACTCTTTGGCTCCACGCTGCTTTTATGAGCTGTAACACCGCGAAGGTATGCAACTTCACTTCTGAAGCCAGCGAGACCATGAGCCCACCGGGAGGAATGAACAACTCCAGACGCGCCACCTTAAGAGCTGTAACACTCACCGCGAAGGTCTGCAGCTTCACTCCTGAACCAGGGAGACCACGAACCCACCAGAAAGAAGAAACTCCAAACACATCCGAACGTCAGAAGGAACAAATTCCAGACGCGCCACCTTAAGAGCTGTAACACTCACCGCGAGGGTACGCGGCTTCATTCTTGAAGTCAGTGAGACCAAGAACCCACCAATTCCGGACACAAGTGGAATAGATTAGAGAGCCCAGAAATAAACCTTCTACATGGAAGATTAATTTTTGACAAGGGTTCCAAGACCACTTAATGGGGGAAAGAACAACCTTTTCGATAATAGCAGTGGGACAACTGGATATCCATACACAAAAGAATAGTCCGGGTGTGGTGGTTCACACCTGTAATCCCAGCACATTGGGAGGCCAAGGCAGGCAGATCACCTGAGGTCAGGAGTTCAAGACCAGCCTGGCCAACATGGTGAAACCCCATCTCTACTAAAATACAAAAAAATGAGCTGAGCCTGGTGGCATGCAGCTGTAATCCCAGCTACTTGGGAGACTGAGGCATGAGAATCGCTTGAACCCGGGAGGGGGAGGTTGCCATGAGCTGAGATTGCGCCACTGCACTCCAGCCTGGGTGACACAGCAAGACTCCATCTCAAAAAAAAAAAAAAAAAGTCTTTACAATAGATCAATTTAGGTTTTATATTTCTTTTTTTCTTTTCCTTTTTGAGTTGGAATTTCCCTCTTGTTGCCCAGGCTGGAGTGCAATGGCGCCATCTCAGCTCACTGCAGCCTCAGCCTCCTGGGTTCAAGTGACTCTCCTGCCTCAGCCTCCAGAGTAGCTGGGATTATAGGCACATGCCATCATACCCGGCTAATTTTTGTATTTATTTATTTATTTATTTTTGAGACAGAGTCTCGCCCTGTCACCCAGGCTAGAGTGCAATGGCACAATCTCAGCTTACTGCAACCTCCACCTCCCCGGTTTAAGTGATTCTCCTGCCTCAGCTGGGATTACAGGCGTGCGCCACTTGCCTGGCTAATTTTTTGTATCTTTAGTAGACATGAGGTTTCACCATGTTGGTCAGGCTGGTCTCAAACTCCTGATCTCAGATGATCTACTTGACTCAGCCCCTCAAAGTGCTGGGATTACAGACGTGAGCCACCATGCCTGGCCTAGATTTTATATTTCTTCTTAAGTTTGGTGTTTAAATTCCCCTAGGAATTTGTTCCTTTCATCTAATTTGTTGGCATACAACTGTTCATAGTATTCCCTGATAATTCTTTTACTTATCTAATGTTGGTAGTGATGTCTCCTCTTTTGCTCCTGTTTTGCAGTTTGAGTCTCCTCTGCTTTTTTCTTGGTCAGTCCATCTAAAGGTTCATCAATTTTATGGATTTTTCAAAGAACCAAATTATTTTGGTTTTACTTACTTCCTCTATTTTTTATTCTCTGCTGCATTTATTTCTGCTCATCTTTATTATCTTTTTTTTTTTTTTTTTTTTTTTGAGACGAAGTCTCTTGTCGCCCAGGCTGGAGTGCAATGGTGAGATCTCAGCTCACTGAAAACTACGCCTCCTGGGTTCGAGCGATTCTTGTGCCTCAGCCTCCTGAGTAGCTGGGACCACAGGCATGTGCCACCATGCCTGGCTAATTTTTTTATTTAGCAGAGACAGGCTTTCACCATGTTGGCCAGGATGGTGTCAAACTCCTGGCTTCAAGCTGTCTGCCCGCTTCAGCCTCCCTAAACTGGGATTACAGGTGTGAGTAATCCTCTGCCTCTGGGAGGCAGAAGTTGCAGTGAGCCAAGATCACACCACTGTACTACAGCCTGTGCAACAGAGCGAGACTCCACCTCAAAAAAAAAAAAAAAAAATTAGCCGGACATGGTGGCACATATCTGTAGTTCCAGCTGCTTGGGGGACTGAGGCAGGGGGCTTGCTTGAGCCTAGGAGGTCAAGGCTGCTATAACCCATGTTTATGCCACTGCACTGCAGCCTGGGCAACAAAGTGAGAACCTGTCTCAAAATAAAAATAAAAATAAGTAAATAGGCCAGGCATGGTGGCGCATGCCTGTAATCCCAGCACTTTGAGAGGCTGAGGTGTGAGGATCATGAGGTCAGGAGTTTGAGACCAGCCTGGCCAACATAGTGAAACCCTGTCTCTACCAAAAATACAAAAATTAGCCAGGTGTGGTGGTGGGCACCTGTAGTCCCAGCTACTCGGGAGGCCAAAGCAGGAGAATCGTTTGAACCCGGGAGGCAGAGGTTGCAGTGAGCCGAGATCATGCCATTGCACTCCAGGCTGGGTGACAGAGTGAGACTCCGTCTCAAAAAAAAAAAAAAAAAAAAAAAAAAAAAGGAAATAAATATAGCTTCCTAGGGGATTCTGTTTGCAGAGTGTGTCGAGAATATGAAGCCCAGAATTCAAGACTGCATTATGGACTGTGAAGGCTGAGGAGGGCTGTGAGGAAAGAGTGGGTAGGTTAAAGGAGCAGAAGCAACTGTCATGCCCTTTGGCTCTTCTATAGGAAAAGAGGAAAGAGTGAGCCTTGGGCTGTGTTTTGTGAGGGAATAGTGCCCTCCCTTTGTGGGTAAGCAAAGTTGGCTCGGAAGATGAAGACAGATGAGTCAAGAACGTCAGGGTGTCAGGGGAAGCACAAAAAGAAGGCGAAATATGCCCTTCTACACTCAAACTTGAAGGTATTCAGGGCCTGGTGGCTGGATCTGAGGCCATGCTGAGTCCTGAAGAGGGGACCAAAGTCTTGCTTTGTGAAAACTGTCTAGACTGTCCTAGCAATTCCATTTGTTTTTGACTGTCCTAGCAATTCCGTTTTTTTTTTTTTGACAGCATGTCACTCTTGTCACCCAGGCTGGAGTGCAGTGGCACGATCTCAGCTCATTGCAACCTCCACCTCCTGGGTTCAAATGATTCTCCTGCCTCAGCCTCCCAAGTAGCTGGGATTACAGGCACCTGCCACTGCGCCCAGCTAATTTTTGTATTTTTGGTAGAGACAGGATTTCACCATCTTGGCCAGGCTGCTCTTGAACTACTGACCTTGTGATCCACCCACCTTGGCCTTCCAAAGTGCTGGGATTACAGGCGTGAGCCACTGTGACTGGCTTTTTTTTTTTTTTTTTTTTTTCTGAGACGGAGTCTCGCTCTGTCACCCAGGCTGGAGTGCAGTGGCGCAGTCTCAGCTCACTACAAGCTCTGCCTCCCGGGTTCGCGCCATTCTCCTGCCTCAGCCTCCTGAGTAGCTGGGACTACAGGCGCCCGCCACTGCGCCCAGCTAATTTTTTGTGTTTTTAGTAGAGATGGGGTTTCACTGTGTTAGCCAGGAGGTTCTCGATCTCCTGACCTCATGATCTGCCCGCCTCGGCCTCCCAAAGTGCTGGGATTACAGGCGTGAGCCACTGCGCCCGGCTGCCTTTTTAAATTTAAAAAACTTTTTTTTTTTTTTGAGACAGTCTCTCTCTGTCCCCCAGGCTGGAGTGCAGTGGCGGGAATCTCAGCTCACTGCAACCTCTACCTCCCAGGTTCAAGCAATTCTTCTGCCTCAGCCTCCCAAGTAGCTGGGATTACAGGCACACGGCACCACACCTGGCTAATTTTTGTATTTTTAGTAGAGATAGGTTTTCACCATGTTGGCCAGACTGCTCTCGAACTCCTAACCTCAGGTGATCCTCCTGCCTCGGCCTCCCAAAGTGTGAGTACAGGCGTTAGTCACCACTGCACCTGGCCTCCATTCTCATCTTTTCTGATTGGAGAACTCGGTTCTCCAGAGCACAGAAGTAGCACTTCTTTCCCCTGGTCCCTGGAGAGTAAGGTCTTGTTCACATCTGTGCATGGGGCTCAGATCAGGGCCTGGTGCAGAGAAAGTGCACAATAAATGGGTGTTTAAGTCTGGGCATGGTGCCTCATATCTGTAATCCTAGCACTTTGGGAGGCCAATGTGGGAGGATCACTTGAGCCCAGGAATTCAAGACCAGCCTGGGCAACAAAGCAAGACCCCGATCTCTACCAAAAAATAGAAAAATTAGCCAGGTGTGATGGCACATTCCAGCTACCCGGGAGGCTGAGGTGAGAGGATTGCTTGAGCTGGGAGGCTTCAGTGAGCTGTGCTTGTACCACTGCACACCAGCCTGGGAGACACAGTGAGACCCTGTCTCAAAAAATATAATAAAAGTCTAAAAAATAAATGGGGGCTGGGCGTGGTGGCTCATGCCTGTAATCCCAGCACTCTGGGAGGCCAAGGTGGGCAGATCACCTGAAGTCAGGAGTTCAAGACCAGCCTGGCCAACATAGTGAAACTCTGTCTCTACTAAAAATACAAAAATTAGCTGGGCATGGTGGCGGGTGCCTGTAATCCCAGCTACTCAGGAGGCTGAGGCAGGAGAATTGCTTGAACCCAGGAGACGGAGGTTGCAGTGAGCCAAGATCACGCCACTGCACTCCAGCGTGGGCAACAGAGCAATACTCTGTCTCAAAAATAAATAAACATAGGCCAGGTGCAGTGGCTCATGCCTATAATCCCAGTACTTTCAGAGGCTGAGGCAGAAAAATCACTTGAGGTCAGAAGTTCGAGACCAGCCTGGCCAACATGGTGAACCCTCATCTCTACTAAAAATACAAAAATTAGCCAGGCGTGGTGGTGCATGCCTGTAATCCAGCTACTTGGGAGGCTGAGGCAGAAGAATTGCTTGAACCCAGGAGGCAGAGGTTGCAGTGAGCCAAGATTGTGCCACTGCACTCCAGCTTGGGTGACAAAGTGAGACTTTGTCTCAATTAAAAAAATAATAAGATAGCCAGGCGTGGTGGCTCGCGCCTGTAATCCCAGCACTTTGGGAGGCCAAGGCGGGCGGATCAGCTGAGGTCAGGAGTTCAAGACCAGCCTGGCCAGCATGGCGAAATCCCATCTCTACTAAAAGTACCAAAATTAGCCAGGTGTTGGGGTGGGCGCCTGTAATCCCAGCTACTCAGGAGGAGGAGGCGGCAGAATCACTTGAACCCAGGAGACGGAGGTTGCAGTGAGCTGAGATCACGCCACTACACTCCAGCCTGGGTGACAAGAGCAAGACTCCGTCTCAAAAAAATAAAATAAAATAAATAAATAAAATAAAATAACAAATGGGTGTTTAAATGAATGATGTTCATGGAATCTCTCCCCAGTGCTTTGCTTTCCACAAAGTTCTGCATGGAAGTCTCAATAAATTGTGGTTGAATGCTTGACAGTAACTGTGATGAAAGCAGAATTCACCTTTCATCACCTGGCCAGCAAATGTTTTGTTGTCTTATTATTATTATTATTATTTTTTGAGATGGAGTCTTGCTCTGTCGCCCAGGCTGGAGTGCAGTGGCGTGATCTCGGCTCACTGCAAGCTCCGCCTCCTGGGTTCACGCCATTCTCCTGCCTCAGCCTCCCAAGTAGCTGGGACTACAGGTGCCCGCCACCATGCCCGGCTAATTTTTTTTTGTATTTTTAGTAGAGATGGGGTTTCACCATGTTAGCCAGGATGGTCTCGATCTCCTGACCTTGTGATCCGCCCACCTCGGCCTCCCAAAGTGCTGGGATTACAGGCTTGAGCCACCGCGCCCGGCCTGCTTGTCTTATATAGTATTGACCAGTAAAATGTTTTTTTTTTTTTGAGCCAGAGTCTCACTCTGTCACCAGGCTGGAGTGCAGTGGCGTGATCTCGGCTCACTGCAATCTCCACCTCCTGGGTTCAAGCGATTCTTCTGCCTCAGCCTCCTGAGTAACTGGGACCACAGGCTCCCACCACCATGCCCAGGTAATTTTTGTATTTTTAGTAGAGACAGGGTTTCTTTTTCTTTCTTTCTTTTTTTTTTTTTTTGGAGACGGAGTCTCGCTCTTTCACCCAGGCTGGAGCTCAGTGGCATGATCTCGGCTCACTGCAACCTCCACCTCCCAGGTTCATGCCATTCTCCTGCCTCAGCCTCCTGAGTAGCTGGGACTACAGGTGCCCGCCACCACACCCGGCTAATTTTTTGTATTTTTAGTAGAGATGGGGTTTCACCATGTTAGCCAGGATGGTCTCGATCTCCTGACCTTGTGATCCACCCACCTCGGCCTCCCAAAGTGCTGGGATTACAGGCTTGAGCCACCGCACCCGGCCTGTAGAGACAGGGTTTCACCATGTTGACCAGTATGGTCTCGATCTCCTGACCTCAGGTGATCCACCTGCCTCGGCCTCCCAAAGTGCTGGGATTACAGGAGTGAGCCACCGGGCCTGGCCAAGATGTCTTTCAAATAATTAAAGCCACATCTTTTTGTAGTTCATAAACGTGATGACTGTGTTTTCATGCTCATGCGTGAGTTGCACCTCCCTCAAACCTTGTTTTGACATTGACACATTATCTGCCTGATGTAAAAATAATGAAATCCAATATACTAAGATCAGGAGATTTCACAATAAAATCCCAATTTCTGTTTCTTTTAAAAAATCAGGCCAGCCATGATGGCTTATGCCTGGAATTCCAGCACTTTGGGAGGCCCAGGCAGAAGGATCACTTGATCCTGGAAGTTCAAGATCAGCATGGTTAACACAGGGAGACCTGGTCTCAATTTAAAAATTAGCTGGGCATGGCACTTTGGGAGACTGAGGCAGGTGGATCACCCGAGATCAGAAGTTTGAGACCAGCTTGGCCAATATGGTGAAACCTCATCTCTGTATTAAAAAAAAAAAAAAAATTAGCCAGTTGTGGTAATGAGCGCCTGTAATCCCAGCTACTCGAGAGGCTGAGGCAGGGGAATCACTGGAACCTGGGAAGTGGAGGTTGCAGTGAGCCAAGATCTCGCCATTGCATTTGAGCCTGGGTAACAGAGTGAGACTCTGTCTCAAAACAAACAAACAAACAAACAAAAACATTAGCCATAGCCCCAGTTATCTGGAGGCTGAGATGGAGGCTGAGAACCCACGAGTTCGTTCAAGGCTGCAGTGAGCTATCATTGCACTCCAGCCAGGATGACAGAGCAAGACCCTGTCTCAAAATAAAATAAATACTTTGGGAGGCCAAAGTGGGCAGATCACCTGAGGTCAGGAGTTCGAGACCAGCCAGGTCAACATGGCGAAACCCATCTCTACTAATAAAATACAAAAATTAGCCAGGCATGGTGGTGTGTGCCTATAATCCCAGCTACCCAGGAGGCTGAGGCAGGAGAATCACTTGATCCCAGGAGGCAGAGGTTGCAGTAAGCCGAGATTGTGCCACTGCACTCCAGCCTGGGCAACAAGAGCAAAACCCCATCTCAAATAAATAAATAAATAGAAATAAATAAATAAAATGGTTACTTTATGTTATTTCACCTCAATAATTTTAAGTAAAATAAAATTAGATAACTGATAGCCAGGCATGGTGGTGGATGCCTGTAATCCCAGCTACTCAGGAGGCTGAGGCAGGAGAATCGCTTGAATCCGAGGCAGAGGCTGCAGTGAGCCAAGATCACGCCACTGCACTCCAGCCTGGGTGACAGAGCAAGACTCCGTCTCAAAAAAAAAAATTTAGATAACTGATTAGAAGGTACTGAAGTTTGCCATCCTTTGGAAACGATCCTCTTCATTAGAAAGATGAGGATCCTGAGGCCCTACAAGGGAAGTGTCAGGTCAGTGGAAGAGACTGAAAGGGAAGTTTGGTTCCCACCCCGGCAGCACAGTCGCTGCCTCCTCTCCCCTTTACTTAGGCTATGAACTCTGGTGTGATACAGACCACAACCCGTTCACCATAGGTTACACCCCACATCTTTTGGCTCGGACCCTGGCACTTGAACTGTCAGCCTCCAAGTAGCTGGGACAATAGGCCAGCTCAACAAATGCCCCCTGCTCATTAAAATTTTTTTTTTGTAGAGTTGGGGTCTTGTTATGTTGCCCAGGGTGGTCTCAAATTCCTGATCTCAAGCAATTCTCGCCTTGGCCTCCCAAAGTGCTGAGATTACAGGCATGAGCCACTGTACACAGTCTTGATGTATTACCTTTTATTTTTTAAAAAATTTTTATAAAGACGGGTGTCACCATGTTGTCCATGCTGGTCTCAAACTCCTGGGCTCAGGCAATCCTCCCGACTTGGCCTCCCAAAGTGCTGGGATTACTGGTGTGAGCCGTGCCTGGCTTGCTTTTTTTGTTTTTGTTTTTGAGATGGAGTCTCACTGTTGCTCAGGCTGGAGTGCAGTGGCGCAATCTCGGCTCACTACAACCTCCGCCTCCTGAGTTCAAAGGATTCTCCCGTCTCAGCCTCCCGAGTAGCTGGGATTACAGGTGTGTGCCACCACACCTGGCTTATTTTTGTATTTTTAGTAGAGATGGGGTTTCACCATGTTGGCCAGGATGGTCTTGATCTCCTGACCTCATGATCCACCTGCCTACGTCTGGCTTTTTTAATTAAAAAAAAATTTTTTTAAGTACTTTTTTTCTTTTGAGATGGAGTCTCACTCTGTCACCCAGGCTGGAGTGCAATGGCACAATCGTGGCTCACTGCAACCTCCACCTCTTGGGTTCAAGCAATTCTCCTGTCTTAGCCTCCCAAGTAGCTTGGACTACAGTCATGCACCACTATGCCTGGCTAATTCTTGTATTTTTAGTAGAGATGGGGTTCCACCATGTTGGTCAGGCTGGTCTCGAACTCCTGATTTTGTGATCCACCTGCCTCAGCCTCCCAAAGTGCTGGGATTACAGGCATGAGCCACCATGCCCAGCCTAAAGTACTTTTCATTAGAGACAGTACTTTATTCAAACTGCTTCTCTTCTCGTGCTTTTGTGTCTTGAGACAGTCTGTCTGTCACCCAGGTTGGAATGCAGTGGTGTGATGACAGCTCACTGAAGCCTCGACCTTCCAGGCTCAGGTGATCCTCCCACCTCAGTCTTCTGAGTTGCTGGGACTATAGTTGTGTGCCACCATGCCTGGTGGATGTATGACTGTTTATGTAGGAACGTCTGTTAATTGTAAATTTCCTCCAAAACCACCCTGTTGTTGCAGAAATGACAGGCTGTGAGCACTGTAGCCACCTATACATTCCTTCCAGAGCACTATGCTTTTGCTCCAAGACATAAGCGGTAGGTCTTGGGGCTGTGGTGTGGAGATCTGTCATGGCGCAGCCCAAGACCATGCTTTTGTGTGTAAGTTCCTTAATAAATCACCCAAAACTGACAAACTGGATTTGTCTGCTTCCTTTTTTTTTTTGGCTCCTTTGGCATGAGGGTCACTTGGCATATACGGCCCTTTCACGGAATGCACAGCAACTCCAACAAAGAGAGATGATCTTTCACAGATGAAGCCGCTGAGGCTTAGAGAAGCGAGATTGTCCCAAGGGTGGCAGCTTCTAAGGGAAGGGCTGGAATGTGAACCCAGGCATCTTGACTTGAGCCTTGTCCTTTTGGCCCCTATGCCCTCCCACCTTCCAACCCAGGGGATTAGCTAAAATTTAGGAAAGCAGTTCATGTTATTTAAAGGGAGGGGAGGCCGGGCATGGTGGCTCATGCCTGTAATCCCAGCACTTTGGGACGCTGAGGCGGGCAGATCACTTGAGGCCAGGAGTTCAAGACCAGTCTGGCCAACATGGTGAAAACCCATCTGTACTAAAAATATGAAAATTAGCCGGGTGTGGTGGCGAGTGTCTGTAGTCCCAGCTACTCGGGAGGCTGAGATTGCAGTGAGCTGAGATTGCACCACTGAACTCCAACCTGGGTGACAGGGCAAGACTCTGTCTATAAAATAAATAAATTATAAAATAAATAAAATTTCAGAAAGCAGCTCACTTTATGTAAAGGGACAGGAAACAGCAACAGATGACATAGATATAGGATGATTCCAGTCTAGTAATAAATATACACACACCAGAAAGAGAGGCATTAAAATGTTAACGGTAGTTAACAGCCTGGGCGACAGAGCGGAGACCCTGTCTCAAAAAAAAAAAAAAAAAGTTAAGAAAAGGAGTGACAATCCACGTGTGGCCCACAAAGCTTAAAATATATACTATCTAGCCCTGGGCAGAAAAGGGTTTGACAATGCTGTTCAAAGGTCACCATTGGTAGATTGGAAACTGAAAAAGGTATATACCCTGGCATTGGACAACACAATGGCTGTGCCTCCTGCCTAAGAATGCTGAACTGGCCAAGTGAGGTACTTGGCAGCCCAGCCCTGAAATGCATAAGCTCTCCAGCCTTTTCATCACTGCTCCTCCCTGGTTCTTAACCTCTGGCCACTCGATCCTCTGGCTTCCCTTCCACCAAGCACTCGCACGTTGAGTCCAGTCCCTAGGCCTCTCCTCTAGGCTGCCCCCTCTGGAAATGTAAGCAGCACCAGGTATAAGAGCCAGGCACAGGCTGCCTTGACGTGCACCTAGCCCCCTTACTTCCCCATTGTGTGGAAGGTAAATCACTTCTCTTTGGGTCTGTTTTCCCATCTACAAGTTGGGAATGACAATAGGGTTATTCTGAGATTAAGTGAGATAAGGCAGCTAAAGCACGCAGTATGGAAGTGGTCAACATGCTGGCTCTGATGTCAGCCACGACCAGACTTCGGGTAACTATTTATAAGTCATTCCCTTCAAAACCTTTCTCTCTGTTCTTTCTCTTCTGTGACAGACTAATACTTGTGCCCCTTCCCTTCATTTAGAAACAAAATGACCCAAGTTTAAATGAACATGTAACTATCCAGCTAGAGGCATTTTAGTCTCGCATATAGGGTGGTAAGAAGGTGAGACTAAGTTCTGGCCAATGGGATCAGTGTAATTTCCAGGCCCTGTATTTCCGCTTCCTTTTACATGGGCTTGAACGAGGACTTGGGGCTGGTGAGCCGCTTTAACCACACAGATGACAACCTTGGGGATGCAAGAGCAACATGACAGCGCAGCCCTGGGTCCCTAGATGATTTTGCATAACGGTTGTTGTCTAACCCTAACCCTGGACCAATCACCTCTGAACTGTCACATGAGAAATAAGCTATTTTGCTGAGTCACTGTTTGGGGCTCCTTGTGACAGAAGCTGAGTCTAGAATCTAGTTAGTGCACATCAGAAGGCTTCTCTTCAACTTCAGTATCAGTCCGCCCTCCATATGTGCTGTTCTTGTACTTCTGAACACAAAGAATATTCCAGCTATTTCTTGAAAACAGTCATATTTGTTTATCCTCCAGTCAGGAGAATGTGTCATTCTTGACTCCTTCAACTCCCGAATCCACTGGTCACAGTAGCTTCAGTTTTTTACATCTGCACCTCTTCAATCCTCCCCCCACCTCTGACCCCAGGCACCCTGACTTCAGATGGTTTTTTTTTTTTTTTTGGGCTTCATGCTCTTTGCTTCCAATTTCATAGTCTTACACAATGATGCTTCATTCTCTTAAAATGGAATCCATTCATGTTATTTTGTTACCTTTTTTTAGAGACAGGGTCTTGCTCTATTCCCCAGGCTGGAGTGCAGTGGTATAATCACAGCTCACTGTACCCTTTACTTAAATAGACCTTAAGTTCCTGGGCTCAAGTGATCCTCCTGCCTCAGTCTCCCCAGCAGCTTGGACTACTGGCACACACAACCATGTCCGGCTAAATTTTAATTTTTTGTCCTCTCCCTCCCCCTCCCCCTTCCTCTCTCACTTTCCACAGTCTCCCTCTGATGCCGAGCCGAGGCTGGACTGTACTGCCACCATCTCGGCTCACTGCAACCTCCCTGCCTCATTCTCCTGCCTCAGCCTGCCAAGTGCCTGGGATTGCAGGCACGCGCCGTCTGTGTTTTTTGGTGGAGACGGGGTTTCGCCGTGTTGGCCGGGCTGGTCTCCAGCTCCTGACCGCTAGTGATCCGCCAGCCTCGGCCTCCCGAGGTGCTGGGATTGCAGACGGAGTCTCGTTCACTCAGTGCTCAATGGTGCCCAGGCTGGAGTGCAGTGGCATGATCTCGGCTCGCTACAACCTCCACCTCTCAACCGCCTGCCTTGGCCTCCCAAAGTGCCGAGATTGCAGCCTCTGCCCGGCCGCCACCCCGTCTGGGAAGTGAGGAGCGTCTCTGCCTGGCCGCCCATCATCTGGGATGTGAGGAGCCCCTCTGCCTGGCTGCCCAGTCTGGAAAGTGAGGAGCCTCTCTGCCCGGCCGCCATCCCATCTAGGAAGTGAGGAGCGCCTCTTCCCGGCCGCCATCCCATCTGGTAGGTGAGGAGTGTCTCTGCCAGGCTGCCCATCGTCTGAGATGTGGGGAGTGCCTCTGCCCGGCCGCGACCCCGTCTGGGAGGTGAGGAGCGTCTGAGAAGTGAGGAGACCCTCTGCCTGGCGACCGCCCCGTCTGAGAAGTGAGGAGCCCCTCCGCCCGGCAGCCGCCTCGTCTGAGAAGTGAGGAGCCCCTCCGCCCGGCAGCCACCCCGTCTGGGAAGTGAAGAGTGTCTCCGCCCGGCAGCCACCCCGTCCGGGAGGGAGGTGGGGGTCAGCCCCCCCGCCCGGCCAGCCGCCCCGTCCGGGAGGGAGGTGGGGGAGTCAGCCCCCCCGCCCGGCCAGCCGCCCCACCCGGGAGGGAGGTGGGGGGATCAGTCCCCCGCCCAACCAGCCGCCCCACCCGGGAGGGAGGTGGGGGGGTCAGCCCCCAACCCGGCCAGCCGCCCTGTCCGGGAGGTGAGGGGTGACTCTGCCCGGCCACCCCTACTGGGAAGTGAGGAGCCCCTCTGCCCGGCCGCCACCCCGGCTGGGAGGTGTGCCCAACAGCTCATTGAGAACGGGCCATGATGACAGTGGCGGTTTTGTGGAATAGAAAGGGGGGAAAGGTGGGGAAAAGATTGAGAAATCGGATGGTTGCCGTGTCTGTGTAGAAGGAAGTAGACATGGGAGACTTTTCATTTTGTTCTGTAGTAAGAAAAATTCTTCTGCCTTGGGATCCTGTTGATCTGTGACCTTACCCCAACCCTGTGCTCTCTGAAACATGTGCTGTGTCCACTCAGGGTTAAACGGATTAAGGGTGGTGCAAGATGTGCTTTGTTAAACAGATGCTTGAAGGCAGCATGCTCGTTAAGAGTCATCACCACTCCCTAATCTCAAGTACCCAGGGACACAAACACTGCGGAAGGCCGCAGGGTCCTCTGCCTAGGAAAACCAGAGACCTTTGTTCACTTGTTTATCTGCTGACCTTCCCTCCGCTATTGTCCTATGACCCTGCCAAATCCACCTCTGCGAGAAACACCCAAGAATGATCAATAAAAAAAAAAAAAAAAAAAAAAAAAAAACATGGTTTCTCCATGTTGGTCAGGCTGGTCTGGAACTCCTGACTTCAGGTGATCTGCCCACCTTGGCCTCCCAAAGTGCTGGGATTACAGGCATGAGCCACTGTGCCTGGCCCCAAATGTGTTTTACATTTTCTTCCTATTTGATTCATCTTTGTCCTGCAACATAAATATGCTACTTTTCCACCGATAAAAAGACAAAATGGAATTTAAATCTGGCCTGGACTTCTCAAAAAAGTCAGTGTGATGAAAACATGTTCTAGATAAAACAGAAATGAGACTGGGCATGGTGGCTCATGCCTGAAATCCCAGCGCCTTCGGAGGCCAAGGCAGGAGAATCACTTGAGGCCAGGAGTTTGTGAACAGCCTGGGCAACATAGTGAGACCCCAGATCTACTAAAAATTTAAAAATTAGCTGGGCATGGTGGTGCATGCCCATATGTCTGGAGGCTGAGGCAGGAGGATCGCTTGAGCCCAGGATTTGGAGGCTGCAGTGAGCTATGATTGTGCCACTGCACTCCAGTGTGGGTGACAGAGTGAGACCCTGTCTCTAAAAAAAAAAAGAGAGACGAGATGATCAGGATGAGCGCAGTGGCTCACGCCTATAATCCCAGCACTTTGGGAGGCCAAACCAGGTGGATCATATGAGGTCAGGAGTTCAAGACCAGCCTGGCCTAGATGGTGAAACCCCGTTTCTACTAAAAATACAAAAATCAGCTGGGTGTGGTGGCGCACACCTGTGATCCCAGCTACTCGGGAGGCTGAGGCGGGACAATTGCTTGAACCTGGGAGGCAGAAGTTGCTGTGAGCAAGATTACACCACTGTGCTCCAGCCTGGGCAACAGGAATGAGACTCTGTCTCAAAAAAAAAAAAAAGGGGGAAGATCAAACACAATGCATCAACCTCCCGGAGCCATATAAACCCTAACCCTAACCCAGGAAGCAGGCAAGCCTGTGTGTGAGTTTCCACTCTATTGCTGGTACCACTCGGCTCTGGCAACCCGGAAGGCCACCTTCCCCTGTTGTTACTGTGTAAGGAGGAAGGAGCACTGCTTTGCAAGTCAGAAGCCTGGGTTGAAGCCTCTGCTTGGGTTCCTGCTGGCTGTGGGAATGTGGGGTTACCTTTCCCAGCTGGCCTCGTTTCCTTCATGTCCAATGCAGGGGTTCCAGTCACATGCGTTGGGCACCATTACATGTCCAAGCTGTGCCAGGATCTAGAAAAATGGCTGGACTCAGGCCAAGGGGCCTTCCTGTCTGGCAGTGAAAATAAGAGGAGATACCAAGGGCCCTGAGTCTGGAGGGGAAGTCATGAGCACAGGGCAGTGCCAGGGCCCGGGAGCTGCCACAGAGGAGCCCATCTTGGTGACAGACACCTGTAGGCACATCCGTGATGCCCAGTGCCCAACACAGGGAACTGGACAAACGTTTCATGCACGACTCTTTTTTCCCTTCTTGGCTACCTTGAGGACCTTGATTATAATAGTTATCCTTTTTTTCTTTTTCTTTTTTTGAGACTCTTGCTCTGTCGTCCAGGTTGGAATGCAGTGGCAAAATCTTGGCTCACTGCAATCTTCACCTCTCAGGTTCAAGTGACTCTCCTTCCTCAGCCTCCCTAGTAGCTGGGATTACCGGTGTGCACCACTAGGCTCAGCTAATTTTTGTATTTTTACTACAGATGGGGTTTCACCATGTTGGCCAGGCTGATCTTGAACTGCTGACCTCAGGTGATCTGCCCACCTGGGCCTCCCAAAGTCTTGGGATTACAGGTGTGAGCCACTGAGCCCAGCCGGATTATAATAGCCTTTTCATGCACCAGGGGCTTTATACTCATTATCTCATTTCATTCATATGAGTTGAAATCAGCTTATCCCCCATTTCACAGATGAGGAAACCAAGGCCCAGAGAGGTTAGGAATTCATCCAAGGTCACACAGCTAGGAAGTAGGATTCAAACCCAGACAGCCAGGCTGTAACACCTAGGCTCTTCTCAGGCTCATGCCCTTCCCAGGGGTCTGGGAAGCCCTGACCTGCAGCCTGTCACCTTTGTTTACCCCCCAGCCTCCAGGATATTATGTGTGCACCGGCGTGGGATCCTGGAACTGGCAGGAATTGTGGGTTGTGTTGGTCCCTAGACTCCCATCACCTATACGAAATATGGTTCCTTTTGTGGCTTGGGAGGCCATGGCCAGCCCTGCGATGCCATTGACTGGTGAGTGCATGCCTGGGACCAGGCTACAAAATCCCTCACACTCTGGGGTAGTCAAGGCTTATGAGGAAGTACCCAAAACTGAAGCTGGGATTTGGTCCAGGGAGATCCCAGTGTGCAGTACTACTTTGCAGGCAGGCAGAGGCCTCTTGGATAACATGGCCAGTGAAGCCAGATCTTGGTACCAGCTGCCCCTTACCCTGGCCATGGGCTGAAAACGTTGCCTTAAAAAATTGGCCAGGAGCGGTGGCTAACTCCTGTAATCCCAGCACTTTGGGAGGCCGAGGCGGGCAGATCACTTGAGGTCAGGAGTTCAAGACCAGCCTGGCCAATATGGTGAAACCCCATCTCTACTAAAAATGCAAAAATTAGCTGTGTGTGGTGGCAGGCGTCTGTAATCTCAGCTACTCGGGAGACTGAGGCAGGAGAATTGCTTGAACCCGGGAGGTGGAGTTTGCAGTGAGTTGAGATTGCACCGCTGTATTCCAACCTGGACAACAGTGCCAAACCCTGTCTCAAAAGAAAAAAATAATAATAATATAAAGTGGCCAGGTGTGTTGACTCATGCCTGTAATCCCACCACTTTGGGTCGAGGCAGGAGGATCACTGGAGCCCAGGAGTTTGAAACGAACCTAGGCAACAGAGTGAGACCCTGTCTCTATATTAAACACAAACACACACACACACACACACACACACACACACACACACACACACACACACACACACACACAAAGGCAGCCAGACTATGCACTAGGAACTGCCCTGGGAATCCCTTTGTGTTCTCACAACAATCCCATTTCACAGATGAAGAAACCTAGGCACAGAAATATTCAGTAACGTGTCCAGGTGCGGTGGCTCACGCCTGTAATCCCAGTACTTTGGGAGGCTGAGGCAGGCAGATCATGAGGTCAGGAGTTCGAGACCATCCTGGCCAACATGGTGAAACCCCGTCTCTACTAAAAATACAAAAATTAGCTGTGTGTGGTGGCAGGTGCCTGTAATTCCAGCTACTCAGGAAGCTGAGGCAGGAGAATTGCTTGAACCCGGGAGGCAGAGGTTGCAATGAACCGAGATCACACCACTGCACTCCAACCTGGGTGACAGAGCAAAACTCCTTCTGAAAAAAAAAAAAAAAAAAAGAAATATTAAGTAACTTGTCTGAGGCCACTTAGTTACCAAGAAGTGGGAGCTGGGACTTGAACCCAGGCAGTCTGGCTGGATTCATGCCTGCAGCCTCTGCACTCCTGCTACTTACTGTGTGAGAAGCGCCTGTTCTGTGGAAGGTTGTGGGCTGAGATCTTTCCATGAGTTCCACTCATTTACCCCCAAGGCTGTTCTTAAAGACGGGCATGACAGTTATGCCCATTTTACAGATGGGGCCCTGAGGCTCACAGGGGCATGCCACTCACCCATTTCCACAAAGCTATAGTTAGTTAGCAGAGGGCAGAATTCGGCCGCCTCTCCCCTAGCTTGAAGGCTGTGATTGACACAGAGGTTTTTTTGTTGTTGCTGTTGTTTGTTCCTTTTTCTTTTTTTTGAGACAGGGTCTTGCTCTGTCATCCCGGCTGGAGTGCAGTGGTGCGATCTCAGCTCACTGCAAACTCTGCCTCCAAGATGCAAATGATTCTCGTGCCTCAGCCTCCCAAGTAGCTGGAATTACAGGTGTGCACTACCACGCCCAGCTGTTTTTTGTAGAGATGGGGTTAGTAGAGATTTGTTTTATAGAGACGGGGTTTCACCATGGTCTCTACTAAACCCTGTCTCTACTAAAAATACAAAAATTACCCAGGCGTGGTGGCACATGCCTGTAGTCCCAGCTACTCAAGAGGCTGAGGCAGGAGAACCACTTCAACCTGGGAGGTGGAGGTTGCAGTGACCCCAAATCATGCACTCTAGCCTGGGGTCTCGCTTTTGCCCAGGTTAGAGTGCAGTGGCACAATCATAGTGGCTCACTGCAGCCTCAAACTCCTGGGCTGAAGGGAATCCTCTCATGTCAGCCTCCCAAGTAGCTAGGACTATAGGCATGTGCCATCATGGCGAGTTAATTTTTTGTGTGTTTTTATTGTCTTGAGACAGAGTCTTGCTCTGTTGCTCAGGCTGGACTGCAGTGGCATGATCTTGGCTCACCGCAACCTCCACCTCCTGGGTTCAAGCAATTCTCCTACCTCAGCCTCCCGAGTAACTGGGATTACAGGTGCGTGCCACCATGCCTGGCTAATTTTGTATTTTTAGTAGAGACAGGGTTTCGCCATGTTGGTCAGGCTGCCCTCGAACTCCTGACCTCGTGATCCACCTGCCTCGGCCTCTCAAAGTGTTGGGATTACAGGCATGAGCCACTGAGCCTGGC
Organism: Homo sapiens; assembly: GCF_000001405.40. NCBI lineage: Eukaryota > Metazoa > Chordata > Mammalia > Primates > Hominidae > Homo > Homo sapiens. The sequence goes on along the minus strand of NC_000016.10, from coordinate 28,775,036 downwards.
CTGGTGAGCTAATTTTTAAATTTGTTATAGAGACAAGAGTCTCTCTTATGTTGCCCAGGCTGGTCTCGACCCCCTGGCCTCAAGTGATCCTCCCACCTCAGCCTCCCAAAGTGCTGGGATTACAGATGCGTGTCACCGCACCTGGCCTCTGAGGAGGATTTCATTATAAACCTGCCCTGAAGGGAGGGAATCCAATTTTACGAGAGGTTGTAGCCTGGTGAGGCCTGGATGACCTCCGGAGGCAGGGGCTTGTGCCTGGGCTGAGGCCTAAGGGACAATGGGCAGACATGAAGTTGCCCCAGGCAGAGGGTACAGTGTGGGCAAAGTCAGGAAGTGGCAGGGCTTGGATCACTCCAGGAAGAGAGAGGAGTCATGTGTCACAGGAGCTCGAGACCCAGAGAGTGAGGCAGGCAGGCAGGGACCAAGCTTGGGCACAGCCAGGAAGGCAGGACAGGGCATGGTGGGGCCAATGGAATCATTATCGAAGTCGGGGATTTTCAGGGAAACAGCTTAGATAAGGCCAGGCATACAGTAGCTCCCACCTGTAATCCCAGCATTTGGAGAGGCTGAGGTAGGAGGACTGCTTGAGCCTGGGAGTTCAAGACCAGCCTAGGCAACATAGACCCCATATCCACAAAAAATTTAAAAAAGGAGTTTGTGTTCCTGTAGTAGCATACTTGGGAAGTTGAGGTGGCAGTATCACTTGAGCCCGGGAGTTCAAGGCTAAAGTGAGCTGATGGAGCCATTGCACCCCAGCCTGAGCAACAGAGAGATACGCTGTCTCAAAGGAAATACAAATTAAAAAACCAGCCGGGCATGCTGGCGTGTGCCTGTAGTCTCAGCTACTTGGGACACTGAAGTAGGAGGATCGCTTGAGCCCAGGAGTTCAAGGCTGCCGTGAGCTATGATTGTGCCTCTGCAGTCCAGCCTGGGCGACAGAGAAAGACCCTGTCTCTTAAAAAAAAAAAAAACAAAAAAAAACAAAAAAAACTTAGATAAGAGGATGCTGTGCCTCCCTGGGGGTCTTCAGTCACCCATGGTCCTGGCAAGAGAGGAGGGCCAGGAGAGAGCTTCACCCACCTGCTGTCCTGCCCATGTGACATCCGCAGGTGCTGCCATGGCCACGACTGTTGTTACACTCGAGCTGAGGAGGCCGGCTGCAGCCCCAAGACAGAGCGCTACTCCTGGCAGTGCGTCAATCAGAGCGTCCTGTGCGATGAGTCCCCAGCAGCACCATGCCACCCACCCCGAGTATCCCCTGGGCACCCTGGCATAGCCAGATGACTTCCGTGCCCCTGTTGCAATAACCACTGCTTCCAACTCTCTATAGAACACCCCTTGGGTATATCTAATGTAAGTGATATTTATTTTATTTATTTTTTGAGTCAGAGTCTCGCTCTGTCACCCAGGCTAGAGTGTGCTGATGTGATCTTGGCTCACTACAACCTCTGCCTCCTGGGTTCAAGCGATTCTCATGCCTCAGCCTCCCAAGTGGCTGGGACTACAGGCATGCACCATCACGCCCAGCTAATTTTTGTATGTTTTTCAGTAGAGGTGGGGTTTCACCAAGTTGGCCGGGCTGGTCTCAAACTCCCCACCTCAAGTGCTCTGCCCGCCTCGGCCTCCCAAAGTGCTGGGATTACAGGCATGAGTCGTGGTGTCTGGCCCTAATGTGAGTGATCTTTAACAATGAGGACTTGAAAAAGAAAACCCTGAAGAAACCTAATTCTTTGATGTCTGGACGACAAGGAAGAAGATAGAAATGGCATCAGATAATAAACAGTGTAAATGTTTATCAGAAAGAGGCTGGTGGTCGGGACCAGTAGGAGGATCGCTTGAGTCCAGGAGTGCATCTCTACAAAAAAGTTAAAGGATTTTTTAACATTGGCCAGGCGTGGTGGCACACATACATCTGTGATCCCAGCTACTTGGGAGGCTGAGGCAGGAGGATTGCTTGAAGCCCAGGAGGTTGAGGCTGCAGTGAGCTGTGATCGAGCCACTGCACTCCAGCCTGGGTGACAGAGCAAAACCCAGTCTCAAAAAATAATAATAATAATAATAATATTTTACATAACCAACCACTTCTAAAGATTAAAAAAAAAACCCTACAATTAATTAAAAACCTCAGGTCCCTCAGGCAATCATACCAGATATTGAAACAAAGCAATAACATAAGGACTGCAGTATTTATTTTATTTTTATATTATTTATTTATTCTTCGTTAGTTTGTTTTTGGAGCGTGGGTTTTGTTTTGTTTTTTGATTTTTTTCTTTTTTTCGACCTACGGATTTATTCTTATTGCCCAGGCTTGAGTGCAATGGCGTGTTCTCAGCTTACTCAACCTCCGCCTCTTGGGTTTGGGTAATTGTTGTGCCTCGGCCTCCCTCTGCCTCTTGGGCTTGGGCGATTGTTCCACCTCATCCACCCTCCACCTCTTGGGTTTGGGTGGTTTTTCCACCTCGGCCTCCTGAGTAGCTAAGGGAGGAGTCTTGAGATTATCATCCACTGAGGGTGGAAGAGGAGAGGGTGGAAGCGGGACAAAGAGACATTCCTTCAGATTATCATCCACTGAGGGTGGAAGAGGAGAGGGTGGAAGCGGGACAAAGAGACATTCCTTCAGATTATCATCCACTGAGGGTGGAAGAGGAGAGGGTGGAAGAGGAGCAAGAGGACACTCCTTGATATTATCATCCACTGAGGGTGGAAGGGGAGTGAGCAGACACTCAGGAGGTGTCTTGAGGCTCAGGGAGTTATCAGTTATAGAATGTTGTTGAGTTGGAGGAGGTGGCTGGCGGCCCATCCTGTTTTTTAAAGTTTCAGCTGTGAGGTAGAGCCAGTAGGGCAATCCTGAAGAATGACGATGCTCCGCTGCCGCCATTCTGACCTGTAGGGCCAAAGGAGGGAATGTTTTCACACATATTCATTTGATGGACAAAATTACCACCACCAACACAGTCTGCACCTTCTGTTGCTGGTGATAGATTTTTGCACCTTTCCATCCTCCAGGTTTCAAAATAGCAGTATCAGTGTCATAATATCACCCTTCCACTGAGTACTGCCGACAGCTGGAGGGTAAAGGAAAGTCATTGGGACACACTGTTGTCTCCACATGCCACTGTGTCTGTCTGCAAATGTAGGCAGGCTGGGGTCCTGCCCCAGGGAAGACAGAGTCATAACAGAGTAATAAAGAAGCATGTTTGAGACACAGGAGTGTCTATGTCTATCCTCATTCCTCCCTCACAGCCATCACCAGAGCATGTTTCTTGCACCAGGTCAACAGACAGTAAGAGACAGTAAGAGAGGCATGAAAAGCCCATTGTCCACACATGTTGCAGCTTCTTTTTGGAGAATGTTTTCCAGGCCTTTTATGTTCTGTCTCTGACTCTCAGAACTCTGCAAGGTCAGTGTGACCACCCTGCTCCAAATCTAAGAAAACAGAGGTTTCCAGAGGAAGGAGAAATTGTGCCCAGGGTCACACAGCTTGCAAGAGGCAGAGTGGAAGTTGATTCCAGCTCTGCCTGAAGGACCCTCTCATTTCCCCTCTGTTTCCCTTCTTGACAAAGGATCTTCTTCACTCTGGAGGTGCCACCCATGAGAACAAAGAGCTCTGGAGAGATGTGGATTCCTGAAGAGCTGCAGGGGAACTGGGAGAGGGTTTTCTGACAGAACAATCTCACCTCAAGAAGTCACTTAGGCATGGCTGTAATATTTCTTTTCACTCCCAGGTAATACCAAATTGTAAGTGCACTAGGACATAAAGAATACTTTTGTCCATGGAAAAATGAGGTGGAAATTCTAAACAAAGCAAGTTTTAAAACTGTGTTTCACTTCAAGTGTACAAGTCCCATCACGTGTAATCATAGGACTCGGCAGCTTTTGAAGGTACAGAGGCCACACAAGAACCAGCTTAGCTGAGCATCATTTAAGGCCTTCATTTGGAATTGTCCCTGTGGGTAATAAGTTACATTCACTCTTCACTAATTTACAGTCAGGGCCCATTTGCTATTACAAATATGGAACCTCTGACACTTTGAATTTAGATCAGGGGCCCCACTGGGTGGGGATGAAGGTGTTTTTGCACAACACGGTTACCAACAGGGATGGGACTGTGATGCCTGTAGGCAGCCTTCCTCTCTGCCATCTCCCTCTGCAGGGCTTGAGCACAGAGCTGTAGGGAGAAAAATGTATCCATGTCCTGACCTGGCAGACTATGTTCAAAAGCAAGGAAAACAAACAAACTTACCCAGTTGCAAAGAGGCTTTCTTGCAGAAGGGGGGATCTGAAAAAGCCAACACATGAGAAATTGAATGTTGAGAGAGTCTAAGAGCCGTGGCATCATCTGCATCAGCACTGAACTATCCTGCAACTGCGGGGAGGAAGCTCCTTACTTTGCATTTGTGGTAGTCCTCTGCCCGCCGCCGCAACTCTTGCGCACGTTGAAACATTTTCCTATGGATTACAATCACTTTCATCAGATAAAGCACCACGTTCAGGATGATTTTAAATAATCTGCCATGTTTCTGTTATCCTCACAACTGTACCCTTACACAATCTATCTCTACCTAGAAAACGTATTTCAGATGGCTATAAGAGTACAGTCTGAGCCGGTCACGGTGGCTGATGCCTGTAGTCCCAGCACTCTGGGAGGGCGAGGCGGATGGATCACGAGGTCAGGAGATTGAGACCATCCTGGCTAATACGGTGAAACCCCGTCTCTACTAAAAATACAAAAGATTAGCCGGGCGTGGTGGCAGGCACCTGTAATCCCAGCTACTCGGGAGGCTGAGGCAGGGGAATCACTTGAACCTGGGAGGCGGAGGTTGCAGTGAGCCAAGATCACGTCATTGCACTCCAGCCTGGGTGACACAGCGAGACTCCATCTCAGAAAAACAAAAACAAAAACAAAAACAAAAAAACTGTACGGTCTGATCCAAACTGTTGCTGTATTGATTCCTCCTCTTGCTTACTGCCTGTTGACTTCTGAGATGATAGTTTCCTTCCCCATTCTCAGTATATCCCTAATTCATCCTTCATTGAGCATCTTTTATCATAAAGCTGTATTCTCTTTGTATTAATATCCTTACCGTGTTTCACAGGGCAGAAACAGCTGGGCTTATAAACAGGCATAGTCCTTTTGAAGGATGTGGTTGATCCTACAACAACACACTTTCCTAAGGATGACAACAACTCACCCCACCCCTAGAATGGCTGGTATGAACCGAGTTTCCACACAGTCTAGCTGGCAATGGGGTCAGGAGCCGTTTTGCTACTTCACATCTTTTGGTCACTGGTAAATATTAAGGTACTTTGTTTTCTGTTTTGTGAACTCTCTCTCGCTCTCTCTCACGATATGTCTTCTGACCGTTTGTTTCTATTTCTGCATTTACCGGGTCTAAACATTGTACAGAGGTTAAAAACAGCACTCCAATGGGCGTTTCCCAGGAGGGTGGGGTTCAGTTTCTGAACTCACTTGTAGGTGTGTATTTCTTTCATATCCAATTTCCCATTTTCCTCTGCCTCTGATACCTGCCTCTCCTTTTCTGCGTGCTCACATTCTTTCATGCTTAGTTTCCTCAGGTTAGAAGGGAGAGAAATGCACACACATGATCCACCAGTCCATGTGGGATTCCCTCTGCCCTTCTGGCATCTGAAGGCTGTGATTCAAAGATCCCCCCTGCAACCTTCCCACAAATGAACCAACTGATTCTCACAACCGAAGGGAGAATGGACACCTCCCATTGAGGGACCAAAAAAAATCACACTCTGGCCTGCTGGCAAGTCACCTGTCATTTCCAGCTCATCTTCATAGTTCCATAGTTAGTCCTATTCTTTAGTAAATATAAAGACTATTAAAAGCTTCTATGAGGTGCACTATGTGTGTCTCTGGGGTCAGTCTTGTGCTTGACACAGCGAAAGATCATTTTAGTTCAGTGTGAAAAACCAGACCTCACCAACTCATCACAACTAACTCCATCGGAAGCAGAGGATTGCTCCTCATCTGACTCTTCCTGTGTGAGACCTGCTTCTCAGTCAGAGGCTGATGCCGGAACTGAGACCATCAGCCATAGAGAGATCCTTCCAGAATATGGTGTCATTAACCCCGCAGTTCACTACTGCACTTTGCCATGATTCAGGACTGGAACTCTTGTCATCGACTTTAAAGATCCTGGTTGAGAGAAAAGGCAATCTGAATGCTGGGCGCATCTATTGAATTAGAAATGATCGGAATGGCTCCTAAGTCAGGGTGTTATGTCCTGAAAATAGGTGACAACGGCAAACCATCCACCCTGGTGTTGACTGACTTTAACAAGGTTCACTTCACGGACATTGAGGGCAGAAAAAGGAAATGGCCTAAAAAGGGTAAGTTTGCTGTGTTGCCCTCACACCACTTGATTCATGGTCCTGATCCTAAGGATCTCACCTGATACTTGGTTTTATAGGAAGGATGTGTAAAATTCCCAGAACGCTAGGAAACAGGGGCGAAAACACTTCAAAGAGAAAGTTAATGAACTTGTTTCTGACCACAGGGCATCCTTCAGCACATGCTGTCTGGAGTGGCCTCCAACAAGGAGTGTGTGGTGTGGTGCTGAGAATGCAATGGGAGCAGGGTCCTGTCCCCACGGTAAAGAAGCTCACAGCTTAATGCAAATGAGAAGCCAGTGAGGACATCACTACTCCTGCTGTCCACTTGGGAACTAGAAACACAAAACCTGACTCTGGAGGGAAGCTAAGGAAGCATTCTACTCTTGAGTTGACATAAGTGCATCTGAAGCTTCTGATCTCCGATGAGAACAATGGGGGACACCAAACAGAATATAAAACCCATGATTGAATACATCAAATTGCTAACATGGCAGTAAACAGACATGAGGTGAAGATGGAGAAGAAGGAAACCCAGGACGAAAGTCAGCCTCGCATTTGGAACCCATTTCCCTGAGTTTCATTGCTGAATTCCAGAAGGAACTACTGAGATGCAAAGAAGCACAGCAGCTTTTGCACACATGCGTGGGATTAGATGGAAAACAAGTGGATTGAGGGTCTGCCAATGAAAGCGACCCGTACTGAAGTCCACTGGCTCTGGTTGAGACCCAGAAGAGTCATGCATCAGAATAGAGGTGGACAGGAAATACCCTGGCCTTTGTAGGGACTGAGCCTGCACCGACGACCTCAATTGCAGCCTGTATGGAGGACCCGTGACCATCCCCCAGAAGTAGACTCCCATCTCTTCTGCAGCAAGATAACATGCCACTAGGCCTCAATTCATTGCTAAATATTTTTTAACGAGTATCTCACATTTAACAAAAAGAGATCAGTCATATGGCAGCAAAATACAATGTAATATGACCAAAACATGAAAGACTGTGAAAATGAATCTGGAGGTGACCCAAGCATTGAATTCAACAATCCAGGCTGGGTGCGGTGGCTCACACTGGGAGGCTGAGGTAGGCAGATCACCTGAGGTCAGGAGTTCAAGACTAGCCTGGCCAACATGGTGAACCCCTGTCTCTACTAAAAATACAAAAATTGGGCCGGGCACGGTGGCTCACGCCTGTAATCCCAGCACATTGGGAGGCCGAGGTGTGTGGATCATGATGTCCAGAGTTCTAGACCAGCTTGGCCAATATGGTCTAGAACTACTCTACTAAGTCTATGCCTCTACTAAGAATACAAAAATTATCCGGGCATGGTGGCATATGCCTGTAGTCCCAGCTACTCAAGAGGCTGAGGGATAAGAATCACTTGAACCTGGGAAGCAGAGGTTGCAGTGAGCCAAGATCATGCCACTGCACTCTAGCCTGGGTGACAGAGTGAGACTCTGTCTCAAAAAAAAAAAAAAAAAAATTGGCCGAATGTGGTGGCACACACCTGTAATCCAAGCTACTCAGGAAGCTGAGGCAGAATTGCTTCAAACTGGGAGGCAGAGGTTGCAGTGAGCCAAGATTGCACCATACCACTCCAGCCTGGGCGACAGAGCGAGATTCTATCTCAAAATTAAAAAAAAAAAAAAAAAGCCTGGGTGTGGTGGCTCACACCTCTAATCCCAGCACTTTGGGAGGCTGAGGCAGGTGGATTACCTGAGGTCAGAAGTTCGAGACCAGCCTGGACAACATGGTGAAACCCCATCTCTAGTAAAAATACAAAAATTAGCTGGGCGTGGTGGTGGGCACCTGTAATCCCAGCTACTTGGGAGGCTGAGGCAGGAGAATTGCTTGAAGCCAAAAGGCAGTGAGCTGAGATTGTGCCATTGCACTACAGCCTGGGCAACAACAGCAAAGCTCCATCTCAGGAAAAAAAAAAAAAAAGAGAGAAAGGAAAACCAATGCCAGTACTAGCAACTCCTCTTCCCCCGAAAAAATTACAAACAAGAATGTAGGAAGGGAAAGGAATTATACAGCTTAAACTAATGAAGCAGAAAGGACAAACTCAATTTTGAGCCCACTGAATTTGCCACAAATATTGTAGAAAATATTCTCAAGGAATTTACAGTTGTCTACTTTGATTGGCACATGGTTCATACAACAGTATTTGTGTCAAGGCACATCTTACTGTTTTCTGGCGGTCTTCCTCTTTCCATTGATTTTGTCATGACGGTTGATTTTCGTTGTCACCTTCCTCTTACGGATTTTAGCTCTAACTTTTGTTTCCACATGCCTCCGTAGAGTAATGACGTCTTTCAGGCCAATTTTATTTCCTCGAAAGGAAGAAACTCTTTTCTTTGTGTGCATACAAATGGACCTCAGCCCTTGGTGAGAGTGAGGAGAGGAGAAGGTGAGAAACCTGAGGTCAAGAAGCTGTTCTTTCCCTTTCCAGGGCAAACTCATTTCCACACTATGGGGACTCCAACAGAGCCATACCTTTCTGTCTACTGCGGTTGGACCTCCAGGCTCTCTGCTGTACATCCATGGATCCATCATGTCCATTTCGAGACCAGAAGATAGTCTTCAGGAAAGACACCTAGGAAATAATAATATAAGAATGACGGCTGGGCACGGTGGCTCATGCGTATAAATAATCCCAGTACTTTGGGAGGCCGAGGCAGGTGGATCACGGGGTCAGGAGTTCAAGACCAGCCTGGCCAAGATGGTGAAACCCTGTCTCTACTAAAAATACAAAAATTAACCAGGCATGGCAGCGGGCGCCTGTAATCCAAGCTACTCGGGAGGCTGAGGCAGAGAACCATTTGAAGCTGGGAGGCGGAGGTTGCAGTGAGCCGAGATCACACCACTGTACTCCAGCCTGAGCGACAGAATGAGACTCTGTCACACACACACACACACACACACACACACACACACACACACACACACACACACAAGAATGACATGAGGCTGGCACGGTGGCTCACTCCTGTAATCCCAGCACTTTGGGAGGCCGAGGCAGGCGGATCACCTGAGGTCGGGAGTTTGAGACCAGCCTCACCAACATGGAGAAACGCTGTCTCTGCTAAAAATACAAAATTAGCCAGGCATGGTGGTGCATGCCTGTAGTCCCAGCTAGTCAGGAGGCTGAGGCAGGAGAATCACTTGAACCCAGCAGGAAAAGGTTGTGGTGAGCTGAGATTGTGCCATTGCACTCCAAACCTGGGCAACAAAATTGAAACTCTGTCTCAAAAAAAAAAAAAAAAAAAAAAAATAGCCCAGGTGCGGTAGCTCACGCCTATAATCCCAGCACTTTGGGAGGCTGAGGCGGGTGAATCACAAGGTCAAGAGATGGAGACCATCCTGGGCAACATGGTGAAACCCCGTCTCTACTAAAAATACAAAAATTAGCTGAGCATGGTGATGCACGCCTGTAGTCCCAGCTACTCGGGAGGCTGAGGCAGGAGAACTGCTTGAACCCAGGAGGCAGAGGTTGCAGTGAGCCAAGATCCCACCACTGCACTCCAGCCTGGTGACAGAGTGAGACTCCGTCTCAAAAAAAAAAAAAAAAAAAAATGACATGAATATACTTCACACAACTGAACTGTACACTTCAACACGGTTAGATGGTAATTATCATCTTATAAGTATTTTACCACAGGTTAACATGTTTCACAACTTGAAAAGGAAGTAATTACCTTCAGCTCTCTGAGTTCTAGAATTTGTAACATTTCACCCCCTGCTCCTTCCTGATCTGCACTGGAGCATCTTCCTTCTGTCCCTGCTCTACTCAGAGTTCACTTTCCCTTCCCTCACATCAGCTTCATTGAGGCTGGTTTGAACTTAACGCAAAACATTCTCACTAATGACTGAATTCCCACCAAGATTTCCATATTATCACAGTATGCTTTTAATCTTCTAAGATATTAAATATTTGTTCTCATCATAGCGAAAATGCAATGCAAATCCCATCTCAGATGTGGGTCAGATACCTATGAATCTCCTGAGGTAGTCATTGAAATGACTTTTTTCTTGAGATGGAGTGTCACTCTCAACCATGCTGAAGTGCAGTGGCACTACCTTGGCTCACGGCAACCTCCACCTCCCAGATTCAAGCGATTCTTGTGCCTCGGCCTCCCAAGTAGCTGGGATTACAGGTGCCTGCTACCATGCCTGGCTAATTTTTGTCTTTTTAGTAGAGATGGGGTTTCACCATGTTGGCCCATCTGGTCTTGAACTCCTGACCTCAAGTCATCCACCTGCCTCAGCCTCCCAAAGTGCTGGGATTACAGGCATGAGCCACCACACCTGGCCTGAAATAATATCTTTCAAATTCTTTGTAGAATTTGTTTTTTCCTGATTTCTGCACATAGGATAAAAAAAAAAATCATGTACTAGGATTTCGAGAGAAGCAATGGGTAATCTAAAAAGATGAAAAGAGCAACCACGTCAATCCCACAGCTACTACTAGATTTCACAGGAAAGGTAGCTGGCCCAGTTTGGAGCTAGGAGAAATGTCAAACACATGAAGAAATGACAAGCAAAGAAATGCCATCACGCATGAATGCTTCATGGCACCCATGATGTCCCTGCTTAGGAGGTAATGGTATAGATGACTAGATGACAAGGACAAAGATGAGAGGTGCGAAGTTGTCCAAGTCCAGCAGCTCAACTGAACTTTCCTAAATGGAACTGTTAAAAAGTGGTAAGTTTAAAAACTTCCCCTGGCTCACGTGGTGGCTCACGCTTGTAATCCCAGCACTTTGGGAGGCTGAGGCGGGTGGATCATTTGAGGTCGGGTTTTGAGACTAGCCTGGCCAACATGGTAAAACCCCGACTCTACTAAAAATACAAAAATTTGCTGGGCATGGTGGTGGGCACCTGTAATCCCAGCTACTTGAGAGGCTGAGGCAGGGGAATCGCTTGAAGCCAGGAGGTGGAGGTTGCAGTGAGCCGAGATCACACCATTATACTCCAGCCTGGGCAACAGAGGGAGACTCGTCTCGGGGGTGAGAAAAGGAAAAAAAAAAAAAAAAGCTTCCTCCAATTTATACCAAAAATTCTCTGTTCAGGACTAAGTGGCATAGAGAATGTTAAATGTGCCTAGATATCTTCATAACTCATATATTTTCTGTTTTCTACATATCTTGAAAGGCAGTGCCAAATGACGTGTAATTATCTAGGTGGTAAAACTGAAACATACTTCCTCTTCCCTTGAATATAAAAAAGCATTGTGGTATTAGTACTTTTATCTTGGATCATTGTTCAGAAGGAGGTTCAGCCCCCAGACAACCACATTTTTACTGTCATGAATGGCAAGACAAAATGTAGAGCTCAACTTACCCAAAGGAAAAAAGGCTCAAAAGACAAATTATGGCACAACTTAGCAGCCAAATTCTTACCAAGTACAGACTTTTGACATACTGATCTCTCTCCAGTTGCAAGTGGGAACATGCACTTTGAATGATGTCATTCAAAATTACCCTGCCCAGACACACTTTTCATTGATTCTCTTGGAGGGCAGTTCTAAGAGATTCTCTGGGGCTTTCTCTGCATCATGAGACGCAGTGCAGTTCTGCCCTTCACCTTCCGGCAGTTTGTCACCTCGTCCCTATGACCTCAGAGGAACTTTGTCTCAGGCCAATTGTTTGTTCCTTGGCCTCTTTCATTTCCCCTAAAAATCATTTGCTGCCCCTCTAAATGGCCTACATCTCCATCTATCTCCCTCTCCCCTCAGAAGAGGGTGCTCTTTAAGCATCAACCATCCGGCCCTTCTAGCAGTCTCATTTTTCAGCTGGTTCCCATGTTTATGCCTGTTCTATGTGTTTCTTTTCCTGTTAAGCTGTCTGTTGTCAGCTCATTTCTGCAGTGAATCTTCAGAGAGGAGATTGGAAGCTTTCCTTCCACCCATACGATAGAACTATAAAGCAGAAGAGTTTAGAAAGAATTTCCTATTTAAGTGACGAAACCTCATACTCCATTTGTGATAAATAGCACAAAGGCTAAAAAAACTTATTTTTGACCAAAAGCTCTGTTGACATTCTATTAAACAAACACCGACCTATTTAATTTTCATAATGTAAATGGCAGACATTTTCATAATTCTTATGCTAATAAATCATTTCCCTGATTTTTTGGGTAAAACCACATATTCATAATGAAGTCCAGAAACGTGAATTGTTTTATATAATTTATTCTTATTTGTGATTACAAGTATACCTCTACAGAAAGTTAGTATACTCACACAAAGGCAACTTGTGCAGAAGAGAATGTTAAATGTGTAACGTCTCAGAAACCCAATAATGATAATTATCAAATTATCCAATTTTTGTGGAGATGGGGTTTTGCCATGTTGGCCAGGGTGGTCTCGAACTCCTACACCAAAGTCAGTCTCACGATGACGATAGACAGCCAGACTATTGATAACCTGGAATAATAATAGTTGAAATAATGAAAAGGTCAATGACACCGACAATATTTCACTCAGAAAGAATCATCCTTAGAAACCGTCAACCTCCTCCAAAAGGTAACCACATCCCTCAGATATCACCGTGGGATTCCACTGCTACAAAAAAGAACAGAAGTTAGAAGTCTCATGTTTTTCAGATGGCTGGTAGTGTTTTTAGGCATTGCAAATGTGGGGTGTTGTCTTTCTTGGTATAAAGCAGGGATATCCAATCTTTTCACTTCCCTGCCTATATTAAAAGAAACAAAGTTGTCTTGAGCCACACATAACATACACTAACACTAACAATAGCTGATGATCTAAAAAAAAAACTCTTTTTTTTTTTTTTTTGGAGACAGAGTTCCGCTCCACTCAGTCGCCCAGGCTGGAGTGCAGTGGTGCAATCTCGGCTCACTGCAACCTCCAGCTCCTGGGCTCAAGCCATTCTCCTCCCTCAGCCTCCCGAGTAGCTGAGATTACAGGTCTCTGCCACCATGCCTGACTCATTTTTGTATTTTTAGTAGAGATGAGGTTTCACCATGTTGGCCAGTCTGGCCTTGAACTCCTGGCAGGCGATCTACCTGCCTCGGCCTCCCAAAGTGCTGGGATTACAGGTGTGAGCCACCGTGCCCAGCCATTTTTTTTTGTTTTTGTTTTTGTTTGGTGTTTTGTTTTTGAGATGGGGTCTCACTCTGTCACCCAGGCTGGAGTGCAGTGGCGTGCTCTCGGCTCACTGCAACCTCGGCCTCTCAGGTTCAAGTGATTCTCCTGCCTCAGCCTCCTGAGTAGCTGGGAGTACAGGTGCCTGACAATGCACTCAGCAAATTTTTGTATTTTTTGTGGAGATGGGGTTTTGCCATGTTGGCCAGGGTGGTCTCGAACTCCTGACCTCAGGTAATCTGCCCGCCTCAGCCTCCCAAAGTGCTGGGATTACAGGCATGAGCCACTGTACCTGGCCAAAATCTCCTAATGTTTTAAGAAAGTTTACAAATTTGTGTTGAACTGCATTCAAAACTGTCCTGGGCCACATGCAGCCCGTCACTCATGGCTAAGACAAGCTAAGTATAAAGTAATTATCTTTTCTTTTTGTTTGGAGACAAAGTCTTGCTCTGTCACCCAGGCTAGATTGCAGTGGCATGATCTCAGCTCACTGCAACCTCCGCCTCCCGGGTTCAAGCGATTCTCCTGCCTCAGCTACTGAGTAACTGGGATTACAGGCGCCTGCCACCGCACTCGGCTAATTTTTGTATTTTGAGTAGAAACAGGGTTTCACCATCTTGGCCAGGCTGGTCTCCAACTCGTGACCTCTTGATCCACCTGCCTCGGCCTCCCAAAGTGCTGGGAATACAGGTGTGAGCCACTGCACCTGGCCAGTAGTTATCTTTTCTTTAAAGTTATTTACTTGTTTTTTAAATTGATGTATAACATTGGATGCATTTATTATATATCACATGGTAAAAGAATCCCTCTAAATAATACTTCTCTCTTGGATTATATGAATCTTTGTCATTTGAAGCTCAGCATAAGTAAAAAAAAAAAAAATACAATGAAGAGATTACTTCATTCACAAATAAGTGTCAAATTTTAGTGCTTAAAAATTAACAAGGTGGGCTGGGCGTGGTGGCTCACGCCTGCAATCTCAGCACTTTGGGAAGCCGAGGTGGGTGGACCACGAGATCAGGAGATTGAGACCATCCTAGCTAACACGGTGAAACCCATCTCTACTAAAATTACAAAAAATTAGCAGGGCATGGTGGCACGTGCCTATAGTTCCAGCTACTTGGGAGGCTGAGGCAGAAGAATCACTTGAACCCGGGAGGCAGAGGTTGCAGTGAGCCGAGATCGCACCACTGCACTTCAGCCTGGGTGACAGAGCGAGACTCTGTCTCAAAAAAAAAAAAAAAAAAAAAAAAAAAAATTACCAAGGTGGAGATCATGAAAATGGCATGAATAGTGTGGGATTTCTCTAAGATTGTTGATATTAATTCCAGTAGACTCTTATGTGAGTGAAGACGAAGACTTCCCCTGAGTAAGTTCAGACAGCTTGTGATAACATTTCTACGTCGATTCCTCAGGATTTAACTATATATTCTTGAAAACATCTCAATTTTAAATGTTTCTTTCAAGATGGTGAATTAAACAGAGATAGCCCTTCAACAGGTTGAACTCAGCATATGCTGAGTCTGAAATGGAAATGATGGAGTTAGAGAACCATACAACAATGGTAATGATTTCAGAAACATGGTGTTGAGCAGAATAAAGCAGACACAAAAGAGTACCTATGGCATGGCACGCATCTGTATACGCGAAATTCCAGAATAAGCAAGCTAACCTATGATAAGAAAGAGACTGGCTGGGAAGAGTGAGAGTTCACTTTCTGGGGTGACATAATAGTGTAGATCTTGGCTGGGCACGGTGGTTCACGCCTGTAATCCCAACACTTTGGGAGGCCGAGGCGGGCGGATCACCTGAGGTCGGGAGTTCAAAACCAGCCTGACCAACATGGAGAAACCCTATCTCTACTAAAAATACAAAATTAGCTGGGAGTGGTGGCACATGTCTGTAATCCCAGCCACCCGGGAGGCTGAGGCAGGAGAATCGCTCGAACCTGGGAAGCAGAGGTTGCGGTGAGCTGATATTGCCCCATTGCACTCCAGCCTGGGCAACAAGGGAGAAACTGTCTCAAATAAATAAATAAATAAATAAAATAATGTAGATCTTGAAAGGGGGTCGGTTTATGCTGGTGTAAGTACTTTCCAAAGTTAGTAAACTTACACTTAAGGTTATATATTTTGGCCAGGCGCGGTGGCTCACGCCTGTAATCCCAGCACTGGGAGGCCGAGGCAGGCGGATCACGAGGTCAAGAGATGGAGACTATCCTGGCGAACATGGTGAAACCCCGTCTCTACTAAAAATACAAAAATTAGCCAGGCGTTGTAATCTGAGCTACTCAGGAGGCTGAGGCAGGACAATTGCTTGAACCCCGGAAGCGGAGGTTGCAGTGAGCCGAGATCTTGCCACTGCACTCCAGCCTGGGCGACAGAGTGAGACTCTGTCTAAAAAAAAAAAAAAAAAAAAGTCATCAAACCAGATGACACAAATCAAATGACATTTCACTTTGTTTTGGTCCATTTTGTTTGTTAGAGACAAGAGTGCAGCGGGGCCATCTCGGCTCACTGCAACGTCCAGCTCCTCGGCCCAAGCGATCCTCCCACCTCAGCCTCTCCAGTAACTGGGATAACAGGTACGCACCACCAGGCCCGACTAATCTTTTTTGGAATTTTTTGTAGAGATGGGGTTTCGCCATGATGCCCTGGCTAGTCTTCAACTCCTGGACTCAAGTGATCTGCCCACCTCGGCCCCCTAAAGTGCTGGGATTACAAGGCCTGAGCTGTGTAATTTCATGCCGCGTGACACAGCCCAGTAAAAAGGAAGAAACCCCGCGGGTCCAGCGTCTACTCACAGGGGTGGGCTGATGGCTGATAAATCCCAGCAGGAGCCAAATGAGGAGCCAAAAGCGCAGCCGCATGTCATGATCCTTTCAGGGTGCCCTGAGGCGGCCAGGACAGAGGTGGAGGTGGCTTAGGGCAGGGGGGAGGGAAGGGGACGGGGACCGGGGCCGGATCTGAGTTGGGGAGGGGCAGGGGAGGGGGAGGGGAAGGGGAGGGGGAGGGGAAGGGGAGGGGGAGGGGAAGGGGAAGGGGAGGGGAAGGGGGGAAGTAAGGGAAGGGAAAGGAGAAGGGGGCTGTTGGGCACCTGGAGGAGGTGGAGGAGGAGGAGGAGAAGAAGAAAGGGGTCTGGGAAAGGATCCGGTTCAAATTAAGTTCTCAAGCGCTGGTGGAAGGTTTAGCTACAGGTCACGGAGAAGATCAGGGAAGCAACAGGACACGCGGGGCAAGGGAGCGTGAGGCTTAGGAGCAATTAGAGGGAGACAAAAAGGTTCTGCTATCCGCCAAACCTTCTTCGGTCTGGGCCCTCCCTTAGCAAACCTGGGGCTTTATACTCCCTCTCCACCAATCCCTGATGACCCCGGTGGTGCCTCACAATGGACAATGCCAAGTAGCGCCCGCATCATTCCAATGACCCCTCCCCCATCTCAGTCTCCCACACTCCTCGCAAGGACAGGTCCTCTCTGGAACCTTCACAAACCTGATTTCTGGTCCTCCCCAACCAGCTCCCTGTCCCTGCTTCTGGGCGCTCCTTCCTTCCTGAGCTCCCAGGGTTCCTCAAGGTCACTTTTGGTGACAAAACATAAAAAACAAATGATGGCAGGATGGCAGGAAGAACCTCATACCCAAGCAGAGTGCCAGGTTTTACAGCCTCCGCTCAGCCATTCATATCCTAAGCAACAAAACATCAGCAGGATGCGGAAGGTCCCGATAGTAAACCATCTCCATCACATCCATGTAGCCATCCGTCCATCAACCTGTATCTCAGGAACAAATGTAGATACATTCATTTTAAGCATGCATGGTACATTTACAAAAATTAACCTGACTTATTTTGTTCCAGCAAATCTCAATATATTTGAGAGCAATCAAATCACACAGCACGTTTCTGATCATATAACTGTGCTAGAAGTCAATGATTAAAAGCTAATTCAAAATTATTATTTGCTTGGAAATTCAAAGTGCCCTTATAAGACATAAACATAAGAAAGAATCCAAAATGAAACAAGATTGCCTTTCAACTCAATGATAAGATCATAACATGGCAATAAAATGTCTCCCTCTGGCCTGGGAATTCCTCTTTGTGGCACAAGGTTGTGTGATCTCAAATCACCCCTAACCCACCTAGACATTTTAACATCCGAAACCGAGTGATGATGTCCTTATCTATAATCATCTTACTGCCTGTGTGTGTGGACTTTAAATTCTGAACCCAAATGAGGGGGAGAAAACCAAGTTGACCTTCATGATTGACCTCTCAGGGATGTCCAAGGAATCTGTGCATTTCAAGAAACAAAGTTCAGCAGCTTCTCTCCTAAGGTATTTGCCCACAATACCCAGAGGGCTTGGCAGCATCATGTGTGATGGGTGGGGAGCTCCAAGCAGGTGGGCAGGACGCAGGGGTCTGGTGACCAGGACAGACCCCCACTGTCCATCACCTTTCCTGGCCCTGTCCTCAGCTAAACTTCCCACAGGCCTTCTGCCTGATCACACAGAGTGTGCCCAAACTCACTCAGGCCTCTGGGAGCTGAAAACCACTGCTTTAAATCCCTTTACCATTTACTATGACATAAGGTTATTGTAAACAGGAAATATTCTATTGATGCTACAAATGGAAAGCCAATGCCTTTACCATAAATAGAAAAACAACCCTAAGAAACAAGCAAAACAAAAACAAAACAGGGGCTGGGTGTGGTGGCTCACGCCTGTAATCCCAGCACTTTGGGAGGCCGAGGTCGGCGGATCACAAGGTCAGGAGTTCCAGACCAGCCTGGCCAATATGGTGAAACCCTGTCTCTAATAAAATATAAAAATTAGCCGGGTGTGGTGGTGGGCGCCTTAGTCCCACCTACTTGGGAGGCTGAGGCAGGAGAATAGTTTGAACCCGGGAGGCAGAGTCTGCAGTGAGCCGAGATTGCACCACTGCACTCCAGACTAGGCGACAGAGAGAGACTCTTGTCTCAAAAACAGCAACAACTACAAACAAACAAAAAACAGGGTTAACAAAACTATGGAATTCAATTCTATTTATATGCTGCAGCCATGTTCCAGCCCTAGATTTGGCTGGGCATGGTGGCTCACGCCTGTAATCCCAGCACTTTGGGAGGCTGAGGCAGGCGGATCACGAGGTTAGAAGTTCGAGACCAGCCTGACCAACATGGTGAAACCCTGTCTCTACTAAAAATACAAAAATTAGCCAGGCATGGTGGCACCCGCCTGTAATCCCAGCTACTCAGGAGGCTGAGGCAGGACAATCCCTTGGACCCGGGAGGCGGAGGTTGCAGTGAGCCGAGATCGTACCATTGCACTCCAGCCTGGGTGACAGAATGGAATGAGACTCTGTCTCAAAAAGAAAAAAAAAAAAAAAAAGCCCTAGATTTCGGTTGTGTTGGTTGTAAAAGGAGAGACCAAGTAAGTGGGGGTTGAAGTCAGATTAGACCAAAAGTGAATGGCAGAGAGTACTATAATGTCCATGAAGGGTTGCTAGAGTCACCGTGATCATAGCCCAAGCAGAGACAGGGAAAGGAAGATGTGAGCAGAGTTTGGGGTCTCGAACAATGGAGGTTATTCGTGCAGCCCAGGAAAGGCTCCCCAAAGCCAGGATCAACCTCCCTTGCAGGCGGTCCCTCATGGAGGCATGGCCAGGCACCTTAGATTTGAGACCAGCTATGTTGCTGCTGACCAGCTGTGTGACCCTGGGCTGGTTTCCTTCCATACAATGGGAGTGCCAATGGCTGCATGAATGCAAAGACCGTCTGAGGATAGGAGGAAGCAATCTGTTGAGCACCCGTGTACCTGAGTGTCATCACCTCCCAAGGGCATCTTTCGTTCCAGAGCTGGCACCTTGGAAGGCCCTTGGTCACTGAAGGCAGTGATGATGGTAACAGCAGTAAATCATCATTTACGGCTGATGAGGGAAGGCCAGGGGTAGGGCTCCTAGGTCCTGGATAAGAATGAGGGTCTGGGCACTCCTGGGGACAGCTGAGTGGTAGGACTCCTGGGTCCCCAGGGTGCAGGTCCATCTTCAGTGGCATTGGGCCTAGGCTGGGATGCTGAGTTATCCACTGGAGCATCAGCAGTACAGGCAGGCACAGAGGCAGTGGATCCATTGGAGGTGGCAGGTGTAGGATCATCTGGTGAGCAAGTAGAGTCACCAAGCCTGGCTGACCACTACCCCCACTATCCCCACAGACGATGCCCTGTCCCTTGCCTCATGCTCCGGCAGGGTACAGGCTCGCACCTGGGGCCTCATGGAGCATCTCTCTAAGACCTCTGTGTCCTGGTCATTGAATGGGCACTTGAGTCACCCAGGGCCATTGGAACAAAGAGGAAGAATCAGGCCCCACGCTGTTTTGGGAGAGTGTTTAGCACAGGAAAATGCACAGAATACATGCACGACACGGGGGCACTGTCAGTGTGGGAGCAATAGTTTACAACCTCCAGCCCTAATCTGAGCACTCTCACCTGTGCAATCTGAAAGGAACAGGAGACTTGCAGGAAAGACAGTGCCTGGATTTAACTTAAAGGAACTAAAAATGTTGGAATTTTTACTCTTGATATCCTTCCAAATCAACTCTCTCAATGTTCCCATCCTCAAAACTATCATATGGGGTAACTGAGGCAGTCAGAGATTTACTGACTCAATGTCACTCAATTGATTCTGAGTTCACTGCTGATTACATCCGACCAAACTGCTTTTTCTGAAGTCTACTCTGTTTCATCATGTTGGTGATGATTTTGTGCAGCTCTGGGACAAACTCCACCTGGCTGAGGATAAAGCAAATCTGCGGTGACTTAGTCCTCCTGTCATTTCCCATCAGTTCCCCACTCTCCTCCTCTGCCCCTCCACAGTCTCCCATGCAGGCTGACACCATATGACAGCCTTAATGGAGTCCACCGAGTATTTCAGGTTCTCTCTTGGGCCACTTGAAAGTGGATGTACCCATGGGATTTGCTTTGACCCAAGAGATGTGAGTGGAAGTGAAGCGTGTCACCTCGAGGCAAAAGAGTTGGGAGCCATTGAGACTGGCCACCCTCTCCTTCATCTCTTAGAGCAGCTGACAGCTCCCATATGGAGGCTGCTCCTTTATTCTCGTGGCAGGATGAGGGCATGTGGGGCACAGGGCACAGGAGAGCCATGGAGGATGTGCAGCATGGGCAGGAAAAGAGCCTTCAGTGGTGTACATTTCCATCGTTTGGGGCTGTTTCTTACCTACAGTGATACCTAGCCCATCCTAGCAGGCATGCACCATCTACCCCACACTCTGTGATGCAGACTAGCCTGCCGTCAGAACAGGAACTGGTGGTCAGACACACGTAGGTTTCAGTTCCAGCTCTGCCTCTTATTGACTGTAACCTCAGGCTTAACTTTCAGTCTCTGAGCCTCAGTTTCAACTCTGTAAAATGAGGTGGCTATACCATCTCAGGTTGCAGAGAGAATTAAATGAAATATAAGTGCATGTAGAGCATTGAACCCAGGGCCTGGCACACACAGTCAGTACTCAATGTTAGCCATGTAGCTTCATGATGCATACTGATTGTCAATATTCAGACAATCCAGTAAAGTATTACCAAAAATAAAAGTAAACTTATTTGCATATGTATTCTTTCAATCTTTATTTTTAAACAGGGTAAAACTATGCATATTCTTTCATAGCCAGTGTTTTTCTCTTCATAGTATATTGTTAAAATAATTTTATCTTGGACCGGGTGCAGCGGCTCACACCTATAGTCCCAGCACTTTGGGAGGCCACGGTGGGCAGATTACGAGGTCAGGAGTTGACACGAGCCTGGCCAATATGGTGAAACCCCATCTCTACTAAGAATACAAAAATTAGCTGGGCATGATGGTGCACACCTGTAGTCCCAGCTACTCAGAGGCTGAGGCAGAGGAATTGCTTGAACCCGGGAGACAGAGGTTGCAGTGAGCCAAGGTTGTGCCACTGCACTCCAGCCTGGGCGACAGAGTGAAACTCTGTCTCTCTCTCTATATGTGTGTGTGTGTGTGTGTGTGTGTGTGTGTGTGTGTGTGTATGTATGTGTGTGTGTGTGTGTGTATCTATATAAATCTCAAAAATAAAAGATCATTTTTGAGATTATCATTTTAAAAGACAAGATAATGTTCAACTTAATGACTAATTTAATTATTACCATTGGACTTTTTGTAGACTGCACAGAGCATTCAAAACAAATGAAGGAGAATAAAAAATATGTATTACATGTAGTAAAATAAATGTGATGTGGTTAATTCTTTTATTCAAAATTATAGAACATATATATGTACTATAGAATGTATTTCTTATTATGAGTCATGTTAAAAAGTAGTTTAGAAGCTGTTGATTTGAATTTCCTTTTCAAATTTTGCAGGATAATTTTTTTTTTTTTTTGACAGAGTCTCGCTCTGTCGCACAGTCTGGAGTGCAATGGCATGATCTCGGCCCACTAAAACCTCCACCTCCTGAATCTAAGCAATTCTCCTGTCTCAGCCTCCTGAGTAGCTGGGACTACAGGCTCACACCACCATGCCCGGCTAATTTTTGTATTTTTAGTAGGGACGAGATTTTGCCATATTGGTCAGGCTGGTCTTGAAGTCCTGGCCTCAGGTGATCCACCAGCCTCAGCCTCCCAAAATGCTGGGATTACAGGCATGAGTCACCATGCCCAGCCTAAACTTGGCAAGATAATAAATAAACTTTTTAAGTGTCGTTGGGCACTTGTCTGGTTGTTTTTCTTTAGGTTACCATGCCAGCAATGATTCCTTTTGAGTTTCTGACAGAAGATAGTGGTTTTCATCCAAATAAGTCAACTACTCTACCCCATCCCTAAGCCACTTGTATGGAAAGAAAAAGAGGAAGAAGCCAGTACTGTGACTGCGTAAGCTTCCCCCAGCATCACCCGCTATGAGATGTGTGGCAGCTGAGACCCGGGAACTGCTCAAGGGCACCAGGCCCCATCTGTCTGCACTCACTCACCTTCCTCAGGTACTCGCATGGGCATGTCACTGACTTTACATGCTGCTGCAGCTCCTTGGTGAACTGGCTCTGGTCATGCGACAGGAACTGTGGGGTCAGGACAATAGAGAGCTTCACCATTTGCAGAATGAGAACAGGGGCTCATCATGAGTGCCAACCTATTAGATAATTTAAAAAAAAAGTGTTGAATGAGTGGAAAAACAAGGTGATGTTTGAGTCTATAGTGGTCAAGGGCTTCAGAAAAGGACAGAACCAAGTTCAAATTCCTGTACTTTGAATTTCTACTTCATGCCATGCAAAATTACTTTACCCCTTTTAACCTCAGTTTTCTTCTGTGTGAAACAGGAACAATAGTTTCATTCGTCATTCAGTTTCTCTCAAGGTTTCACGAGATCATACCTATAAAACATCCAAGTCATTTAAATGTATCATCATTTCTGTCATAATTAGTGGGATCCATTTCACTATTATTGGATATACAGTTCTGTGCCTGAAACCTACAAAAAAAGAAAATGTTAAGTCTAAAAAGCATTAGTGATTTCTCATTTTTATATTACTAATTATAACCCTATTTAATCACACAAGGCCTTGTCCGTGGCAGGTGCTCAATAAACACTTGTCGAATCAATGCATGTGGGCTCCGGAGCCACACTGTTTAGATTCTATTCTGCCTCCACCACTTATCAGCTGTGTGATCTGGGTAAGACAATTCACCTCTTTATGTCTGCACTTCCCTCTCCATAAACTATATATAATGAGAATCCTTAGCTCATTCGGTTGTGGTGAGGGGTGAATGATTTGGCACACAATCCCAGCTACTCGGGAGGCTGAGGCATGAGAATTGCTTGAACCTGGGAGGCAGAGGTTGCAGTGAGCCAAAATTGTGCCACTGCACTCCAGCCTGGGCGACAGACTGAGACTGTGTCTCAGAAATAAAAATAAAAATAAACAAAAATCAATGAACTAAAAACCAATTTCTAGTGGTTTCTAATAAGGAAAAAATGGTTCAAAAAACTGCTAAGCGAGATCAAGCAAAACAAAAAAATCTATTACGATAATGTTTTTATAACTGGTATTTAAAACATTGTTGATTCATTCTTTATTTTTATTTTGAGACAGAGTCTCACTCTGTCACCCAGGCTGGAGTGCAGTGGCAGGATCTCCGCTCAGTTCAAGCAATTCTCCTGCCTCACCCTCCCGAGTAGCTGGGATTACAGGCGCCCGCCACCACGCCCAGCTAGTTTTTGTATTTGTAGCAGAGACCGGGGTTTCACCATGTTGGCCAGGCTGGTCTCCAACTCTCGATTTCAGGTGATCACCCCCTGCCTGGGCCTCCCAAAGTGCTGGGATTACAGGCTTGAGCCGCCGCGCCCGGCCCTTGTTTTGTTTTCTAGATTGAAGAAAGGTTTTTCTCAGAAGTTATCTAGAATTTACACCGATTTGGTAAAGCACACTTTTGTGAACAAAGGTGGGTGGAAGCGTTTGTTTTTCCTCCCTATCTGATCCTTCTAAAGTTTGGAAACTATTCATAAATATTCTTATTTTCATGTACATATGTTCTCTTTATAAGCAGGCTACAATCAGAAAGATTGGTTATATTATCAAGGCTTTGACTGAAACATCCTATTTAAGAATATGCAGAAAATTCCTGGCTTCGAGTTTGCAGCCTTACGTTACAGTCAGGGGGAAACTGTCACTCCCTGCAGGCCTGAGAACCTTAGAGCTTTTCGGGGAGCAACTTGGCAAGGGGGGGTCCCAGCAGCTGCTCGCGGGCCAGGAACCATGGGGCACAGCCCCGGGCGACCCTCGGGCCGGCGGGGGCCTTCCGCTTCCTGGCGTCTTTCTTCCCCGCCCCGCCGGCTGCTGGGGAAGCGGCGGGCGCCCAGTGCCTGGAGGTCGCTCCCTCGCCTCCTCTGGCTGCGGGAACGGAGAGGCGGCGGCGGCCGGAGCAGGGTGGGCGGCCTGAGCCGAGAGCCCGGCCGGCCCCCGCGAGGAATATGGCGACCTGCGGCGACCGGAGCAGCAGCGGCGTCAGTTGCTGCACCGCCGACTTCTTGGAGCAGCGAAAGCGACTCGCGAGAAGACGCCGCCAAGTGGAACCCGGGCCCTGCGGCCCTGGGAGGGGGCAGCAGCGACACAGCCATGAAGCCCCGGGCGCGGCGCTGGGCGCCAACGAGAGCCACGGCAACCTCCAGACGGCGCCACAGCAACCTCTAGGCAGTGCCCACACCAGCCTACAGGTGGCGCCCCTCGCACTGCACCTGCCGCGGCCGCCCCGGGTGTGAACTGCGCTGTCAGCAGGGCCGCGCTGACACGGGTGGCCCAGGCCCGCAGCAGCCGAGGAGCCCAGGGGCACTGCCCGGGGTGACGAGAAGGAGAAGACGGTGCCCCAGAAAAAGGCAAGAGCTCAGAGCTCGGGTCCCCGTGCCAGGAATGGCCAGGAGCAGAAGATGGAGAGGTGGAGATGGAGAAGGAGAAGCAGCAGGTGGGAAGGAGCGGCGCTCCACCGGTGGGGTCAACATGCGCTGGCTGAGCTTAGAGTATGAAGAGGATGAAGCAAGTCAGAAAGAGCGGAAACGAGAAGGTGCAATGACACAGCAGAGCACAATGCAGAATCCAGCCCTAGGACTCCAATAAAGGCTGGGTTTAATTCCAACTCACACCCTCCCACCCCTAATCAGAGAGGATCACAGGAGAGAGAGGACCCAAGGAACACTGGAACCTGAAGGACAGGAATCTGAGGCCAAGACTGATTGCTGGAAATTGTGGGAATCAGGAAAGGAGAAACTGAGGCAGAATGGGGGGATGGAGGGTGGTGGTGGGGGGCAGTGAGCTGGGTTAGGAAGGATTAGAAATCAGAACCCTAGGAAGGATCCAGAAAGGAACTGTCCTTAAGAAGGTGCATGCTGCGGCTGGGTACTGTGGCTCACGCCTGTAATCCCAGCACCTTGGGAGGCCGAGGCGGGCAGATCACCTGAGGTCAGGAGTTCGAGACCAGCCTGGCCAACATGGCGAAACCCCATCTCTACTAAAAATACAAAAATTAGCCAGGAGTGGTGGTGTGCACCCGTAATCCCAGCTACTTGGGAGGCTGAGGCAGGGAGAATTGCTTGAACCTGGGAGGTGGGAGTTGCAGTGAGCTGAGATCGTGCCACTCCATTGCAGCCTGGGCAACAAGAATGAGATTCTGTTTCAAAAAAAAAAAAAAAAAAAAGAAGAAGGTGCATGCTGGGGATGAAGGAATGGGTTCTAAGACTCAGGGAGTGAGGGAAGGGGAGGGACAGGGGTTGGGGGTGCAGTGGGGTGCTAATGCAGCACCCAAACAGAAGAAGACTGGAGGAAAGCAGGGCCCTTCTCCTCCAACTCCAGCTGCTCCTCTGAGTCCCAGGCCACCTGCTCCTGTGTCTGCCGACCTACTGGCCTATCTCTGAATCCTGCTGGAATGCCATTCCTCCTGATCTCTGCCCTGCCTCAGACCTTTCACTAACACCACCACCCCTACTGCCCAGGGCCCACCACCCCCACTGTCCCCGACCATAGCCTGCCCCTATCCAGAAGCCCCTGCTTCCAGCCACATGCCCTAGGTGACCTAAAGGGGACCTGGACATGCAGGGGAAGAGGGTGCTCTTCTGGTTCCTCCTGCTTAGGTATCCCAGTCTCGCAATCATGAGTGTGAGTAAATGTTGGATATGACACAGATTCTATTTCTCAAGCTGTTTCACACTGTGGTTTACCTAACAGTGTTTTGTGGGGTCATCGATGGGGATTTGGTTCTCCCTGCAGACCAAGGACCTCAGCGCAGATTTCTTGAGCAGCCTAGAGAGGCTCTGGCCTCACCTGGCCACATCAAGTTCTGGGTCCTGCCTGCCCTGCTTGGCCCAAACACAGCAAGGGTGACAGGAGGGAAACGGGAAAATGGTGACTTTATAATATTGGAAAGGAAGGATTTCATGGCCCAGTGGAACACAACAGAGAACCCAGAAATAAATCCATGCATTTACAGCCAGCTCATTTTGCACCGAGGCACCAAAAACATACCATGGGGAAACAGATGGTGTCTTCAATAAGTGGTGCTGGGAAAATGAGATATATCTATGTGTGAAGAATAAAACTAGACCCCTGTGCTTCACCATATATAAAAATCAAATTGAAATTAATTAAAAACTTATATGTAAGAAACTACAGGCTGGGCACTGTGGCTCACACCTGTAATCCCAGCCCAGGCCGAGGCGGGAGGATTGCCCGAGCTCAGGCGTTCGAGACCAGCCTGGCCAACATGGCGAAACCCCGTCTCTACTAAAAATACAAAAATTAGCCAGGCGTGGTAGCGCACACCTGTAATCCCAGCTACTAGGGAGGGAGGCGGAAGAATTGCTTGAACCCAAGGGGTGGAGGTTGCAGTGAGCTGAGATTGCACCACTGCACTCCAGCCTGGGTGACAGAGTGAGACTCCATCTCAAAAAAAAAAAAAGAAAAGAAAAGAAAAGAAACTATGAAAATATTAGTAGAAAACATTGGGGAAATGCTTTATAACACTTGTCTAGGCAAAGATTTCTTGAGTAAGACTTCAAAAACACAGACAACCAAAGCAAAAATTGATAAATAGAATTACATCAAGCTAAAAAGCTTCTGCACAGAAAAAAAATTTGTTTAATTAAAATTAAAAATAAACAAAGTAGACCAGGCACGGTAGCTCATGCCTGTAATCCCAGCACTTTGGGAGGCCAAGGCGGGCAGATCACTTGAAGTCAGGAGTTCTAGACCAGCCTGGCCAACATAGTGAAACCCTGTCTCTACTAAAATACAAATAATTAGCTGGGGATGGTGGTGGGTGCCTGTAATCCCCAGCTACTAGGGAGGCTGAGGCAGGAGAACTGCTTGAACCCGGGAAGCGAAGGTTGCAGTGAGCCGAGATTGTGCCACTGCACTCCAACCTGGGCCACAGAGTGAGACTCCGTCTAAAATAAATAAAAAAACAAAGTGAAGAGACAACCCACAGAATGGGAGAAAATTTTTGCAAACTATTCATCCATCAAAGGATTAATACCCAGAACATATAAGAACTCAAAAACAAAAATCCCAAATAATCCCATTAAAAAATGGACAACAGCCACGGCGGGCCGGGCCAGCAGGTCCACGCCTCGTCTGGGGCCCAGGCCCGCTGCCCCCAAGCGCGGCGCCCAGCCCGGACCGCATGGACTCGGCCTCGCCCGGTGCCGCCCGCGGCTTGGACCCGCAGGACTCTCCGCGCTCGCGCTTCTGGTCCAACTTGTGTCCCTCACCAACTGCCCTGCGGGGCCCAGGCTGGCCCGGGGCGGGGCGTCATCCAGACCAAAGCCCTGTCATTACGCTGCCCCGGCCGCCAGCCCCTCAAGAAGCTATAGATGAGACGTAGGTAGCCGTAGTCGGACTGACTACACTGGCCGGGGAGCAGTCCCCTCCGAGCCCCCGGCCGTCCCCCCTCATCGCCCTGCGCCCACCATCGCCCCTGCCCCTGGCGGCGGCCTCGCGTGCGAGAGGGCTTCCTTCACCTCGGTGCCTCAGTTTCCCCAGCTGTAAGATAGGGACAGGGCGACCCAGTGGCGGAGAGGAGCCGGCTGTGGAGCCCTGCCCGCCCCCTGCCCTCTAGGTAGCCCGCCGTCTGATGAGGATTGTTATTCTAAGTGCAATACTTGGCCCTCCGGCTTCCCGCTGCTCCCACCGTGCTCACGCAATAACCTGCCCAGCCGCCGTCCACGCGCGTCCCGCGGTGACCTCCTGGAGCAGTGCCCCAGCTCCCTCCAGCACCTGCGCCGAGGGGCGGGCCGTCCTGGCTGCGCAGGGCGCGTGGGCGAGGCTGCAAAGGCTGGAGTCCCGCCGCTGTGATTAATGTACTGACGAACCGAGGCAGCAGTGCCCCCATCACGACCCCCACGCCCCACTAACCCCCACGCCCCCACTCCGCGCAATAAACGACAGCATTGGCAAAAAAAAAAAAAAAAAAAAAAAAGGCAAAAGATCTCAATGGCTATTTTCCAACAGAAGACATACAAGTGGCCAACAGGTATATGCAAACTTAACATCACTAATCATCACGGAAGTGCACATCAAAACCCAGTAAAATTTCATCTAACCTCAACTAAAATGGCGACTATCAAAAAGTCAGAAAACAACAAATGCTGACAAGGACGCAGAGAAACAGGAGCACTCAAACACTCTTGGTGGGAATGTTTTTTGTTTGTTTGTTTTGAGACAGAGTCTCTCTCTCTGTCGCCCAGGCTGGAGTAGTGCGATGGCGCGGATCTCGGCTCACTGCAACCTCCGCCTCCCGGGTTCCAGCATTCTCCTGCCTCAGCCTCCCGAGTAGCTGGGACTACAGGCGTTTGCCACCATGCCCAGCTATTTTTTGTGTTTTTAGTAGAGATGGGGTTTCACCATTTTGGCCAGGATGCTTTTGATATCTTGACCTCGTTATTCTCCCGCCTCAGCCTCCCAAAGAGCTGGGATTACCAGCGTGAGCCACCACGCCTGGCCGGTGGGAATGTAAAATAGCTTATCCACTATGGAAAACTGCATGGAGGGTCCTCAATAAGCTAAAAATAGAACTACCGTATAATTCGGCAATCACACTGCTGGGTATAAGTCCACAAGAAAGAAACTCAGTATCTCAAAGACACATCTGCACTCCTATGTTTATTGCAGCACTATTCAAAACAGCCAAAATACAAAATCAACCTAAGTATCCATCAACAGATGAATGGACAAAGAAAATGTGGTACATATACACAAAAAGAAAGGATTTGTGAATATACTAAAAGCCATTGAATTGTATGCCTTAAATGGGGAAGTTGTATGCTACGTGAATTCTATTTCAATAAAGTTGTTTTTAAAAAACGTAAGGGGTCAGACACAATGGCTCATGCCTGTAATCACAGCACTTTGAGAGGCCTAGGCGGGTGGATTACGAGGTCAGGAGTTCAAGACCAGCCTGGCCAAGATGATGAAACCCCGTCTCTACTAAAAATGCAAAAATTAGCCAGCGTAGTGGCGGACGCCTGTAATTCCAGCTACTCGGGAGGCCAAGACAGAGAATTGCTTGAACCCAGGAGGCGAAGGTTTCAGTGAGCTGAGATTGTGCCACTACAATCCAGCCTGGGTGACAGAGCAAAACTCAAAAAAATAAATAAATAAAATAAGGAGCCGGGCACCATGGCTCATGCCTATAATCCCAGCAATTTGGGAAGCTGAAGTAGGTGGATCTTCTGAGGTCCGGAGTTTGAGACCAGCCTGAGCAACAGGGTGAAAGCCTGTCTCTACTAAAAAGACAAAAAATAAGTCAGGCATGGTGGTGCACACCTGTAATCCCAGCTACTCGTGAGGCTGAGGCAGGAGAAGCACTTGAACCTGGGAGGCGGAGGTTGCAGTGAGCTGAGATCGCACCATTGCACTTCAGCCTGGGCAACAAGAACGATCACTTTGGGACTGTGATTTTTGAGATTTTAGATGTGAGGGATTTTGATCTTTCAGGATTTAACCTATTTTACAGTTGAGCAGACTGAGCCACAGAGAGGGGATGTGAACTGCCCAAGGTCTCACAGGTGGTAAGTGTTTGTAGCTGGAACCTGAACTAAGGAAGGAGACCACTACTACTCCGGCTGCCCTCCTCCCACCATCTTGCCTAGTTCACAAGACAGGAGGAAAGAGAGAAAGCAAAAATTTAGAAACAAAAGTAAGATAAGTAGCCAGACACCTTGGCACCACCACCTGCCACAGGAGTTAAAAATAATAATAATAATGACATCAACCCCTGACCTAAACTACTTGTGTTATCTGTAAATTCCAGACCTTGTATGAAAAAGCATTGCAAAGCTTTCTGTTCTGTTAGCTGATGCATGTAGCCCGCACTCACCTTCCCCATGCTTGCTCGATTTATCACGACACTTTCACGTGGACCCTTTAAAGTTGTAAGCCTTTAAAAAGGCCAAGAATTTCTTTTTCGGGGAGCTCGGGTCTTAAGACACAAATCTGCTGACGCTCCTGGCCAAATAAACCTTTTCCTTCTTTAATCCGGTGTCTTGAGGAGATTTGTCTGCGGCTCGTCCTGCTACAGAACCAGGGTCTACCTTGGCAAGGGATTCCACACTGAGTCTCCTCCTGAGAAGCCTGCTCTCTGGGGTTTTGAGGAAATTCATGGTCAGTAAACTGTGTCTCAGGAAATTGTTCCTCTCATGCCATTAGTACCTCTAATGCATCAGTCAGCATAAACAAGATTATGATGCAGTAACAGGCAACCTCCATTCTCTCTCCCTTTGTTTTGCTTTGTTTCATTTTATGGAGATAAGAATCTCGCTCTGTTGCCCAGGCAGGAGGGCAGTGGCGTGACCTTGGCTCACTACAACCTCCACCTCCTGGTTCAAGCAATTTTCCTGCCTCAGCCTCCTGAGTAGCTGGGATTACAGGCATGCCCCACCACACCTGGCTAATTTTTGTATTTTTAGTAGAGACGGGGTTTCACTGTGTTAGCCAGGCTGGTCTTGAACTCCTGGCCTGAAGTGATCCACCAGCCTTGGGCTCCCAAAGTGCTGGAATTACAGGCATGAGTCATCCTGCCTGGTGCACCCCCCATTCTCCATAGAGAAATAGACAAAGTCGATTTCTCTCCCATAGGACACATCCACAGCAGCCTTGGATTAGTCTGCATTGGAAACATCCAGAGTCCTGTGGCACAAAAAAAAGAGAAATGCCTGGCCACTTACTGACTCTGAAAGTTTCTGCTAAAAAATGACAGGGGTTCAGGCCGGGCGTGGTGGCTCACGCCTGTAATCCCAGCACTTTGGGAGGCCGAGGCGGGCGGATCACAAGGTCAGGAGATCAAGATCATCCTGGCTAACACAGTGAAACCCCGTCTCTACTGAAAACACAAAAATTAGCCAGGCGTTGTGGCGGGCGCCTGTAGTCCCAGCTACTCAGGAGGCTGAGGCAGGAGAATGGTGAGAATCCAGGAGGCGGAGCTTGCAGTGAGCCAAGATTGCGCCACTGCACTCCAGCCTGGGCTACAGAGTGAGTCTCAAAAAGAAAAAACAAAAAGTGACACAGGGTTCCTCCCAGCCACATTTCACTGATCAAAGTGGGACACCAGCAAACATTGTAAATGCCAATACAAGCCAGACAGCTGGAAGCTTTTGTTTCCTTTTGCTTTCCTTCTTTTTCCTACCAAGATTCACGCTCTTTCTTCCTTCTTTCAACAACCCGTGGTTTCACTTTCTTTACTATAAGAAAATGCTGGCCGGGTGCAGTGGCTCACGCCTGTAATCCTAACACTTTGGGAGGCCGAGGTGAGTGGATCACTTGAGGTCAAGAGTTCAAGACCAGCCTGACCAACATGGTGGAACCCCATCTCTAGTTAAAAAAAAAAAAAAAATACAAAATTAGCCAGGTGTGGTGGGGTATGCCTGTAATCCTAGCTACTTGGGAGGCTGAGGCAGGAGAACTGCTTGAAGCCAGGAGGCGGAGGTTGCAGTGAGCTGAGATCACGCCATTGTACTCCAGCCTGGGCAACAAGAGCGAAACTGCATCTCAAAAAAAAGGGGGGCCGGGTGTGGTGGCTCATGCCTGTAATCCCAACACTTTGGGAGGCCAATGCAGGCAGATCATGAGGTCAAGAGATGGAGACCATCCTGGCCAACATGGTGAAACCGTGTCTCTACTAAAAGTACAAAAATTAAGCCGGGCACAGTGGCTCAAGCCTGTAACCCCAGCAGTTTGGGAGGCCAAGGTGGGTGGATCACGAGGTCAGGAGATCGAGACCATGGTGAAACCCCATCTGTACTAAAAATACAAAAAATTAGCCAGGCGTGGTGGCTCATGCCTGTAATCCCAGCTACTCGGGAGGCTGAGGCAGGAGAGTCGCTTGAACCCAGGAGGCAGAGGTTGCGGTGAGCCGAGATAGCACCATTGCACTCCAACCTGGGCAACAAGAATGAAACTCTGTCTAAAAACAAAAAATAAAAGGCTCCGCATTCCATGACTCATCATGGAAAAGATAAAATGATCCAAATTAAATATGTATTTCTATGCTGACTTATAAATTGCTAAAATAGTTCATAACCAATGTTTCGTTTGTCAAATCCATGTTCCTGGGAAGACAATCAAAGCTTCAGGTGCATTTGGCTACCTCATGGGCAATTTGAACATTTCAATTGTCAACTGTCATTTTCAATGCATGTTTTCTGGTTGCTTTCCCATGCAAGAGGGCTGATATTATAACAGTAGATCTATGGTATGGTGTATTTTCACCAGATACTGAAAGCTTTTTATGGCTCACTGACTGGGGACAATCAATTCCTTCACAATCTAGAACCTGAAGATTGGATCTTCTGAGAACATCAGAGAAAGAATGTCCTTGCCATCCACACTACAGCAGAACTTCAGGACCTTGAACTTTGGGTTCATAATCTCACAAGAGGGAAGTTTTTCACTGGAAGAAGATGGCATCCTTGATGTGAACAGCTTTTCCCAAGATCACAGATCAAGACTTCTGGTTTTTATTGTTTTTTTTTTTTTTTTTGAGACAGACTTTTTTTTTTTTTTGATATGGAGTCTCGGTCTTCTCGCTCCAGCTGGAGTGGAATAGCGCAATCTTGGATCACTGCAACCTTCACCTCCCAAATTCAAGCGATTCTTGTACCTCAGCCTCCTGAGCCGCTGAGACTACAGGCACATGCCACCATGCCTGGTTAATTTTGTGTGTGTGTGTGTGTGTGTGTGTCTGTGTGTGTGTGACAGGGTTTTACTCTTGTTGCCCAGGCTGGAGTGCAGTGGTGCGATCTTGGCTCACTGCAATTTCTGCCTCCTAGGTTCAAGTGATTCTCCTGCCTCAGCCTCCTGAGTAGTTGGGTTTATAGGCGCCCAACACCATACCCAGGGAATTTTTTGTATTTTTAGTAGAGACAGGGTTTCACCATGTTGGCCAGGCTGGTCTCAAACTCCTGACCTCAGGTGATCCACCCGCCTCAGTGTCCCAAAGTGCTGGGATTACAGGCGTGAGCCCTGTGCCCAGCCTCCGTTCCCCCCCACCCTTCTCTCGACTGAGAGAGACTGACTGGGGACAATCAACTCTCTCTAGACTGACAGAGAGAGAGAGAGAGGGAGGAAGAGAAAGAGACGGAGTCTGGCTCTCACCCAGGCTGGAGTGCAGTGGAGTGATCTTGGTTCACTGCAACCTCCACCTTCCGTGTTCAAGCGATTCCTGTGCCTCAGCCTCCCAAGTAGCTGGGATTGTAGGTCCGCACCACCACGCCCTGCTAATTTTTGTGTTTTTAGTAGAGACGGCTTCGCCATGTTGGCCAGGCTGGTTTTGAACTCCTGACCTCAGGTGATCCGCCAGCCTCGGCCTTCCAAAGTGCTGGGATTACAGGCGTGAGCCACCTCGCACCCGGCCAAATGAAATAAAATGCTAAAGTAAATTCAGGACTACCCCTCCTCCAAGTCTTCTGTCCCCTTTGGGCGCCCAGGTGAGCGGGGGAGGGGCTGGGGGAATAATAACATCAAAAGAGCGCCTTTTCCTCCCTTATTCCGAGGAGACTTTCCTGGGCCTGACTCCCGGTCCTGTCCCCAGCGCCCCGCGGCCTCTCGAGCCCCTTCAGTGACCAAGATGCAGAGATCAGGATGCCTTTGCGCCACCCCAGGTGCCCACCCCTAGCTGGTTCCGCCTGGGCCCCGAGGGAAGGTGAGGTCGAGGGCCGGGCCGAGGCGTGGCATCCAGGGTGTGTGTCCGCTGGGCTTGCTGCCTCCGGCGGCCCGGCAGCACCGCCCCACCTCTGCCACCCTCCGATGGGGCCGCTACCTGTGCGCCTGCCAATCAAGCTGCTCCTGCGGCTCCCGTAGCTGCTGCTGCTGCTGCTGCTGCTTGAACCTGGCCCCAGGTCCGGCGAGGGTAAGTGAGGAAGGGGCTTTCCCGGAACTCAGGCGTTCCGGGATTCCTCCAGCCCTTCCTAGGGACCCAGCAGCCCTGCCTCCCATCCCTCTTCAAGTTCCTAGTTGCCCTAGAGCCCCCAGCTCGCTCTTCTAATGCTCACCCACACTCTGGGTCCCAGCCCTCTGCAGGGCCCCCAACTCACTCCTCCCAGGGACCCAGAACTAGCCCAGCCCTTCCCCGGGGCCACAGAGTCCTCTCCTGGCTCCCTCCCCTAACCGGCTGTGACCCTCTCCAGCAGCCCGGAAGCTTCCCGCTTGTCCTGATCTGGGGTCCGCGAACTTATCCTTCATTCCACCTATCCCTGAGATGTGAGACACCAGAGGGTGGGAGGAGCAGGGGCAGAAAGGGCCCGGCTTGGGGGTGGGAGAAGAATATATTGTGCCCCTGTACAACAAACCCCTGTGACCAAAAAAAAAATATAGATCATACTGTCCCTATCTCACTATCCATCATTTGGGGTCACTGTAGAGAGGTCTCCTGGGTGACTGCCCATTTCTGGGGTGCACAGATACATGTAGCCACAGAATACTATGCAGACACCGCCAGCACACAGATGCGCAGGCACAGGACCAGCCCCAGACTCACCTGGCCCTCAGGTGTGCAGCTCACGGTGTGCAGCTCCCACAGGCAAAAATACTGAGATACCGCTAGGGGGACACATGCACACACAGCTCAAGGATACCCGAGACAGCACTCAGGACAATTCAGATGCGCCGTGTATATACACACACACACACACACACACACACACACACACAGAGCAGCACAGACACACATATGTGCACATAGACCCTGGGGCTCACAGGATGCACAGACAACCCTGGCCCTCCCCGAGGAGGCTGCAGCGGGCAGACAGGGCAAACAGACCCCAGAGTGACCTGCCCCACCTATGTTGGCACAGAGGGAGTGTTTTGCTTGGTTATAAGCAGTGCTCATGCCTGCCCCATACCTAGAACCCTCCCTCTATAGGGCTGTTGCTAGGGCTCTGAGATACCAGAGTGTGGTCAGGGAGTGTGGCAGGGGAAACTTTGGGGACAGCTTCAGGGTACTGTGTTGGGACTGGGACATTGTCAGGGTGCTCAGAGTGGGCGTGTTCCCTGGGTCTTGGTGGATTTAGAGGTCGAGGGACCATTTCTGGAAGCTCACTGTGTGCCAGGGGAGCTTATATCAGAGATCTTTTTTTTTTTTTTAAGACAGTCTCACTGTTGCCCAGGCTGGAGTGCAGTGGCACCATTTCAGCTCACTGCAACCTCCACCTCCCGGGTCCAAGAGATTCTCCTGCCTCAGCCTCCTGAGTAGCTGGGACTACAGGCGTGCACCACCACACCTGGCTAATTTTTGTATTTTTAGTAGAGACGGGGTTTCACCATGTTAGCAAGGCTGGTCTCGAACTCCTGACCTCAGGTGATCCACCTGCCTTGGCCTCTGAAAGTGCTGAGATTACAGGCATGAGCCACTGCACTAGGCCAGAGATCTGCTCTGGAAGACCCCCCAGGCCGGAGGGCACTGCCACAAGCAGACAGTATGGCGAGGGTCCCTATGGCCACCTGGCAGGCAGGGTGGATTCTGGAGGGAGGTGGCCTGGGAGCAGGCTGAGGATGGGGTGAGGGCACTTGAGCAGCAGAGTGTCTGCGTGACCAGGCATAACTGGAGGAACAGTAAACAACTCTTGTGTGAGAGGATGAGGGAGGGGTGAGAGGGGTTGACTACCCCCAGGACTTGGGGTGCGTTGAGACTCCTTAGCTTTATCCAGACTCTTGGGAGCTATGGAGGTTTGAGGCAGAGGTGTGGGCTGCTGGGAGAGTGAGGACTCACCATCCAGAGAGGAAGGCGAAGCTTTCAACTCTAAATGCCGTTTTATTTTCGTGTTTTTTTTTTTTTTTTTTTGAGATGGAGTTTCACTCTCGTTGCCCAGGCTGGAGTGCAATAGCACGATCTCAGCTCACTGCAACCTCTGCCTCCTGGGTTCAAGCGATTCTCCTGCTGCACCCTCCCAAGTAGCTGGGATTATAGGTGCGTGCCACCATGCCTTGCTGATTTTGTATATTTATTAGAAACAGGCTCT
Organism: Homo sapiens; assembly: GCF_000001405.40. Classification (NCBI taxonomy): domain Eukaryota; kingdom Metazoa; phylum Chordata; class Mammalia; order Primates; family Hominidae; genus Homo; species Homo sapiens. The sequence continues at coordinate 28,738,571 of NC_000016.10, read as the reverse complement.
CCCTCTCCCTCTCCCTCCCCACAGTCTCCCTCTCCCCCTCTTTCCACGGTCTCCCTCTGATGCCGAGCCGAAGCTGGACTGTACTGCTGCCATCTTGGCTCACTGCAACCTCCCTGCCTCATTCTCCTGCCTCAGCCTGCCGAGTGCCTGTGATTGCAGGCGCGCGCCGCCACGCCTGACTGGTTTTCGTATTTTTTTGGTGGAGACGGGGTTTCGCTGTGTTGGCCGGGCCGGTCTCCAGCTCCTAACCGCTAGTGATCCACCAGCCTCGGCCTCCCGAGGTGCTGGGATTGCAGACGGAGTCTCGTTCACTCAGTGCTCAATGGTGCCCAGGCTGGAGTGCAGTGCCGTGATCTCGGCTCGCTACAACCTCCACCTCCCAACCGCCTGCCTTGGCCTCCCAAAGTGCCGAGATTGCAGCCTCTGCCCGGCCGCCACCCCGTCTGGGAAGTGAGGAGCGTCTCTGCCTGGCCGCCCATCGTCTGGGATGTGAGGAGCGTCTCTGCCAGGCCGCCCATCGTCTGAGATGTGGGGAGTGCCTCTGCCCGGCCGCGACCCCGTCTGGGAGGTGAGGAGCGTCTCTGCCCGGCCGCCCCGTCTGAGAAGTGAGGAGACCCTCTGCCTGGCGACCGCCCCGTCTGAGAAGTGAGGAGCCCCTCCGCCCGGCAGCCACCCTGTCCGGGAGGGAGGTGGGGGTAAGCCCCCTCCAGGCCAGCCGCCCCGTCCGGGAGGGAGGTGGGGGGGTCAGCCCCCCCGCCCGGCCAGCCGCCCCGTCCGGGAGGGAGGTGGGGGGCAGCCCTCACGCAGCCGCCACCCCGTCCGGGAGGTGGGCACCTCTGCCCGGCCGCCCCATCTGGGAGGTGAGGAGCCCCTCTGCCCGGCCGCCACCCCGTCTGGGAGGTGTACCCAACAGCTCATTGAGAATGGGCCATGATGACGATGGCGGTTTTGTCAAATAGAAAAGGGAGAAATGTGGGGAAAAGAGAGAGAGATCAGATTGTTACTGTGCGTGTGTAGAAAGAAGTAGACATAGGAGACTCCATTTTGTTCTGTACTAAGAAAAATTCTTCTGCCTTGGGATGCTGTTAATCTATAACCTTACCCCCAACCCCGTGCTCTCTGAAACATATGCTGTGTCCACTCAGGGTTAAATGGATTAAGGGCGGTGCAAGATGTGCTTTGTTAAACAGATGCTTGAAGGCAGCATGCTCGTTAAGAGTCATCACCACTCCCTAATCTCAAGTACCCAGGGATACAAAAGCTGCGGAAGGCCGCAGGGCCCTCTGCCTAGGAAAACCAGAGACCCTTGTTCACGTTTATCTGCTGACCTTCCCTCCACTATTGTCCTATGACCCTGCCAAATCCCCCTCTCCGATAAACACCCAAGAATGATCAATAAATACTAAAAAAAAAAAAAAAAAAAAAAAAATTTTTGTGCCCTGCTACTGGCCTCAAGTGATCGTCCTGCCTCGGCCTCCCACAGTGCTCGGATTTCAGGTGTGAGCCACTGCGCCCAGCCCCAGCTGTGAATTTGTTTATAAAAACCCAGAGCATTGAAAGTTTTAAGAGACGGCCCGGGTAAGTCTTCAGTGCATCTCCTGCACATGCTCCACACCTGCGTTACACTAATCATGCCACTATCTCACTTCTCCAACCCTTTGAGCTTGCACTTTTTCCCTCTGCCTACATCAGTGCTTCTCAAATGTGGTAAAGGATCATTTAAAAAAAATTTCCAATCTAGACCAGGCATGGTGATGCATACCTGTAGTCCCAGTTACTTAGAAGGCTGAGGTGGGAGGATTGCTTGAGTCCAGGAGTTCAAGACCAGCCTGGGCAACACAGCAAGATCCCATGTCTTAAAAAAAAAAAACAATCTACTGTGGACCCATACTTATGTAAAACACAATAAGGCTGGGCGCGGTGGCTCACGCCTGTAATCCCAGCACTTTGGGAGGTGGAGGCGGGTGGATCACGAGGTCAGGAGATGGAGACCATCCTGGCTAACATGGCAAAACCCCGTCTCTACTAAAAAAAAAAAAAAAATACAAAAATTTAGCCAGGCGTGGTGTTGGGCGCCTGTAGTCCCAGCTACTTGGGAGGCTGAGGCAGGAGAACGGTGTGAACCCGGGAGGCGGAGCTTGCAGTGAGCTGAGCTCGCGCCACTGCACTCCAGCCTGGGCGACAGAGTGAGACTCTGTCTCAAAAACAAACAAACAAAAAACAAGCAAACAAAAAACACAATAAACTTAAATGATCAGAAAATAACCACATGCTTAGATATCAGAGCAAAGGCCCAGTCTCTCAATGCACCCTCTTACTGATGGCACCTGTCTTGTTATGAACAGGTAACAGTGCATCCACGCTGGTCTGGACCAGCTCTCCCTTCTCCCTGCCTGGTGAACCCTCAGGGTCCAACTGTCACTACTGTCTCCACTATGTCTTCCTGATGTTCCACCCCCGGTCACATCCTCAATACATCTGTGACTTTCTTTTTAAAACGGCGTCTCGCTTTGTTGCCCAGGCTGGAGAGCAGTGGTGTGATCTTGGCTCACTGCAACCTCCACCTCATGGGTTCAAGCGATTCTCCTGCCTCAGCCTCCCAAGCGGCTGCGACTACAGGCATGTGCCCCCATGCCCGGCTAATTTTTGTATTTTTAGTAGAGAGGGGGTTTCACTATGTTGGCCAGGCTGGTCTGAAACTCCCAACCTTGTGATCTGCCCACCTGGGCCTCCTAAAGTGCTGGGATTACAGGCGTGAGCCACTGCGACTGGCCTTTTAAAACACCCATTATAACTTATGTTACTATAATTTTCTGTTAAATGTCAAAAAGCAGCAGGCTCTTTGAGGTCAGGAACGTGTTCAATTCACCTCTTCATCTGAGCCTTGTGTCTGTCATGTGGTAGCAGCTCAGAAATATAATCAGCAAATGAATGGGCTCAACACACCTTTGTGGCAACAAGCAATCAACCAGAACAACTTTAAACAGACCTTTAGTGACTGAGGTGTGGTTTAGGACTTCAAGGTTGGATGGCCCAGGCGGGAAACAGAGTGGAGAGCTCAGTAGGCCGTCTGAGACTGCTGCTGGCGGTAGCCACCGCGGCGCATGTAGCCCTCGTTTTTGCGGTAGCCGTCCTTCTGGTCTGTAGGAGAGAGATGGGAAGGAAGGGCAGGGAATGCCAGGTGAGAGGCGGTGAGGGCACCAGGAGTGGGCAAGGAGAGGAGCCGAAGTACTCACCTCGGAAGTAGCCCCCGTAGGTGCCCTGCTTGTGGTCAAACACCCGTTCGTTGTTCTCCACCAGGCTGCCCAGCTTCTCGGCCAGCTGCAGAGCCAGGTTCTGCTGGGCAGTGGGCTCAGTGCGGTGCATCACCACTGTCTGTGTTGGCTGGTCCAGGGAGGCCTGACAGGCGCCAAGGCAGAGGAGGGGACACGACACAGATCAGGCCCCTCTGCTCCAATCCCTCCATGGCTCCACCTGCCCGCTTCCCACCCCGGCCCCTACGCTCCAATCCCTCCATGGCTCCACCTGCCCGCTTCCCACCCCGGCCCCTACCATCAGCTCCTCATTAATGATCATTTTGCTGATGATGGAGTGCACAGTGGGCAGATCCAGCTCAAACATGTCTGACAGCGTCTCCATGCTGGGAAGAAAGAAGGCAGAGGGCAGGGGCAGTCAGGACACTTGCCCACAAGGCTGGGGCCCTTCTGTGTCCCCAGGGCCCCGCCTACCTGATGGAGTCATAGACACTGCTGTAGGTGAAGAGGTAGGTCCTCAGTGACTCTTCCTGGATCTTCCTGTGGGAAGAGGGGACAGAAGACACAACAGGGCCTCAGGGAAGGGGACCAACCAGTCTCTTCTTCCCCGACCCATCACGGCCTCTCTGTCTGCTCACCTAACCAGCATGGTGCGGACTTTGTCAGCCTCGGGGAAAAGGTCCCACACTTTCCCATTCATCTTCTCATTGATGATAAAACTGTGACAGGTCTTCCAGTCACCCATCTTCATGGCCTTGGAGGCAGCGACCACATGTTCCCGCATGGACTCAGGGGGACCTGAAAGGGTGGGAATGAGGCAGGGCCTAGGGAACTTGGGACAAGTTCCATTAGCACTCTTTAAGGAGGAACAGAGGCTGGAGGAGCAAACCATACTAGAGACTCTCCCCGCCTCTCCACCAAACAGCCACGTAGTCGCCCAAGCCACTCCATCTGCACAAATGTTTGAACTCAATCAGTCCATAGATGCACTTCAGGGGACTGCCGAAACCCTCAAAAATGTTGACAAATTGTGCACATGTCCTCATGTACATTCTTCCTAGGAAAAAGGCCCATGGCTTTCATCAGATTCTCGTAAGCTTCCTTGACCTAAAAACACCTCTTCCAGCCAGGCGTGGTGGCTCACACCTGTAATAATCCCAGCACTTTGGGAGGCCAAGGCAGACGGATCATCTGAGGTCAGGAGTTGGAGACCAGCCTGGCCAGCATGGCAAAACCTCGTCTCTACTAAAAATACAAAAATTAGCCAGGCATAGTGGCACACGCCTGTAATCCCAACTACTCGGGAGGCTGAGGCAGGAAAATTGCTTGAACCCGGGAGGCAGAATTTGCAGTGAGCTGAGATCTTGCCACTGCACTCCAGCCTGGGCTACAGAGCGAGACTCTGTCTCAAAAAACAAAACAAAACAAAACAAAACCACCTCTTCCAGCTCAACTGGAATGGAATTTACCAACCCTTCCTCACTCACATCACCTTCATGAATGGTGCCATGCCCATGCATCAATTACACTGTTGCCAGCTTATTATTCTTCCAAGCAGCTCACTTCTTTTCCTTAAAAAACTTAGCCCCGGTCAAAATTATCTCTAAAATCACAAGTTTATATATTAATTATGAACTCAGGCCCCCAAATACAATCCTAAGACAAGCCAGGAAGGTAAGACATGGTACGCCATAGTAACTGGAATTCAGGGTAGACAAAGTGCAAAAGTTCTACGGCTAGAAATGGGTGGCAGACAGTGAAACACAAACACGCAGACTCCACAGCAAGAACGGCAAGCTCAATGCGAACGGGGATCAGGTCCAAATGGAACCATAGGAGCAGGGCTAAGTGTTAAGAGTGTAAGGAGAGGCACACAGCCCTCCTGGATGAACCTCCATTTTAACCATATTAACACTTGCAAAAGGCAAGGTTGGTCTGGGCGCAGTGGCTCACACCTGTAATCCCAGCACTTTGGGAAGCCGAGGTGGGCGGGCCACCTGAGGTCAGGAATTCGAGACCAGCCTGGCCAACATGAAGAAACCCCATCTCTACTAAAAATACAAAAAATTAGCTGGACATGGTGGCGGGGGCCTGTAGTCTCAGCTACTCGAGAGGCTGAGGCAGCAGAATCACTTGAACCCAGGAGGTGGAGGTTGCAGTGAGCTGAGACTGCGCCACTGCACTCCAGTCTGGGCAACAGTGAGGCTCCGTCTCAAAAAAAAAAAAAAAAGAAAGAAAGAAAGAAAAAGGCAAGTTTAGGGGCTCAAAGAATATTTCTCTATAGGCCGAACAACAGTGCAGGGCTGATGGAAACTGGCTTTTGGAACCACTGTAGGGAGAAATTGAGAGGCAGGGACTGTGGAGAAGCAGACAGCCCTTTCCCATCGCTGCTACTTCAGCTCCAGCCAAGGCTAGCTCTGCAGGAAGGCAGGGCCAGGAGCGACAGACTGCCAATATTCTAAGACATGAAAATTCCGATTTTCATGGGAAATTTCCCCACAAAGTAAATCTCACTACATAAGCCAAACAAAATGTGCCTAAGGGAACTTGCCCTTTAGCCCAAACATATACATGACCAGGAGAGGACAAATCTGTAGGGGGATGTGGCTGTGGACACTGGGCTCAGCTCACTCGTCAAGCCCTCCTGTGGGCCAATGTCACAGGAAGGGCGCAGCTCAATTCCTTTCCAGTGAGTCACCACTCACTGCAACCCTGCAGGATCTGTCTTTCAAAAGGGGCCAAAGGAATCAACGTTAGCCTCTTGAACGATAAGGCTCTATGATAGTTGGTTTGGCTGGAATATAATGTACATGAAGGGAAGAAAAGGGAAAGAAAGATCAGAGGTACACATGAGCTGCATTAAACTCGGGCAAGTCACTTAACTACTCTGTGCCTCAGTTTCTCCACTGGGAAAAAGGGTATTACTAGTACCTACCGGCATAGGGTTATTACTAATGCAGATTAAATAATTATTTGTAAAACACTTAGCACAGTGCCAGGCAGAGGAGGTGTCATTAAATCAGATGGAGTCGAGTGGTGGGAGAGTTACTCCCTTCACTTCTCTTAATCCTTATGTGTAATCAGGGAGCAAGGCAGCCTGCTGAACCCTGGAGCTCCACACTCACCCAGCAGGGGCTGTCGCTCGCCCACGCGCAGCTGGTGGTGGAACTGCTTGCTGATCATGCGTCGGCGGGCATCGCTCTCATGGGCGGCCATGTAGGGGATCTCCAGGAGCATGGCAGACACCAGGTAGACACACTCCAGCAGCTCCAGGTTGATGTGCAGGTGGAAGGGGACCTGACGGCGCCGCTCCACCTTCTCCTGCTCCTGGTTGCGCTCCTGCAGGCTGCGCAGCAGCAGGCCCTGGCCCAGAAGCTCCTTGGCTCGGCCACTCGACTGGATGTCCAGCAGGGCGTTGTGTGCGTCCTTGGTCAGGCCTTGGCGGAAGGCACAGATGCCCAGCTGCACCATGGTGCGGTTGTAAAGGATCTGGGGGCAAAGGGTCATAATGCACTCAGAGATGACAGCTGCAAGACAAGTCTTCATTTATTCCATAACTAAGCCGGGTGCAGTGGCTCACGCCTGTAATCCCAGCACTTTGGGAGGCTAAGGTGGGAGGATCACTTGAGCCCAGGGGTTCAAGATGGGCCTGAGCAACATGGAGATACCCCATCGCTAAAGATAAAAAACAAAAACAAAACTAAACAAATCTACTTCAAGTGCCTACTATGTGCTGAGCACTAGGCTGGGGAGGGAGAGCAAAACAGACAAGTCCCCAGTCTGCATGGAGCTTATGTCTAGGGGTGGGGTGTGGTGGGCAAGAGAGCTGCACTACAAGGATGGTGACTCATGCTGAGAAGAAAAATAAAGCAGAGGACGGAGCCAGGAAGGCAGTCTGCGCAGTGGTGGAGGCTCAAATGTTCATATAACTACAGAAGGCCTCATTGGGAAAGAATGTTTGAATAAAGACCTAAAGAGAGAGCAAGTCATGCAGGCATCTGGGGAAAGAATATCCTATAAAAAGGAAAAATAAACGCAGTGATCCTGTGGAAGAACCGGGCCAGGCATATTCAAGAAACAAGGGGCGCAACACAGCTAGGGCTGGGAAAAGATGCCACCACAAGCTGGGGGATGGGCGAGCACCAGCCATTTATGAGTTTTTTTTTTTTTTTTTTTTTTGGAGACGGAGTCTCACTCTGTCACCCAGGCTGGAGTGCAGCGGTGTGATATTGGCTCATTGTAAGCTCCGCCTCCCGGGATCACGCCATTCTCCTGCCTCAGCCTCTCCGAGTAGCTGGGACTACAGGCGCCCGCCACCACGCCCGGCTAATTTTTTGTATTTTTAGTAGAGACAGGGTTTCGCCGTGTTAGCCAGGATGGTCTCGATCTCTTGACCTCGTGATCCACCCGCCTCGGCCTCCCGAAGTGCTGGGATTACAAGTGTGAGCCACCGTGCCTGGCCTTGTTATGAGTTTTAAGACAAGAAACCATGGGAAGGTTTTGAGCAAACAGGTAATATGATCTGACATAACTGAACAGGGTTAATCTGTATTATGAACAGAACAAAGGGACTGAAGGGACACAAAGGCAGATGATGGTGGCTTAGAGCAGAGGGTACAAGCAGAAGTGACAGAAGTGTTCTCATAATGGACTGTAAACAGGAATGGCTGGGGAATCAGATACAGTATATGAGGGAAAAGTTCAAATCAAGAATGACTCCAAGGTTTCTGGTCTAAGCAACTGGGAAGAGGGACTTGGCACTAATTAAGACAGGGGAGACGGTAAGTGGTACAAATCTTGGGGGAAAAGGCTAAGTGTAGTCATAACAACAAAAATGTGGAGATCAATACCAGTCATAAGCTTACATGCAAAAAGCCTTAAAAATGTTAGCGACAGAATCCAGCAATATATAATATAAAAGAGACAATATACATGACCAAACTGGATATACTTCAGGAATAAAAGGTTGGTATAAAAATGTAATGAACTCGGCTGGGCGTGGTGGCTCATGCCTGTAATCCCAGCACTTTGGGAGGCTGAGGTGGGTGGATCGTGGGGTCAGGAGTTCAAGAGCAGCCTGCCCAATATGGTGAAACCCCGTCTCTACTAAAAATACAAAAGTTAGCCGGGTAGTGGTGATGTGCACCTGTAATCCCAGCTACTCGAGAGGCTGAGGCAGGAGAATTGCTTGAGCCTGGGAGGCAGAGATTGCAGTGAGCCGAGATCGCGCCACTGCACTCCAGCTTGGGTGACAGAGTGACACCCTTTTTCAAAAAACAAAAAACACACAATAATGAACTCATAGTTATTCATTATATGAATAGAATGAAGGAGAAGTAACCGGGTATTTCTTTTCTTTTTGAGACAGTCTTGCTCTGTTGCCCAGGCTAGAGTGCAGTGGCGTGATCGTGGCTCCTGCAGCCTCGACCTCCTGAGCTCAAGCAATCCTCCTACCTCAGCCTCCTGAGTAGGTGGGACTACAGGCGTGCACCACTATGCCTGACTAGTTTCTGTATTTTTTGTAGAGACAGGGTTTTGTTATGTTGCACAGCAATGAAGATAGTATGGGACTTGCATAAGGACAGACAAAAAGGTAAATGAATGGGACAGAGGGAATGACCTGAAAAACACCTACTCTTATAGGTAATGTGGTTTTTCATATTGTTTTCCACAAAGACACCAAAGCAATACAATAGGGGAAAGGAAGTCTTTTCTACAAATGATGCTAGAACAACTAGGTATCCATATGGAGGAAAAAGAAACCCTGATCCCAACCTCAGCAGATGCAAAAATCAAACCAAGACCAACTATAAGACTAAATGTAAAAGCTAACACCCATAGCAACTTACAAAAAAAAAAAAGAGAGAAATTTAAAAAGTCTTCATGAATTTCAGTTAGGCAAAGGTTTTTTAGACAGGATCCAGAAAATAATTACTATAAAAGAAAAAACTGGGCCGGGCGCAGTGGCTCATGCCTGTAATCCCTGCACTTTGGGAGGGTGAGGCGGGCGGATCATGAGGTCAAGAGATCGAGACCATCCTGGCCAACACAGATACTAAAAAATAAAAAAAATTAGCTGGGCATGGTGGTGGGCGCCTGTAGTCCCAGCTACTCGGGAGGCTGAGGCAGGAGAATTGCCTGAACCTGGGAAGCAGAGGTTGTAGTGAGTCGTCAAGATCGCGCCACTGCACTCCAGCCTGCCGACAGAGCGAGACTCCGTCTCCAAAAAAAAAAAAAAAAAAAAAATTCTGACACAGGACTAGCTATCCAGGATAGATAAGGCACTCCTACAACTCAATAAAGTGAACAATCCAATTGTTTTAAATGGGCAAGAACTGACTAGATATTTATTATTTCATGAAAGATAAATGGCCAATAAACATAAAAAAGTAAAAAAGTAGCCAATATCAATAGTCACCAGGGAAATGCAAACTAACACCACAATGAGATACCATTAGACAACCAACTAAAATTTAAAAGACCTTTGAGTGGCCGGTTGCGGTGGCTCATGCCTGTAATCCCAGCACTTTGGGAGGCTGAGGTGGGTGGGTCACCTGAGGTTCAAGACCAGCCTGGCCAACATAGTGAAATCTTGTCTCTATTAAATATACAAAAATTAGCCTGGTGTGGTGGCACGTGCCTATAATCCCAGCTACATGGGATGGTGAGGGAGGAGAATGGCTTGAACCTGGGAGATGGAGGTTGTAGTGAGCCAAGATTGCACCACTGCACTCCAGCCTGGGCAACAGAGCGAGACTCTGTCTCAAAACACACACACACACACACACACACACACCCCTAAAAGATACACACACACACACCCCCTAAAAGATACACACACAACCCCTAAAAGATACACACACACCCCCTAAAAGAGACACACACACACCCCTAAAAGATCTTTGAGACCAGCCTGGGCAACATAGTGAGACCCTGTCTCTACAAAAAATAAAAAATTAGCCAGGCATGGTGGCACATGCCTGTAGTCCCAGCTATGGTGGCACATGCCTGTAGTCCCAGCTACTATGGAGGCTGAGGTGGGAGGATCACTTGAACCTGGGAATTTGAGGCTACTGCGGGCCATGATCATGCCACTACACTCAGTCTAGGTGACAGTGCAAGACCCTGCCTCAAAAAACAAAAACAAAAAAAAGTTTAAAAGACCAATACCACCGCCGGCATGATGGCTCACTCCTGTAATCTCAGCACTTTGGGAGGCTGAGGCAGGCAGATCACTTGAGGTCAGGAGTTTGAGACCAGCCTGGCCAACATGGTGAAACCCTATCTCTACTAAATTACAAAAATTAGTCGGAAGTGGTGGCGGGCACCTGTAATCCCAGCTACTCGGGAGGCTGAGGTAGAATCGCTTGATCCTGGGAGGTGGCAGTTGCAGTAAGCCAAGATTGCACCACTGCACTCCAGCCTTGGCGACAGAGCGAGACTCCCTCTCAAAAAAAGACCAACACCACCAAAAGTTGACAAGGAACTCCCAAACACTAACAGGAGTGTAAAATGGTATAACCACTTTTGAGTTTCTTACAAGAATGTTCACAGCAGCTTCATACATTAGAGCCAAAAACTGGAAATAAACTGGGTGTCCGCCAAGAGGAAAACAGACACAGTGATATGTTCATACCATAGAATAGAAACACAAATAGGAGGGCTGTTTAAAAACCAGCAGTACCCCCAGACAGGTTCACCAGGTGCTCTACACATAAACATTTCCTAGTTGCCTCAAATATACTTTTACATGATCTACACTTCCAGACACAGCTTTTTTTTTTTTTTGAACAGTCTTGCTCCATTACCCAGGCTGGAGTGCAGTGGCACAACCTCGGCTCACTGGAACCTCTGCCTCTTGGGCTCAAGCACTACCAAGCCTGGATAATTTTTTTTTTTGACACGAAATTATGTGTTTACATGCAGGAGGACTGCAGGATGCTGGCAACTGGGAAAGACCAAGTGTCTACTTAAATTTGCACCGGCCAGACAGGTGGCTGTTCTGGTTAAGCCAGTTTGCCAAGAGGCCAGGGGCCTGGCACTCCTTCACCTCCAAGGCCTCCCCATCCTACCTGCACTGGCGGGTCTGCATGCTGAATGTTGTCCTGCAAGTGGCTCATGAGCATGAGGTCGCGGGCCTGGTACCAGCGCGAGTGCAGAGCATGGTGGTAGATGTGGCAGAGGATGGCACATGTGCGGATCCGGTCTGTGCGGTCCTTGGCGTAGATGTACTTGCACAGTCTCTCCATCAACACAGCCGAGTCCTCGCCCTCATTTTCTGCCTGGTCTTGCTCAGACTGGGGAGGAAGGGAGGTTATTTGCAAAGGAGATCCAGCTTTAAAAGGCACAGGCTCTAGCAACTAAAGATGAGACTCTATCCAGTCTCATTCTAATACCTCAGTTTCCCTCCCTGCTCCACCTGCGGAAGTCTAGAGAGTAACAGATTTGCTGTCAAGTCCTGACAGAAGTGGAGGACAGGTGGACACACCCATTCCCCTCTGCCATGACTGCCACGTGCTCACCTTTGAGGAGCCCTCAGGCGGGGTCAGCTGTCGCTGATGGGCCTTGTAATCAAACTTGTAGTAGGTGTGCAGGATGCGCAGCAGGTAGATGCGGCAGACCTCCTCGGTAGTGCCCTTCTCCTCCAGGTAGCGCTGCACACGCTCGATGATGGCACACACCTGGGCCTCATCCTTCAAGTGCTCCACGTACTCTGGCAGGGAGAGCACCCACCCTTGTCTCAGCTGGGCAGCCAGGCTTTCCCATCTGTCCCCACTCATTCCAATCAACCCGTCCCTCTTCTGCACCCGTCAGAAAAGTCTAGTCAGTGTGCCCCAGAAAGGCCATCTCCCACTCCCAGGACCCAGAACCTTCCAGTCCCACAGCTTAGGAAAAAAATCCCAACTGCCAACCTCTGCCAATAAGGGTCTGCCAGGCCTGGCCCTTGCCTGGTCTCCCACGATTCTCCCTCTGGCTTCCTGTGCTGGAGTCCCACTGGCCTTTTTACTCCTGGAACATCAAGCTCGCTCTCTGCTCCTCCTGTCAGGCGCTGTCTTCAGCTGATTCTTCCCCTAACTCCTCCTCATTGGATCTCACCTCAGGTGGTCCCTACTTAAGGGTGCTTTCTCCAGCTGTTAGCTACAGCAGCCACCCCTCCAGCCACTTCTTACCACAGGGCCCTAGTTTAACTCTGAACTTTATATCATCTAGAATTATTATTATTATTTTTTGAGATGGAGTTTCACTCTTTCGCCCAGGCTGGAGTGCAGTGGTGTGATCTCAGCTCATTGCAACCTCTGGCCCGCTGGGCTCAAGGGATTCTCCTGCCTCAGCCTCCCACATAGCTGGGATTTACAGGCACCTGCCACCATGCCTGGCTAATTTTTGTATTTGAGTAGAGCCAGGGTTTTGCCACGTTGGCCAGGCTGGTCTCAAACTCCTGACCTCAGGTGATTCACACACCTCGGCCTCCCAAAGTGCTAGGATTACAGGCGTGAGCCACTGCACCTGGCCCAGAATTATCTTAACATCATACTATTTTTTTTTTTTTTTGAGATGGAGTCTTGCTCTGTCGCCCAGGCTGGAGTGCAGGGGTGTGATCTCGGCTCACTGCAAGTTCCGCCTCCTGGGTTCATGCCATTCTCCTGCCTCAGCCTCCCAAGTAGCTGGGACTATAGGCGCCCAGCACCACGCCTAATTTTTTTTGTGTGTGTGTGTGTATTTTTAGTAGAGATGGGGTTTCACCGTGTTAGCCAGGATGGTCTCAATCTCCTGACCTCGGGATCCGCCTGCTTCGGCCTCCCAAAGAGCTGGAATTACAGACGTGAGCCACCACGCCCGGCCATATCTTACTACTATTATTTTTCAATCTGCCTTTCTCCATCCAGCACAAAAGGTAAGCTTTTGGCTGCCTTGTTAATCACTACACCCTTGACTTGATGGGCACATTCACACTTTTACTGAGTAAACTATGCTGCACTTTCACACCCCAATGCCTCTCATCCAAGCTAAACAAGAGAAGTGAATAGATGCCTTACCCCAAAGGTTCTCAAAGTATAGCCCTGAGACCAGCAACCTGGGAGCAGGCTAGAGGTGCAGGTTCTCAAGCCCCACTCAGACCTATGGAATCAGAAACGATGGGACTGGGAGCCAGCATCTCATCAGGCCCTTCCGTGTGAACGCTAGGTAAGTTGAAAGGCTGGCTTTTCAAGCACTCTGACTTAGTATAATCCTCACAAAGCTCTAAACCTAGTAATATTCCCCACAATTTTCCTCTCAGCAAAGCCCACGCTTGCTCAGGCTCACCTTGGGAGTGAGGGTCAGTATTTTGCATTATTTTGGTAAATTCTTCATCCATTCGTTCCACCAGAGTTAGGATGCAGCCACGGACACGCAGTGGCTGAAAAGGAAGGCGAAGGAGGAGTCAACAAATTAGCCCAGATCTCAGTCTCAAACCTCAACCCTCGGGTCCCACTGAGCCTTCCCAAAGCATAAAATACACACCTCCAGTTATCCTGCCAACTCCTCCCTTTACCTGGTCAGCGTTGTGCAGGTTCTCACTCTCTTCCAGAATATTCTCTCCAACAAAAATGTTGGGATTTGCAAACAGGATATCCATCAGCTCATTGATGCAGTCCAGGCACTTCCCCCACATCTCTGGCTGCCAAGATTTCAGGCCACATCAGAGTCAGAGGTGTGAAGGTAGAGTAAGCGGATGCCTCCCCCTTCAGCAGGAATCATGGGGCCTTCCACCACCAAGACTGCCTCCATAGCCCCTGAGTCTTAAGATGCTAGGTACCTTCTTCCCCCAACCCACCAGCGATGCCCTGAGATGAGCCTCTTCACTGCTCTCACCTTCATGTAGGTTGCCAGGTTGGGGTTGTAGTCATAGAGAGAGGCGATGATATTGAACTTGATCTTGACAATGACGCCCTCTCCCAGGTTGTTTTCCGCTGCAATCTGAACCAGCAGTTGCAGCAGCTCAATCTGGGCAGCACTAGAGGGCCAGAGAGCTGGGTGAGGCTTTGGAGACAAATCACAAAGTCTCTCCCAGCATGCCCGCTTCGGATAACGCGCCCTCCTCATCACCCATATCCCTGCTTCTCCTTTATAAATTCCAAACAGAAGCAACAATAATCCCAACCATCCTGGAATGCTGTGAAATGCTTCACACCTACCACCATCCTCTGTTACCTAATAACTAAAGAAGGTAAACACTCTTTTACTTTTTTAATCTTAAAAAAAAAAAAAGCCAGGTGTGGTAGCTCATGCCTGTAATCCCAGCACTTTGGGAGGCTGAGGCAGGCGGATCACTTGAAGTCAGGAGTTCGAGACATGGTGAAACCCCATCTCTACTAAAAGTACAAAATCAGCCAGGGATGGTGGCGGGTTCCTGTAATCCCAGCTACTCAGGAGGCTGAGGCAGGAGAATCGGTTGAACCCAGAAGGCAAAAAGGTTGCAGTGAGCCGAGATCGCGCCAGTGCACTCCAGCCTGGGCAACAACGAGACTCCATCTCAAACAAAAAAAAAAAAAAAAAAAAAAAGAGGAGAACATTATCTCATTGTATAGATGGGAAAACAGATCCAAAACGTTAAGTGATTGGTTTTAAGTCACAAGAAGAGTAAACAGCAGATAATGGACGGGGATGCCCCAAGCATACAATTCCCTCTACTACAGCCACACACAGACCCTCCCAACAATCCCTTCCCCCAACCTCCACCCTCTGCCACCCTGCAATCCCACTGCCCAGGCCCACGAATCTTACCGATCAGTTCCCTTCTTGCCTCGTGCCTGTAGGATCTCATTCAGTTTCTTGATAACAACAGCATGGGTGATCTCAGTTCCCTTGGCAAACATTTTTGGCTTCTCCTGTATCAGCACATATCCCGTCATGTACATGCCAGCGGGAAACTGTCCTTGCCTTTTCCCCACAAGGGGACCTTTATGTCCTCCCAAACTGTTCCCCAATTCATTTTACCTCTGAAACCCTCACCTTAACCAACGGCACTCCGCCCCGGACCCTTTCCCACTCCCCGCCTTCATTGTCCTCCTCCTCCTCATCCAGGCGCTTGGATTTCCTGTCGTGCTTCTTCTTAGCTTTGTCCTCCCGTTTCTTCTCGGCTGCCTTCTTGTCCTCATCTGTGGTGGGTGCCCTGCCGACAGACATGGGAGAAGATGACAGATCAGCCCCTCCCCACCTCTAAGGCTTCTTCCTCCCATCAACTTCCTCTTTTCCTCCAGCAGCTCCTGGGTCCAAGTTATGCTCTACAACAATGACCTAGAGGGCACAGTGAACCATAACCATAGCCATCTCTAACAAGACAGAGTACTAACCAGGCCACTGTAGACATATTAATAGAAACAACCTGTCAGCTAAGCATGGTAGATCACTTGACGTCAGGAATCCAAGACCAGCCTGGGCAACATGGTGGAACCCCATCTCTACTAAAAGTACAAAAATTAGCCAGGCATGGTGGTGCACGCCTGTAGTCCCAGCTACTTAGGAGGCTGAGGCACGAGAATCACTTGAACTTGGGAGGCAGAGAAGGCTGCAGTGAGCCACAATCATGCCACTGCACTTAAGCCGGGGTGACAGAGCAAGACTCAGTCTCCAAAAAAACAAAACAAAACAAAACAAAAAAAAACCAACCTGTCATTTTGCTCCAAAGCTAACATCTACAGTTTTCCAAAGAATCCACAAACAACTTATTTTCTTTGATACCAGCTGCTTTCTCCAGACTGACCAACTAATCAATGAATCAGTTCCCCCAAATATATAAAAACATTTTTTTCTTTTTTACTATTCCTAAACTGTTTTATCGCTTTCTCTCCTCTCTTGACAACCGATTAATCTAAATTCTGAATTTAAAAAAAATGTTCATTACAAAAAAGGTCCCCACAAAACAGAAAAAGATCACCAGCTACCTTAAAATGGTCTTAGGCTACTGGATGTTGCCTGAAACCATCTCCAGACTTGAGTATGTATTTATGTAACAAAATACAAACCAAATGGCAAAGACAAATTACTTCAAACTTTGCACAGATACTGAAGAATAAATCTTTCCAGAAAGACTCAACATTTTTGAAAACTCATATGTAATAACCATAATCTACCATTTGAACATTTATAAATAAATTTCATTTTCACTGCTTAAAAGGTTTGAATATGTTTTTGGAATAGTCTATAAGTTTACCAGTTAAATTAAGTCTTCCCTTGCCAGAAGACCAATGCCATAACTCTCAACAAAAGTGTATGGACTGGCCAAGCACGGTGGCTCAAGCCTGTAATCCCAGCACTTTGGGAGGCCGAGGTGGGCGTATTGCTTGAGCCCAGGAGTTTGAGACCAGTCTGGGTGACAAGGTAAAAAGCCCGTCTCTATTAAAAACAACAACAACAACAACAACAACAACAACAAAAGCTTATGGATCTTTCCCCTGTACCACTGCAAGACTCTAATGATGACTCACTTTATAGGTAAAATCCTTTGCAAATATGCAAAGCATGTTCATTAAACTAAAACCTCTTGGTCCAAACCATCTGTATAGCTCTGAGATCAGAAGAACTAAAGCTATTTTTTAAAATGAATGCTTCAAAAGAACTTAAACTTCCTTGGCTAAAGTATTACTTCTAGCACTAAAGATAGTATGATACACACCTCAAAAGGGAAATGTACTATTGTATGAAATTCTAACTGAAAGACCTAAGACTTGGCTTGACCTCTCCTATGACAGATTATACTCTGGTATATTCATATCTTGTTAGAAATTATCAGATAACAAATGTTTATATCCTCAGCTATATAATCAACAGATAAAAGCAACATTTCTAAACGAGTATTACCTCTACTTAATACATAGTTAAGAGACTAAAAACTCATTATTGAGAGACACCAACGGAAGTCAGGCCTAACTACACTGCAGAGGACCACACCATTTTCCCATGCCTTCCCAACCACAACTACTGATGGAAAGCCCTAGATGTATACCCTTGCTTAGGATCCTAACTCGGACATTCAGTCTCACTAGAGATCCTGGGGTTCACTTAAAAAACAAAAACAAAAACAAAAAAACGCCTCCAGAATCAGGTAACTCTTAGAAGTAGACAGCAGCTCTGTAAGAGTTCACAGGTCGCTGGGCGCAGTGGCTCACGCCTGTAATCCCAGCACTTTGGGAAGCCGAGGCAGGCAATCAAGAGATAAGGAGATCGAGACCATCCTGGCTAACACGGCGAAACCCCGTCTCTACTAAAAATACAAAAAATTAGCCAGGCGTGGTGGCACGTGCCTGTAATCCCAGCTACTTGGGAGGCTGAGGAGAACTGCTTGAACCAGGGAGGCGGAGGTTGCAGTGAGATGAGATTGCACCACTGCACTCCAGCCTGGGCAACAGAGCAAGACTCCATCTAAAAAAAGAAAAAAAGAAAAAGAGTTCACAGGTCAATCATGACATCAGGTATAGATGAACTTCCCCCTAATACCTTCAGATCACCATAAGACAACAGATGGCCTTATCCCACATCAAAGAGGCTGAAGCTCATGAGAATAAACCCACTCCTTTACAAGCTTGTTTTGACCAAAAGATGAAGGCTGAGAAATGCTGATGATGGAAAGGGTATATTTAGACTGGCTGAATCTGGAGTTGCTGAAAACCCTTACTGGCAGAGGGCCTATCGTGTTTTCTAGAGCATCCACCAACCCTGGGTGGCATACTCAAGGAGAGTTAATATCAGAGTTTACACAGAAAAACGGGCAAACAGAATCCACTGTTCTGTGGTTTTGCCCTCTCTCCTTGTTCCTCTTTCTCCTATATAAATCCTGCTTTTGCTCGGTTGGAAATTAATCTGAAAATCTGTCTCCCTTGTTACACAAGTGAAATAGTGTCTGTGAATTATTCTTCTACACTACAAAGCCACAAACTCTCAATGTCAAAAAGATTCTGACACTTGAAATTCTAACTTTATTTTCTCAAGGGTTTTCCTCAGAACATTGATTCAACTAATTTTAGACTATTCTGATTAGGTATACAAGTTAGTTTACAGGTTAACAAAAAAAAATTTGGCTGGGTGCGGTGGTTCACGCCTGTAATTCCAGCACTTTGGGAGGCTGAGGTGGGCAGATCACGAGGTCAGGAGATCGAGACCATCCTGGCTAACACAGTGAAACCCCGTCTCTACTAAAAATACAAAAAAATTTAGCTGGGCATGGTGGCAGGTGCCTGTAGTCCCAGCTACTCAGGAGGCTGAGGCAGGAGAATGGCGTGAACCCGGGAGGCGGAGCTTGCAGTGAGCCGAGATTGCGCCACTCACTGCATTCTAGCCTCGGCAACAGGCTAGTGTCTCAAAAAAAAAAAAAAAAAAATTCAAGAATAACCTCTAAAAGCATAGCACGTCTAACTCCCAAACCAGCAGAAAAAAACAAAATGAATAATAAGAAAATATATATAACTAGAAACGGGGAAAAAAAAAAGAGGATGAGAAAATACATGTAGGCTAGGTGTGGTGGCTCATGCCTGTAATCCCAGTACTCTGGGAGGCTGAGGCGAGCGAATCATCTAAGGTCAGGAGTTCAAGACCAGCCTGGCCAACATGCTGAAACCTCATCTCTACTAAAAATATAAAAATTAGCTGGGCGTGGTGGTGCTCACGTGTAGTCCCAGCTACCCAGGAGGCTGAGGCCTGAGAATCACTTGAACCCAGGAGGCAGAGGTTGCAGTGGGCCAGGATTGCACCGCTGCATTCCAGCCGGGGCAACACAGTGAGACTCCTTCTCAAAAACAAAAACAAAAAACACACAAATAAAAGAAAAATAAAATACAGGCTGAATATCCCTTATCTGAAATGCTTAGAACCAGAAGTGTTTCAAATTTCAAATAATTGCATATATATAATGGGGTATCTTGGGAAGGGCTCCAAGTCTAACTATGAAATTTGTGTGTTTCATCTACACCTTATACAAACAGCCTGATGGCAATTTTACATAGTATTTTAAATAATTTTGTGCATGAAACAAAGTTTTGACTGCAACCTGTCACATGAGGTCAGATGTGGAATTGTCCACTTATGGTGCTCCAGAAGTTTCAGACTTTGGAATTAGAGATGCCCAATCTTTAGAAGACAGAATGAATTTCAAAATAATTATGATTAAAGAAACTACCCCCTCCAAATTATATACCGTTGATTCCATTTACATAAAATTCTAGAAAATGCTAACTTACCTAGTGACAGAAAGCAAATTAGTGGTTGCCCAGGGATAGGGTGAGGAAACTGAGGCAGGGAGAAGTATTACAAAGGGGAAGGTGGAAATGTTTAGGTGTGAAATTTTTAGGATATTATGTTTTGATTGTGGTGAGTTCTATGGGTGTAAACATATGTCACAACTTATTAAATTTAACTTTAAGGCTGGGTGCGGTGGCTCATGCCTGTAATCCCAGCACTTAGTGGAAGGCCGAGGCGGGTGGATCACGAGGTCAGGAGATCGAGACCATCCTGGCTAACATGGTGAAACCCTGTCTCTACTAAAAGTACAAAAAATTAGCCAGGCGTGGTGGCGGGTGGCTGTAGTCCCAGCTACTCAGGAGGCTGAGGCAGGAGAATGGTGTGAACCCGGGAGGTGGAGCTTGCAGTGAGCCGAGATTGCGCCACTGCACTCCAGCCTGGGCGACAGTGCAAGACTCTGTCTCAAAAAAAAAAAAAAAAAAAAAAAACTTTAAACAAGTGCAGTTATTGTATGTCATGTACACCTCAATAAAGCTATTACAAAATTTAAAATAAAGAGGATAAACAGAAAGTATAAGATACCATAAAATGGTAAGAATAAATGCATTGATAACCACAATAGGCTGGGCGCAGTGGCTCACGCCTGTAATCCCAGCACTTTAGGAGGCCCAGGCAGAAGGGTTACTCGAGCCCAGGAGTTCGAGACCATCCTGGGCAACAGGGCAAGACCCCATCTTGATAAAAACTAATTATGTAGACACATATATAAATAACCATCATATATATGTAAATAACTATAATAAACGTAAATGAACTAAATTGCCAGAGAAGCAGAGATCAAGTTCTGGCGGTCATTGCACAATGTGAACGTACTAAATGCCACTGATTTGTATACCTGAAAATGGTTAAAATGGGAAATGTTATGTATCACAATAAAAGAAAAAAAAAGCAGAGATTTTATGAGATTAAAAAAAAAACAAACCAAAAACCTAGCTGTGCTTAAGAGACACTCTTTTTTTTTTTTTTTTTTTTTTTTCCTGAGACGGAGTCTTGCTCTGTTGCCCAAAGCTGAAGTGCAATGGCGCGATCTCGGCACACTGCAACCTCCGCCTCCCGGGTTCAAGCAATTCTCCTGCCTTAGCCTCATGAGTAGCTGGGACTACAGGCGCAGGCCACCACACCGGGCTAATTTTTTTGTATTTTTAGTAGAGATGGGGTTTCGCCATGTTGGCCAGGCTGGTCTCGAACTCCTGACCTTGTGATTTGCCTGCCTCCGCCTCCCAAAGTGCTGGGATTACAGGCGTGAGCCACCACGCCCAGCCAAGAAACACTCTTAATCATACAGCATGGCAGAGTTAAAAATAAAAGGACAGGAAACGTCCTTTTCATAAACATCCTTTATCAGGTAGAGGGAAGCTCCCTTCTATTCCTAGCTTCAGTCTTTTATCATGAAAGAATATTAGGATTTTTTTCAAATGCTTTTTTTTGCATCTGCTGAGATGACTCTACGGCTTTTGTCTGTTATTCTATTGATATAGTATATTAGTTGATTTTCATATTAAAACATCCTTCTATTATTGGGATAAATCCTCCTTGTTATTAAATTTTTTTTTAAAACTTTTTTGGGAGATGAGCCCACCCATCCTCCATCCCCCTACAGGCAAGGAGGGGGTGCTCCCATATAATCCTTATTGTATGTTGCTGTGTTTGGTTTTCTACTATGTTGTTAAGAACTTTTGAGTCTGTATTTATAAAAGTATAGCTTTATAGTCTTAGAGTTTTTTTTGTTTTGTTTCGTTTTCTGAGACAGAGTCTTGCTCTGTCGCCCAGACTGGAGTGCAGTGGCACGATCTCGGCTCACTGCAACCTCTGCCTCCCAGTTCAAGCGATTCTCCTGCCTCAGCTTTCCGAGTAGCTGGGACTACAGGCGCCTGCCACCATGTCTGGCTAATTTTTTGTATTTTTAGTAGAGACTGGGTTTCACTGTGTTAGCCAGGATGGTCTCGATCTCCTGACTTCGTGATCTGCCCGCCTCGGCCTCCCAAAGTGCTGGGATTACAGGCGTAAGCCACCGTGCCCAGCCTTGATGTCTTAAGTTTAATTTTAGGCCCCATTTGCTCCCTCAGACAGGAGCCTTTGTGTAACACACATGTGCAGTGCACATCACACACCGGAGTCCACACAATGGGAGACTTCAATACACAATTATTCAAAGACAAAAACACAAAGTACAGTAGATATAAAAGACCTGAACCAATAGTAACGCTGATAGTTCTGTAAGATGTCAACAGGTTAAAAAAACGAGTTTCATGATCAAGCAAGTTTTTGAGATGGTTAATAAAACAAAGTTAGGTATATTTATTCTCATGGAACTTTCCAGAGGTGGTTGTAAACCCTCCAAGAAGGGGTGTGATAGACAATGTGGCCCAGACCTTGACCAGTGTTCCCTGAAGCACTGGACAAAAAAGGCCTTCTCAACAAAATGCCCACCAAGTAAGTTGTTCAGCCTCTCTAGACCTCTAGAGGGCTGGAAACTCACTACCTCCCTAAAGCAGCACGACCACAACTTTTAAACACAGGAAAGCAACCTTGAGAGCAATAATCTTCCCATTAAAAGGGTACTATTTGTCTGGGTGCAGTGGCTCACGCCTATAACCCCAGCACTTTGGGAGGCTGAGGCGGGAGGATCGCTTAAGCCCAGGAGTTCAAGATCAGCATGGGTAACATGGTGAAATCTTGTCTGTATTAAAAACACAAGAATTAGCCGGATGTACTGGAGTGTACCTGTAGTCCCAGCTACCCAGGAGCCTGAGGTGGGAAGATCACCTGAGCCCAAGAGGTTGTGGTTGCAGTGAGCCAAGATTGCATCACTACACTCCAGCCTGGGAAGAGTGAGACCCTGTCTCAAAAAAAGCACTTTTTATCTGTAGTTTGTGCAAACTGGCTAAGAAAAAATAAATAAAAGCACTATTTTTAGTGAGCTTGAGATTTCACTCCCATGGGATACAAAAGAGCAGGTATCACTTTTACTTCAAAGGGAGAAACTAAGACTTAAGGTCAAGTAACTTATACAATGTTGTACAGCTGATAAAGGCTGGGAGACAGAATCCACACTGGGATCCTCCCCTATTCTGACTGTCCCAGTAAAGGTCATGAACACTTGCGGCAGTCTGTATGCTGTATGTGTACTAAGAAGTTATCAGGAAGGGTAACACAGTAGCAACGCACACTGAGGGCTCACCACACGTCAGTCCTAGATGAACTACTTTCTTACATCACACCTCCCTGTATTCCTGCAGCTATTCTGGAAGGGAGGGTTCCCTGCCTTATTTTACAGATGAGAAAACTGAAGATTAGACAGGCTAAGTAGTTTGTCCAATGTCACACAGGTATCGGGTGCCAAAGTGAGATTTGCACCCAATCCACACGCAGTGAGTAAGGCTGTGGGTAAATATTTGGACTCTGGAGCCTTCAATTCTCATCTTTAGGACACATTAGCTTCGTGACTTTAGCCAACTAATGTACTTGACTCTCTGATCCTACTGTAAAATGCTAACAGTTGGCTGCTCCAACCTAAAAGGACTCCATGGAAGAATCAATAACCTTCCAGACAATTAAGAGCTTTCCACCAGTTCCAGTGTAACCCTAGGTCCCACTACTTTCCTTACTTTTTAAGAAATCTTGAGGCCAGCGCGGTTTGTTTCCCTTCTTCCTCCTCTGAGTCGGAATCGGAAGATGTGGAACCTGTGTCCCAGTCTTCATCATCTTCGGAATCTTCTGAGTCCTCATCTTCATCCTTAGAGGGAAGAAAAGAGGATCAGCAAGAAGACAGGGAGATTGACTGGTGTCTCCTCCTTACTAACGCATGTTCGAGATTTATTTACATGAGTAGAACAAGAGCAGCTACTCATGGAATCAAGATACCAAGGGCTGGGACTCACCATCAAGTCCCAGAGTGATGCTGCAATTTGGCCGCAGGAACACACACAGCTTCCCCTGGCAGAGCTGGGCCCAGATCCCTGTTTGCCCACTGCTCTGATGTAAGAGGAAGCTTGTTCTCAACTCCACTAAATTCCACCCCTCCCAACCCTAGGGGTTTGAGTCTTGTCTTTTTCCCCCAGGGACTCAGGAACTACCTCTGGCAGGAAATCATCCATCTAACCCTGGCTCTTACATCCATCTTTTTGAGGAACTTGCGACTCTCCCCAGAAGGAGCTTCTGATTTCTTCTTCAAGAAAGTTGCAGCACTGACTCCGTCCTCATCCTCATCCTCATCTGAAGAGCCTAGTGGTAATGGAGGGAGAAAAAGATCCTGAATGTTGAAAAGCCAGACTGGAGGGCAGCCAAGAAACCAGGCGAAGGGCAACACTAACTCTGGACTTCCTATTTGCAACAAAGGTTCTTTGGCTCACCTTCTGAATCCTCCTCATTTTTCTCAGCATCTTCATCCGCAGACTGCTCGGGGTTCTGGACAGAGAGGGAAGTGAGAGAACAATCATGGACGCTGTCCAGCCATCAGCCCACCCCACCCCTCCACCCCAGACAGTTCTGTCATCTTCCTGCTCCAGTCACACCTCCCACTAGCAATTCCATCTTTGGGCCTCAGTCACGGGGTCACTGTTCCCAGTTCAGTAAGTGTGCCTCTAGCCTCCCCACCTGCTTGTAGCTTGTGATATGGGACTCGAAATCACGGTTGTATTTTCGGATCTTCTGACGCAAGGTGCTCAGAGCCTTGGCATTGTTCTTGTTCATCTTCTTCTTCCCTTCCTTATCTTCCCAAAGCTAAAGGGAAGAAGAGGAAAGAAACAGAGAACAGTGATTTGAAACTAAGTAACATTTCCTAAACTCCAGGCTTCTTCTCCACTTTTGAGTCTTGCTATTGGAACACCACTGGTACTACTTATTAACTACATCTGTTAGCTTATTTTTAAAAGATCCTATACATCCCACCACTAAAAGTACAAAACCATGAATAAGTGGTGGTAATAAATATAGGCATCACACCTCATTAAGATAGTCCTCTAGGTCAGCCAGGATGCGGATATAGAACCGGGGGACACCTTCTTTGTCCACAATGCTTTTGGCCTTCCCATATGCTTTTCCCAGGAGCTCAAACTCTTCCAGGCACTTGGTGACATCACGAATCTTCATGGCATTACGGATGGTCCGGATAAGGTTGGTCAGCTCCTCAAACCTGGGTTGGGAGCCCGATACCACATTGAACGTGCCCACCGAGGGAAAACTCACCACTGCTCCCAGAGACTCCTATCACCCAGCCTCCCCACAGCTTCATTGCTCCCAGAGACTCCCATCACCCAGCCTCGCCATGGCTTTACCTCTTGTCCTTGGCACTGCGGACAACTCTCTTGGTATCTTCTTCATCCTCGCTCAGCAACAATGGCCTGTTTGGAAGGAACAGAGGCCATTAACCTCCTTTCCCAGTCTTTCCAAGAGATCCGTATTTCCCTACTCAGGACAGGTAGAACTAAGTAATCCAGGCCATCCACACCACACCCATCCTCTTTTTGACTCCTCCTCAGGGCCACTTCATATACAACTCAATCTTTTAAGTGTACACTAAGTAAGGCCTTTTGCTCAGTGTTGTAGCAACACAAAGATGACATTCACTATCCTCTCAAAAACAAATGAAAGTGCTAATTTACTGTGTAACTAATGACATAGAGACACAAGTCACCACAGAAGTAATGAATAAAAAAAGAGGTAGAGAAAAATGATACTTGAGCTATAATGAACAGAAAAGGCTTTAGGGAGGTGGTACCTAAACTAGATCTTAGCAACATTTCCCAAAGTATGAGAGGCCAACAGCAAGGAGAAAGTCTCAATGGTATTAACACCTCCACTGCTAGTATTTTTCTACGATAATAAGACCAGACCACAGGCTCACAGTCAGCAACAGTATCTCTACTCTTTTTGTTTGTTAAGAGATAAGGTCTCACTATGTTGCCCAGGCAGCCTCCAACTCCTGAGTTTCAAGGGATCCTCCCACCTCAGCCTCCAGAGTAGTTGGGACTACAGGCATGCACCATCTTGCCTGCCTCTTTTCCCTTTTTATTATTTTTTGGATTATTTTAGCGGTGTTTTTTGAGGTGGAGTTTTGCTTTTATCGCCCAGGCTGGAGTGCAATGGCGCAATCTCGGCTCACTACAACCTCCGCCTCCAAGGTTCAAGAGATTCTCCTGCCTCAGCCTCCTAAGTTGCTGGGGTTACAGGCATGTGCCACCACAACCGGCTAATTTTTGTATTTTTAGTAGAGACGGGGTTTCACCTTATTGGCCATGCTGGTCTCAAACTCTTGACCTCAAGTAATCAGCCTCCCAAAGTGCTGGGATTACCGGCTTGAGCCACCTGCCCAGCCTGGATTATTTGGTATTTTATGGCAAATGACACTGGTTTCCACCTGTGGAAGTGATACGAAACCATATGCATATTGGCATATACATGTGCAATACATACTTTTAAAACAGTAGCACAAACGTGGCAGATGTTTAAGAAACACCATTCCAGTGGGGCACAGTGGCTCATTCCTGTAACCCCAACACTTTAGAATGCTGGGCGGGAGGTTCACTTGAGCCCAGGAGTTCAGAACCAGTCTAAGCAACACAGTGAGACACCTTCTCTACAAAAAATTAAAAACAATTAGCCTGCTGCGATGGCGTGCACCTGTAGTCCCATCTACTTGAGAGGCTGAGGTGGGAGGATCGCTTGAGATCTGAAGGTCGAGGCAGCAGTGAGCTATGACCCCTCAAAAAAAGAAAAAAAAAAGGAAAAAGAAAAACCATTCTATTGTTCCAAAGGGTAAAAAAAAAAAAATTAATGTACAGAAATGGCGGATGGGTATTTACGTAGAAGTGAACAGGCATAGAAAATGTTTAAGCACCTGCGTACACAGCAGGTGACCAGACTTCAGAGTCGCATCAGGGGGCTCCCAGATACCAATCAAGCATTTTGCATTTCCTTCTGTGAGCAGTGAGAAGTCACTAAGGACTTCTCGGCGGTAAAATGAGAGGAGACAGGTAGAGGCTGTAGACTTAAGGCCAGTTAAGAAGCTGATGCAACAGATCTGGCTTGGGAAACCTCTGTGATTCTATCCCTTGTGCCTGGTGGGTGGCTACCGGCTATCACAGCCCTCTAAGGCTGTCTCTCTCCAACACCGCTCCGATCCTGCAAACTCTGGTCATTGTCCAAACCCACTCTCCCCGCCCTCACCTCCATCCCCTCCCATGTGCACTGCGTTCCACAGCCTGCCTAACCCCGCACTCCCAGAATGGTCACAGCCACAGCCCCCGCAACTCACTGTTTGCCATAGTTGCCTCCGACAGGTTTGGTGACGAGCTCCTCCCCGGACAAGGACGACTCGGACTCGCTGTCCGAACCGGTGGTGAAAAACCGCGACATGGCGACGGCGCGGAGGTGCTACGGCCGGACCTGCGGGGGAGCCAAGGCGTCACCGGCCACGCGAAGAGGCCCGAGCCAACACCTCCCGACGCCCAACCCCTCACCGGCCCCACCCGGACCTCGACCTGGGTCTCCCACCACGAAGCACGAGGCCCAAAAAATACCAACCAGCTGAGCCCGCGAGTCACACCGCAGGGCCCTGACAGCGGAAACGCCGAGAGAGAAGGCGGGTCCTCGCGTCACTTCCGGGAAGCGCCGACTAACTACACTGGGAGACTACAACTCCCAGTGGCCTTCGCGCCATAAGGGGGCGGGGACAAGCCTGAGGGAACCGGGCGCTGAGACCTTGGCTGCAGGCGTCGCGAATCCTACCGCGCGTTGGTGTCGGGATTTAAAACACGAAGATCGGCGGGGCGCAGTGGCTCACGCGTGTAATTACAGCATTAATAGGCATTAATAGTATAGAAGTAGATAATCCTGCCGGGTGCGGTGGCTCACTCACGCCTGTAATCCTAGCACTTTGGGAGACCGAGGCAGGCGGATTACCCGAGGTCGGGAGTTCGAGACCAGCCTGACCAATATGGAGAAACCCCATCTCTACTAAAAATACAAAATTAGCCAGGCGTGGTGGTGCATGCCTGTAAGCCAAGCTACTCGGGAGGCTGAGGCAGGAGAATCGCTTGAACCCGGGAGGCGGAGGTTGTGGTGAGCCGAGATCGAGCCACTGGACTCCAGCCTGGACAACAAAAGCGAAACTCCATCTCAAAAAAAAAAAAGTAGACAATGCTAGCCAGGCACAGTGGCTCACTCCTGTAATTCCAACACTCTGGGAGGCTGAGGTGGGTGGATCACCTGAGGTCAGGAGTTCGAGACCAGCCTGGCCAATATGGCAAAACCCCGTGTCTACTAAAAAATACGAAAATTAGCCTGGCACAGTGTCACCTGCCTGTAATCCCAGCTACGTGGGAGGCTGAGGCTGGAGAATCACTTGAACCCAGGAGGAAGAGATTGCAGTGAGCAGAGATCACACCACTGCATTCCAGCCTGGGTGACAGAGCAAGACTCTGTCTCAAAAAAAAAAAAAAAAAAAAAAAAAGTAGACGATGCTAGATCTTGCAGGTCTTTATAGGCCTGTGGTTTGGAGCCGCCATCGGCAGAGGTTTTAGTGCAAGGGACTGTGTTACATTTTTCAAGGTGGTTTTGATATGGGAGCGGGACAGGGAAGTGCTGGGAAGGGAAGAGCATGCTCTTCCAAAGTGCTGGGATTATAGGCATGAGCTACCACACCTGGCCGTTTTGTTTTTTATTGTGAAATATTTCAACAGACAAGAATAAAGACTATTCCAATGGACATCTATGTACTCACAACCCACCCAGCACCGTCAAAACTTAATATGAGGCTGGGCATGGTGGTTCATGCCTGTAATCCCAACACTTTGGGAGGCAGAGGTGGGCAGATCACTTGAGGTCAGGAATTCGAGACCAGCCTGGCCAACATGGTGAAACCCCATCTCTACTAAAAATACAAAAATTCGCCTGGCATGGTGGCAGATGCCTGTAATTCCAGCTACTCAGGAGGCTGAGGCAGGAGAATTGCTTGAACCCTGAAGGTGGAGGTTGCAGTGAGCCAAGATCGTGCCACTGCACTCCAGCCTGAGCGACAGAGCAAGACTCTGTCTCCAAAAAAAAAAAGTTAAAAAAAAAAACCAAGGGGTTCATTGTACGTCTGTAAATCCATAAATATCTTTTTTTTTTTTTTTTTTGAGATGGAGTTTTGCTCTTGTTGCCCAGGCTGGAGTGCAATGGTATGATCTTGGCTCACTTCAACCTCCGCCTCCCAGTTTCAAGCAATTCTCCTGCCTCAGCCTCCCAAGTAGCTGGGATTTACAGACGTGCACCACCACATCCAGCTAATTTTTGTATTTGTAATAGAGAAGGGGTTTCACCATGTTGTCCAAGCTGGTCTCGAACTCCTGACCTCAGGTGATCCACCCGCCTCGGCCTCCCAAAATGCTGGGATTACAGGCGTGAGCCACCACGCCCAGCTCTCTTTATTTTAAATAATATGTGTACATTTTTACAAAATGAAAATGGTACAACAGAATACACAGGAAGAAAAAATATACAGGAAAAAATGTTTCCTTCCTGCCCTGACCTCATGTTCATCAGCTTTTCTCTCTAGAAGCAAACACAATTGTCAGTTTATAGCGTTATCTTCCAGATGTCACTTTGTGCCCTCTCTCTCCTTATCTCTCTTTGTGTATACACACACACACACACACATACACACACACACACAGAGTTGACTCTTGAAGAATGTGTAGGTCTACGTATATGTGGATTTTATTCAATAAATACAGTCAATCCTCCATACAGGTGGGTTCCACATCTGGAACGAAATGTCAATCAAAAATAACAGTATTCACTGGATTTGAAACCCATGTATACCAAGGGCCCAAATTTTGTAACTACAGGTTCCACAGGGGCAACTGCGGGACTTGAGTATGTACAGGTTTTGGTATCTCCCAGGAATCCTAGAACCAATCCCTTGAGGATACCAAGAAATGACTAGATAGAGACAGAAAGGATATAGATAGATGTATTGTATGTGTGTATGTATATATATATGTGTGTGTGTATATATATATATTCAATATATGTATATGAATTATATAGATCAGGGTATGTGTGTGTGTGTGTGTGCGTCTACCTGGAACATATCTGTCTCTACCATTGTTTCCTGCATCTTATTTCATTATTCATCATATATCTTGCAGCTCATTCTGTATCAGTGCATATGGCTCTGTCTCATTCTCTTTTTTTTTGTTTGGTTTTTGAGACAGAGTCTTGCTCTGTCGCCTAGGCTGGACATAATCTTGGCTCACTGCAACCTCCGCCTCCTAGGTTCAAGCGATACTTCTGCCTCAGCCTCCTGAGTAGCTGGGATCACAGGTGCCTGCCACCACACCTAATTTTTGTACTTTTAGTAGAGATGAGATCTCACCATGTTGGCCAGGCTGGCCTTGAACTCCTGACCTCAAGTGGTCCGCCTGCCTTTGCTTCCCAAAGTGCTGGGATTAAAGGCATGAGCCACCACACCCAGCCTGATTGCCTTTTAAAAGTATTCATAATAGGCTGGGTGTGGTGGCTCACACCCGTAATTCCAGCACATTGGGAGGCTGAGGTGGGTGGATCACCTGAGGTCAGGAGTTCGAGACCAGCTCGACTAACAATGGTGAAACCCCATCTCTGCTAAAAATACAAAATTAGCTGGGTGTAGTGGCACATGCCTGTAATCCCAACTACTTGGGAGGCTGAGGCAGGATAATTGCTTGAACCCAGGAGGTGGAGGTTGCAGTGAGCCGAGATCACGCCATTGCACTCCAGCCTGGGCAACAAGAGTAAAACTCCATTTAAAAAAAAAAAAAAAAGCATAATAACCCCAGAAGGCAGGCCACACTGTTCCACTTTAGAGAGGAGAATGTTGATGTCCTAAAAGGTCAAGTGACCTGTCTAAGGTCAAATCGATAGTTTGCATTCCAACCCAAACATTATTCCACAGCTATCTAAACTGTTGAGAGATGTGTTGTTTTAGAGCCAGACTCCAACAATTTTTGAGTGAATTCAACTTAGTCTTTTTTTTTTCTTTTCGAGACGGAGTCTTGCTCCATCACCTAGGCTGGAGTGCAGTGGCGCGATCTTGGCTCACTGCAAGCTCCACCTCCCGGGTTCATGCCATTCTCCTGCCTCAGCCTCCCGAGTAGCTGGGACTACAGGCAACTGCCACCACGCCCAGCTAATTTTTTGTATTTTTAGTAGAGATGGGGTTTCACCGTGTTAGCCAGGATGGTCTTGATCTCCTGACCTTGTGATCCGCCCACCTCAGCCTCCCAAAGTGCTGGGATTACAGGTGTGAGCCACCGCGCCCGGCCTTTTTTTTCTTTTTTCTTTTTTCTTTTTTCTTTTTTTGCAATTTCTGCTGCCCAGGCTGAAGTGCAGTGGTGTGATTACGGCTCACTGCAGCCTCAAACTCCTGGCCTCAAGCGATCCTCCCACTTCAGCCTCCTGAGTAGCTGAGACAACAGGCACACACCACTACACCCAATTAATATTTTTACTTTTTGTAGAGATGGAGTCTCACTATATTGCCCAGGCTGATCTTGAACTCCTGGCCTTAAGCAATTCTCTAGCATTGGCCTCCCAAAGCTCTGAGATTACAAGACTAAGCCACTGTGCTTGGCCTCAACTTCATTTTGTAAATAGGAAAAATGGGAATGAAGGCAGCTGACTTAAAGAAATCCTAGGTCGGGCATGGTGACTCACACCTGTAATCCCAGCACTTTGGGAGGCCGAGGCGGGTGGATCACCTGAGGTCAGGAGCTCGAGACCAGCCTAGTTGACACCGTGAAACCCCACCTCTACTAAAAATGCAAAAATTAGCCGGGCATGGTGGTGCACGCCTGTAATCCCAGCTACTTGGGAGGCTGAGGCAGGGGAATCGCTTGAACCCAGGAGGCAGAGGTTGCAGTGAGCCAAGATCTTGCCACTGCACTCCAGCCTGGGCGACAGAGCAAGACCTTGTCGCCAAAAAAAAAAAAAAAAAAAAAAGGGAAAGAAAACCTAGTAATTTACCTAATAATTTCTTCCTTTATGAGTGTAGTAGGCTCTGTGACTGGAGACAAACGTAACATGGGTGTATTTAATAGGTGAATTTTGTTAATACCCAGATTCTGATGGGGTCCTTAATGGTCCCAGAGTGGGAACGACACCCTGGAAGAGCTTTGATCAGTCTGGTGTCTCCAGTTCATGTGGGCGTACGTATTTCTCACAGCAGATTGACTCTCTTCATGTGCCTGTAATAACACAGCCAGCAAGCAGGAAGATGATAACCATAACTGGCATTTGAATAACAATTTCAAATGCATAGAGGTGCTTGAAACTCATGAAAACTTATAGGTGGGCAGGAAAAGCAGCTATTACTAACCTCATTTTACAAATGAGAAAAGCAGGACTCTGCAGTGCGGGGGAGGGCTCTGTTGTGACAGCATGAGATTCTGAAACCAGGTCCTCTAACTCGCAGGTCACAGAAGACGCTTCCAAGTATATTATTTTATTGCAGAAGGGGAATGAACTGAGCGGAAGGAGAGGACAGAGCGTGGGAAAAGGGGAGGGAGTGCCATGGGAACCCCTCTGTGGGACAAAATGCTGGGTACCACACTCCCCCTCACTCACGCAACTCCAGCCACTGATATCCCCCCTTTTTCTTTTATTTTTTCCTTTTCTTTCTTTTTTTAATCTTAAAAATTATTATTATTACTATTTGAGAGAGGGTGTCACTCTGTCACCCAGACTGGAGTGCAGTGGTGTGATCATAGGTCACTGCAGCATCAAACTCCTGAGCTCAAGTGATCCTCCCATATCAGCCTCCCGAGTTGGGACTACAGGTGCACGCCACCACGTTGGACTGTTATTTATGTATTTATTTTGAGACAGGGTCTTGCTCTTTCACCCAGGCTGGAGTGCAGTGATACAATCATTGTCCTGGAACTACAGGCGCCCGTCACCACACGAGACTTATTTATTTTTATTTTTTATTTTTTGAGATAGAGTTTTGCTCTGTTGCCCAGGCTGGAGTGCAGTGGTGTGATCTCGGCTCACTGCACCCTCCACCTCCTGGGTTCAAACGATTCTCCTGCCTCAGCCTTGTGAGTAGCTGGAATTACAGGCATGCACCACCACATCCAACTAATTTTTGTATTTTTAGTAGAGACAGAGTTTCACCATGTTGGTCAGGCTGGTCTTGAACTCCTGACCTCAAGTGATCCACCCACCTTGGCCTCCCAAAGTGCTGGGATTACAGGCGTGAGCCACCGTGCCTGGCTGAGATTCATTTTTTAAATTTTTTTAGAGATGGATTCTCGCTATGTTGTCCAGGCTGGTCTCAAACTCCTGGGCTCAAGTAATCCTCCTGCCTTGGCCTCCCAAAGTGTTGGAATTACAGGTGTGAGCCAATGTGCCTGGCTTCAATATCCCCTTTCTAAAATAAATGTCTCAAAAGACTTTGAAATTCAGGCTGGGCATAGTGGCTCATGCCTGTAATCCCAGCACTTTGGGAGGCCGAGGTGGGAGGATCACGAGGTCAAGAGATAGAGACCATCCTGGCCAACATGGTGAAACCCCAACTCTACTAAAAATACAAAAATTAGCTGGGAATGGTAGCGCGTGCCTGTAGTCTCAGCTACTCGGGAGGCTGAGGCAGGAGAATCGCTTGAACCTGGGAGGCGGAGGTTGCAGTGAGCCGAGATCACGCCACTACACTCCAGCCTGGCGACAGAGCGAGACTCCATTTCAAAAAAAAAAAAAAAAAGAAAAGTCAAGACTATGAAATTCACAGATAATATAACTTTCTGATACACACAATTTTATTGTATTTTGCTTTGTGTTTAATTTTCTCAAATAGACCTCAAGTACCTTGAAGACAGGAATGTCTTAGTATCCCCTCAGTGCATTTCACATAGTACATGTTCAATGATATGTTTCTATTATTATTATAAATTTTTCGTTTGGAAACAGAGCCTTGCTGTGTCGCCCAGGTGTGAGTGCAGTGGCACGATTTCTGCTCACTGCAACCTCCGCCTCCAAGGCTCAAGCAATTTTCCTGTCTCAGCCACTGGAGTAGCTGGGATTACAGGCATGCACCACCACACCCAACTAATTTTTATATTTTTAGTAGAGACAGGGTTTCACCATGTTGGCCACGCTGGTCTCAAACTCCTAGCCTCAAGTGATCTGCCTGCCTCGGCCTCCCAGGATGCTGGGATTACAGGCATAAGCCACCACACTCTGCCTATTATTGTAATTATTAAAAGACAACATACATATAGCTAAATGAATCAGCTGCACTAATCAATCACTGGTTTGGTGTCTATCATCATCTATTAGTTTTGCCTGTTTTTTGATTTTTTTTTACTAGAGACAAGATCTCACTCTCTTGCCCAGGCTGGTGTGCAATTGCAAGATCCCAGCTCACTGCAGCAGCCTTGAACTCCTGGGTTTAAGGGATCCTCCTGTCTCAGCCTCCCAAGTAGCCAGGACCACAGGTGTACACCACCGAGTTCAGCTAATGTTTTTTGTGGGGTTTTTGTTTTTTGTAGAGACGGGGGGGGCCTCACTATGTTCCCAGGCTGGTCTCGAACTCCTGGCCTCAAGCAATCATCCTGCCTCAGCCTCCCAAAGCATGGGATTACAAGCGTGAGCCACCACGCCTGGCCAGTTTTGCCGGTTCTTGAGCTTCATATAAATAGAATCATAAGGCATATCCTTTTTTGTACCTGGCTTCTATTGTTGACCATAATACTTATTATGAGATTCATCCGTGTTAAGTGCACCAGTATGGTAGGACATTCTTTTTTGTTTGTTTGTTTGTTTTTTGAGATGGAGTTTTGCTTTTGTTGTCCAGGCTGGAGTGCAATGGCGCAATCTTGGCTCACTGCAACCTCTGCCTCCCGGGTTTAAGCGATTCTCCTGCCTCAGCCTCATGAGTAGCTGGGATTACAGGCATGCACCACCACACCTAGCTAATTTTACAATTTTAGTAGAGACTGGTTTTCTCCATGTTGGTCAGGTTGGTCTCGAACTACTGACCTCCGGTGATCTGCCCACCTTGGCCTCCCAAAGTGCTGGAATTACAGGCGTAAGTCACCGCGCCCAGCCCAGTCATTCTTTTTAAATTCCTGAATGGTTTTCAATTGAATGACGATCGATACCACAATGTATTCATTCTCCTGTAGATTTTTTTTTTTTTGATGGAGTCTCATTGTGTCCTCCATGATGAAGTGCAGTGGCATGATCTTGGCTCACTGCAACCTCCGCCTCCCAGGTTCAAGAGGTTCTCGTGCCTCAGCCTCCCAATTAGCTTAGATTACAGGCGTGCATCATCACACCTGGCTAATTTTTGTATTTTTAGTAGAGATGGGGTTTCACCATGTTTAGTAGAGACCAGGCCAGGCTGGTCTGGAAATCCTGACCTCAGGTGATCCTCCCACCTTGGCCTCCCAAAGTGCTAGGATTACAGGTGTGAGCCACCATACCTGGCCATATTATAAATAAAGCTTGTATCAACATTTTTTTCAATATTTACATCATATGTTTTAAATTTTTATTATTAGGTACAGAGTAGTTTTTGTTATACATCCCTGTTAAATTGAATATTTTATTTTATTTTTTATTTATTTTTTGAGATGGAGTCTCACTCTGTCACCCAGGCTGGAGTGCACTGGCACAATCTCGGCTCACTGTAACCTCCACCCCCAAGGTTCAAGTGATTCTCCTGCCTCAGCCTTCCAAGTAGCTTGGATTACAGGAACGTGGCACCACACCCAGCTAATTTTTGTATTTTTTAGTAGAGACGGGGTTTCGCCATGTTGGACAGGCTGGGACTATTTTATTATTATGAGATGACACTCTTTATCTGCAGTAATACTTTTTGTGAGTCTATTTTTTCTGATACTAATATAGCTTTCCAACTTCATTTTAGTTGGTTTTGGCCTGATGTATTTTTTTATTAATTGCTTTTCAATATTTCTGTATAATAATGATATTTATATACATCTTGAAATAGCATATAGCTAGTAGCTAGTTTTTTTTTTTTTTTTTTTTTTTTTGAGATGGAGTTTCACTCTTGTTGCCCAGGCTGGAGTGCAATGGTGCAGCTCGCTGCAACCTTTGCCTCCCAGGTTCAAGCGATTCTCCTGCCTCAGCCTCCCAAGTAGCTGGGATTACAGGCACACACCATCATGCTAAGCTAATTTTTGTATCTTTAGTAGAGACAGGGTTTCACCATGTTGGCCAGGCTGGAATCGAACTCCTGATCTCAAGTGATCTGAGTGCCTCAGCCTCCCAAAGTGGTGAAATTACAGGCATGAGATACTGTACCTGGCCTATACTTAGCATTTTTATACTTAGAATCATGGTGACTGAGGCACTGCAGTGCAGCTGGTAAGCAATGGATTTTAATGTGTGTGTTGCCTTCAGTAAAGGAATTGTCCAAGTACAGCTCTTGGTAAAGATCCCAACGAAGCAAAATACATCTTCCTTCAATGACCTGAGATTTTAGTCAGCTCAGGCTGCTATAACAAAATACCATAAACAGGGTGGCTTAAAAAACAATATTTATTTTTCACAGTTCTGGAGGCTGGGAAGTCCAAGATTAAGGTGCTGGCAAAACCGATTTGGTGTCTGGTGAGGGCTCTGTTTCTGGTTTGC
The DNA here is from genome assembly GCF_000001405.40 of Homo sapiens. NCBI lineage: Eukaryota > Metazoa > Chordata > Mammalia > Primates > Hominidae > Homo > Homo sapiens. Next base: position 28,702,422 of record NC_000016.10, on the reverse strand, counting down.
TCACAGCTGCCTTCTTGCTATATCCCCACTTGGTGGAGAAAGAGATTGCTTGTCTCGTTCTCTTTCTGTGAGGGCATTAATACCATCATGAAGTCTCCCACCCTCATGACGTAATCTAGCCCCAATTACCTTCCAAGGGCCTCACCTTCTCACCTTCAAATGCTATGACATTGGGGATTAGGGCTTCAACATATGCATTTGGCAGGAGAACACAAACATTTAGTTCATACTAATACACGATAGTCGAATTCTTGAAAAATTCAGTGTATATTAAAACCAAGCAAGAAATACTTTGGGTTTAGGCTGGGCGCAGTGGCTCATGCCTGTAATCCCAGCACTTTGGGAGGCTGAGGCGGGCAGATTACCTGAGGTCAGGAGTTCGAGACCAGCCTGGCCAACATGGCGAAACCCTGTCTCTACTAAAAATACAAAAATTAGCTAGGTTTGGTGGTGCATGCCTGTAATCCCAGCTATTCAAGAGGCAGAGGCAGGAGAATCGCTTGAAGCTGGGAGGCGGAGGTTGCAGTGAGCTGAGATCGCGCCACTGCACTCCAGCTTGAGTGACCAAGCAAGACTCTCTATCTAAAACAAAACAAAACAAGCGACTTTGGGTTCATATGTAAAATGAAGTTAGATTCTTAGCACATATTGTTGGATGTCTGGCGGGGATATTAAAAAAACCACTCAAACGTAGAAGAATCTCTCTTCATCCAGGACCATACTGTGCATGGCAGGATGGCTTTGCTCTCTCCCTCTAAGGACATTGTCACATTCACAGTGAGATCAAAGCCCCCACAAACAAGCTTCCAAAATGGCCCTAGGGGGCAGTACTACCTCACTGAGAACCACTGTTCAGGGAGTTAGCTGGGTCGCAGAGGCAAAATGTTGGACTACAGCGTGTGGGGCCACACTGAGCGATGATGAAGAGGAGAGGCATCCCAACACCCACCGGGCTAACCTCTTCCGCTGGCAGCACCAAGCCCGGGTGGAGCTCATGGAGCAGTTCCAGAAGGAGAAGGAGGAACTGGACAGGGGCTGCTGGGAGTACAAGTGCAAGATGGCCGAGTGCCAGAGGAAGCTGAAGGAGCTGGAGGTGTCAGAGGGTGCCAGGGTGGAGGTGGAGTGGCTACACGAGGAGCTGAGCTGGGAGCAAAAGCTGGAGGAGATGCCCAAGAAAAAGAGCATGACCTGGAACGTGGACACGCTCAGCAAAAGCAGTTTCAGGCTGGGTGAGGTGGCTCACACCTGTAATCCCAGCACTTTGGGAGGCTGATGCGGGGCGATCACTTGAGGTCAGGAGTTTGAGACCAGCCTGACCAACATGGCGAAACCTCGTCTCTACAAAAATACAAAAAGTAGCTGAGCGTGGTGGTGGGCGCCTGTAATCCCAGCTGCTCGGGAGGCTGAGGCAGGAGAATCGCTTGAACCCGGGAGGCGGAGGCTGCAGTGAGCCAAGATCATGCCATTGCACACCAGCCTGGGCGACAGAGCAAGACTCCGTCTCAAAAAAAAAAAAGAAAAGACGGCTTTAGCAGGAGCATGGTGAACACCAAGCCTGATGAGAAGATGGTCAACTACCTGGTCATCTGGTGTGCTGATCTAGAGGTGCAGGAGAAATGCGCCCTCATGGAGCAGGTGGTCCACTAGGCAATTGTCACGCAGTTCAACCTGGTGTTGGTCAGGAGCCGGAAGGGGTCCCCCGGGTCTGCTTCTGGCAGTTCTTCACTGAGATTCAGACGGCTGACTGCTAGTGCATGGAGAGCTTCAAGGACGAGCTGGAAGCCTCCACGGAGCCTGTGCGGGGCTGCGCCAAGCTGCGCGTCTAGAAAGCAGGTGGAGCAGGAGTACTAGGAGGAGGAGCTCAAGAAGCAGCTTGGCCCTGATGGCCTGGAACCCGTGGAGGTGACGAGTTCCCCCCTGAGGAACTCCAAAAGGGCTTCAATGCGAAGGACGCGCAAATGCAGCAAGATGGACCCCACCAAGGCCAAGTTCCCCATGCAGCAGTGTATCGACGCCGGCCTCCGGGTCCCCAACTCTGAGGTCAGCGAGGCCAAGGAGGGAGAGGAGGAGTGTTCAGGGACCGGCTGCTGGAAGCTGTTCCCAAGACAGGCGGGGATGTCAGTGCGTGACCCACCCCAGCTGCAGCTGCCACCTGTGTGCAAGCCCCTAGGCGCCCCTTTTCAGAAAACAAAAATAGACACCATCTCCCCAGCTCCTGGCTTCCTCCACTTCCGCTGCTCCCCCTAGCCCTGGGGGCCTGCCAGGCCTTCCCTGCCCTCTCCCCCTCCCCGCCCTCTCCACTGTCCCCACTCTCCAGCACCCATTCAAGTCTCTGCTTTGAGTCAAGGGACTTCACTGCCCACAGCGCCCCATCAGCATCATGCCAAAGGCCCAGGGGCCCGGGGAGGGGCAGAGGTCGCCAGGCTGGTCCGCCAGGTAGAGGGGAGGGTCCCCAGCCACTAGGTGGCTCAGGTCACCGGGTTCTGTTTCCACTGTTCATCTGCTGTCTGTGTCTTCTATTTGGCAAACAGCAATGATGTTCTAAAAAGGATTTTAGATATTAAAAGAAAAAAAAAAGAGGCTGGATGAGGTGGCTCACACCCGTAATCCCAGCACGCTGGGAGGCTGAGGAGGGTGGATCACTTGAGGTCAGAAGTTGAAGACCAGCCTGGCCAACATGGTGAAACCCCATCTCTACTAAAAATACAAAAATTAGCCGGGCATGGTGGCACCTGCCTGTAGTCCCAGATACTTGGTAGGCTGAGGCAGGAGAATCACTTGAACCTGGAAGATGGAGTTTGCAGTGAGCTGAGATAGTGCCACTGCACTCCAGTCTGAGCAACAGAGCGAGACTCCGTCTCCAAAAAAAAAAGTTGGAGGATTCACATTTCCTATTTTCATGCCCTCTCCCTCTCCCTCTCCCTCTCCCTCTCCCTCTCCGTCTCCGTCTCCGTCTCCGTCTCCCTCTCCCCACGGTCTCCCTCTCATGCGGAGCCGAAGCTGGACTGTAGTGCTGCCATCTCGGCTCACTGCAACCTCCCTGCCTGATTCTCCTGCCTCAGCCTGCCGAGTGCCTGCGATTGCAGGCACGCGCCGCCACGCCTGACTGGTTTTGGTGGAGACGGGGTTTCGCTGTGTTGGCCGGGCCGGTCTCCAGCCCCTAACCGCGAGTGATCCGCCAACCTCGGCCTCCCGAGGTGCCGGGATTGCAGACGGAGTCTCGTTCACTCAGTGCTCAATGGTGCCCAGGCTGGAGTGCAGTGGCGTGATCTCGGCTCACTACAACCTACACCTCCCAGCCGCCTGCCTTGGCCTCCCAAAGTGCCGAGATTGCAGCCTCTGCCCGGCCGCCACCCCGTCTGGGAAGTGAGGAGTGTCTCTGCCTGGCCGCCCATCGTCTGGGATATGAGGAGCCCCTCTGCCTGGCTGCCCAGTCTGGAAAGTGAGGAGCGTCTCCGCCCGGCCGCCATCCCATCTAGGAAGTGAGGAGCGCCTCTTCCCAGCCGCCATCACATCTAGGAAGTGAGGAGCGTCTCTGCCCGGCCGCCCATCGTCTGAGATGTGGGGAGCGCCTCTGCCCCGCCGCCCCATCTGGGATGTGAGGAGCGCCTCTGCCCGGCCGAGACCCCGTCTGGGAGGTGAGGAGCGTCTCTGCCCGGCCGCCCCGTCTGAGAAGTGAGGAGACCCTCTGCCTGGCAACCACCCCGTCTGAGAAGTGAGGAGCCCCTCCGCCCGGCAGCTGCCCCGTCTGAGAAGTGAGGAGCCTCTCCGCCCGGCAGCCACCCCATCTGGGAAGTGAGGAGTGTCTCCGCCCGGCAGCCACCCCATCTGGGAAGTGAGGAGCGTCTCCGCCCGGCAGCCACCCCGTCCGGGAGGGAGGTGGGGGGGGTCAGCCCCCCGCCCAGCCAGCCGCCCCATCCGGGAGGGAGGTGGGGGGTCAGCCCCTCCGCCTGGCCAGCCGTGCCATCCGGGAGGGAGGTGGGGGGGTCAGCCCCCCGCCTGGCCAGCCATGCCGTCCGGGAGGGAGGTGGGAGGGTCAGCCCCCCACCCGGCCAGCCGCCCCGTCCGGGAGGTGAGGGGCGCCTCTGCCCGGCCGCCCCTACTGGGAAGTGAGGAGCCCCTCAGCCTGGCCAGCCACCCCGTCCGGGAGGGAGATGGGGGGGTCAGCCCCCCCACCCGGCCAGCCGCCCCGTCCGGGAGGTGAGGGGCGCCTCTGCCCGGCCGCCCCTACTGGGAAGTGAGGAGCCCCTCTGCCCGGCCAGCCGCCCCGTCCGGGAGGGAGGTGGGGGGGGTCAGCCCCCCCGCCCGGCCAGCCGCCCCGTCCGGGAGGTGAGGGGCGCCTCTGCCCGGCCGCCCCTACTGGGAAGTGAGGAGCCGCTCTGCCCGGCCAGCCGCCCCGTCCGGGAGGGAGGTGGGGGGGGTCAGCCCCCCCGCCCGGCCAGCCGCCCCGCCCGGGAGGTGAGGGGCGCCTCTGCCCGGCCGCCCCTACTGGGAAGTGAGGAGCCCCTCTGCCCGGCCAGCCGCCCCGTCCGGGAGGGAGGTTGGGGGGTCAGCCCCCCGCCCGGCCAGCCGCCCCGTCCGGGAGGGAGGTGGGGGGGGTCAGCCCCCCTGCCCGGCGAGCCGCCCCATCCGGGAGGTGAGGGGCGCCTCTGCCCGGCCACCCCTACTGGGAAGTGAGGAGCCCCTCTGACCGGCCACCACCCCGTCTGGGAGGTGTGCCCAACAGCTCATTGAGAACGGGCCAGGATGACAATGGCGGCTTTGTGGAATAGAAAGGCGGGAAAGGTGGGGAAAAGATTGAGAAATCGGATGGTTGCCGTGTCTGTGTAGAAAGAAGTAGACATGGGAGACTTTTCATTTTGTTCTGCACTAAGAAAAATTCCTCTGCCTTGGGATCCTGTTGATCTGTGACCTTACCCCCAACCCTGTGCTCTCTGAAACATGTGCTGTGTCCACTCAGGGTTAAATGGATTAAGGGCGGTGCAAGATGTGCTTTGTTAAACAGATGCTTGAAGGCAGCATGCTCGTTAAGAGTCATCACCAATCCCTAATCTCAAGTAATCAGGGACACAAACACTGCGGAAGGCCGCAGGGTCCTCTGCCTAGGAAAACCAGAGACCTTTGTTCACTTGTTTATCTGCTGACCTTCCCTCCACTATTGTCCCATGACCCTGCCAAATCCCCCTCTGTGAGAAACACCCAAGAATTATCAATAAAAAAATAAATTAAAAAAAAAAAAACTCAAATAAAGTTTGCACTTTAGGAATGCAAAAAAAAAAAAAAAAAAAAAATTAGCCAGGCGTGGTGGCGCATGCCTGTAATCCTAGCTACTCAGGAGGCTGAGGCAGCAGTATCTCTTGAACCAAGGAGGTGGAGGTTGCAGTGGGCTGAGATCACCCCATTGCGCTCTAGACTGGGCAACAGGAGTGAGACTCTGTCTCAAAAAAAAAAAAAAAAAGATAGTAGTGTGCATGCTATAAAAAAGAATCCCAGCCTCTGTGCGGGGTAAAAAACCCAAACCATTCTTTCTGGGGTGTGGTCTCTCCAGTGGTGCCTTAACTGAGTCTTTATTTTTTTGAGATAGAGTCTTGCTCTGTTGCCCAGGCTGGAGGGCAGTGGCATGATCTTGGCTCACTGCAACCTTCACCTCCCAGATTCAAGTGATTCTCCTGCCTCAGCCTCCAGAGTAGCTGGTATTACAGGCATGCGCCACCACGCCTGGCTAATTTTCATATTTTTAGTGGAGATGGGGTTTTACATGTTGGCCAGGCTGGTCTCAAACTCCTGACCTCAAGTGATTTGGCCTCCCAAAGTGCTGGGATTACAGGTGTAAGCCACCACATCTTGCCTTAACTGAGTCTTTAATACATCATTGCACCACACTAGGGGTCATGTTGATTTCTTCTGCTGTCTAAAGATACCACATGTGAGGCAGCAGCTGCAATTGGAGTCACCATCTAAATGAGTTTCCCATAGTCCACAGTCATTCTCTAAGATCCATCCAACCAGCATATGCCAAACGCCTGCCCATTCAAGTCTTTTTTTTTTTTTTTTTTTTAGACACAGTTTCGCTCTTTTGCCTAGGCTGGAGTACAGTGGTATGATCTCAGCTCACTGAAGCCTCTGCCTCCCAGGTTCAAGGGATTCTCCTGCCTCAGCATCCTGAGTAGCCAGGATTACAGGCACCTGCCACCACACTCGGCTAATTTTTGTACTTTTAGTAGAGATAGGGTTTCACCATGTTGCCCAGGTTGGTCTCGAACTCCTGACGTCAGGTGATCCACCCGCCTCGGCCTCCCAAAATGCTAGGATTACAGGCCTGAGCCACCCCACCTGGCCCCTTGTAAGTCTTTGAGGGTGGCACTAGTCTGTGCGACTCTCCAGGGATGTGATAATGCTTCTGGTTAACTGTCTTTTTAAAATTTTTTTTCTTTGAGACAGAGTCTCCCTCTGTTGCCCAGGCTGGAGTGCAGTAGGATGATCTTGGCTCACTGCAACCTCTGCCTCCTGGGTTCACGCCATTCTCCTGCCTCAGCCTCTTGAGTAGCTAGGACTACAGGTGCCCGCCATCACACCTGGCTAATTTTTTGTATTTGTAGTAGAGATGGGGTTTCATCGTGTTAGCCAGGATGGTCTCAATCTCCTGACCTCGTGATCCGCCTGCCTTGGCCTCCCAAAGTGCTGGGATTACAGGTGTAAGCCACTGCGCCCAGCCCTCTGGTTAACTGTCTTGACAGGAAGTGGAAGTTACAGGAACTTTCCCTTAGCCCTTTCCACCATGATTCTCTCACTCCATGGGTGGGAGAGCCAGTGTGGAGATTTGTCAGTTGCCATAGATGGCTATTCCTATTATACTCTCAGGAATTTGGAAATAACCACAGGGTGGGACCATAGATCAACGGAGCCCTCTGTGAGTTGGGGCTGAGCTAAGACTCCATCTAGCACCTGACCATCTATCTTTAAGCCCCTACTTTTAGTGATGAGCCACAGTGGCATTTTGGATCCTCAGGACTTGGCGTTAATTCAGAGCCAATGTCTAGGAATCCTCAAAAGGTTGGGTATTTTCTTCTCCCTGATGCACACTCTAGTAAACAGGGCATGTTCCTCTCTCAGGGAGAACCAAACTTCTCTCCAATTAAGTGACTCTGGATCTATGCTGACTTAGGTCTAAAATCCAGGCGAGAGACTACAACTCTTCACTATGGCAACTCAACTTAGGTTTTTGGCTACTAGAGCAAGTTTTTTGTTTATTTTTTTGAGATGGAGTCTTGCTCTGTCAACCAGGCAGAAGTACAGTGGTGTGATCTTGGCTCACTGCAACCTCTGCCTCCCGGGCTCAAGCAATTCTCCTCCCTCAGCCTCCCGAGTAGCTGGGATTACAGATGCACGCCACCACACCTGGCTAATTTTTGTATTTTTAGTAGAGATGGGGTTTCACCATGTTGGCCGGGCTGGTCTCGAACTCCTGACCTCAGGTGATCTACCTGCCTCAGCCTCCCAAAGTGCTGGGATTACAGGTGTGAGCCACTGCGCGCAGCTTATTTATTTATTTATTTTTAACAAGGTCTTGCTCTGTTGCTCAGGCTGGAGTGCGCTGGTGCAATTATAGCTCACTGCAGCCTCGGACTCCTGGGCTCAAACCATCCTCCCACCTCAGCCTTCAGAGTAGCTGGGACTACAAGTGTGCACAACCATGCCCAGCTAATTAAAAAAAAAAAACCAAAAAAACCTTTTTTTGGTGGAGACATGGTCTCACAATATTGCCCAAGCTAGTCTCAAACACCTGGCCTCAAGCAAATCTTCCTGCCACAGCCTCCCAAAGTGCTGGGATTACAGGCATAAGCCACTGTGTCCAGCCAGAATTTGATGTTTTGACATATATTTTATATCTATAGCCGTGAAGTCATTACCACAATCATGATAGCGAAGGTATGCATCACGCAGAAGTCTCCTTGTGACTGTAATCTCTCCCACCTGCCTCTCTCTGACCCCTCATACCCAAGAAACCACTGATCTGCTTTCTGTCACCATAGGTTGATTTGCATTTTCTTTTTTTCTTTTTGAGATGGAGTTTTGCTCTTGTCACCCAGGCTGGAGTGCAATGGTACAGTCTCAGCTCACTGCAACCTCCGCCTCCCAGGTTCAAGCAATTCTCCTGCCTCAGCCTCCCAAGTGGCTGGGATTACAGGCACCCACTACCACACCCAGGTAATTTTTGTATTTTTAGTAGAAACGGGGTTTCACCACATTGGCCAGGCTGGTCTCGAACTCCTGAGCTCAGGTGATCTGCCTACCTCAGACTCCCAAAGTGCTGGGATTATAGGTGTGAGCCACCATGCCTGACCTGATTTGCATTTTCTAGAGCAGGGGTTGGCAAATGTTTTTTGTAAAGGGCCAAATAGTAAATATTTTAGGTGTTGTAGGACAACAGATAAAAAGTAGTATATTATGGCAGGGCACAGTGGCTCACGCCTGTAATTCCAGCACTTTGGGAGGCCGAGGCGGGCAGATCACTTGAGGCCAGGAGTTTGAGACCAGACTGACCAACATGGCAAAACCCAGACTCTACTAAAAATACAAAAATTACCCAGACATGGTGGCGCATGCCTGTAATCCCAGCTACTGGAGAGGCTCAGGCATGTGAATTGCCTGAACTCAGGAGGCAGAGGTGGCAGTGAGCCGAGATCACACCACTGCACTCCACCCTGGGTGACAGAGCGAGACTCTATCTCAGAAAAAAAAAAAAAAAAAAGAACAAAGTTAGTGTTCCCTATCATCAAAGTCTATGACAAATGTTTATCTGTTAATTCTAATCTGTAATGAGATTTGGCAAAAATAGTTTTTCCTGAAGATAGGTATTGCCAAATACAGATAGCAATCCACAAGCATATGATGTCACGAGCACATTCATCATTTGAAAGGCATTTATAGAATTCTATTTGGACTCTGGCCAGGTGCGGTGGCTCACTTAATCCCAGCACTTTGGGAGGCCGAGGTAGGTGGATCACTCGAGGCCAGGAGTCCCAGACCAGCCTAGGCAACACGGCAAAACCCCCCTCTCTACTGAAAATACAAAAAAATCAGCCAGGCCTGGTGGCGTGTGCCTGTAATTCCAGCTACTTGATGCTCAGTATCATTTGAACCTGGGAGGTAGAAGTTGCAGTGAGCTGAGATGGTGCCACTGCACTCTGGCCTGGGCACCAGAGCAAGACCGTGTCTCAAAAAAAAAAAAAAAAATCTATTTGGATTGGATTTTTCTCTTGCTATCTGCCTTTTAGCATGTCACTACATTATGGTTTAATCACTTGAGATGTGTCTCAATTTCACTGAAGTCCTAAAAATGCTACTGGAACTGCAGTTTGAGATTGGAAATGTAGCTCCTAAAAATTTATATGGGAATGGACATCTTGCTCCTTGTTTTAACTTTGATATTATGGGCTGTGTATAAGGCAGCTTGACATCGCTTGTGATTCAAACAATATACCATCAATGAAGTTACTTTACAGCAGCATACGTTAAACATATACGTGCTGTTTTGCCTTATAATTTTAGGTTGAATTATTAAGAGATATTATCAAAACTGCTTCAAAAGCTAGCTAACAAAGCCTCTCAGTGTTTGATAGCAGTGGTTATGTGTGGTTCTTCTTTGTTGTTGTTGTTGTTGAGACGGAGTCTCGCTCTGTCGCCCAGACTAGAGTGCAGTGGCATGATCTAGGCTCACTGCAACCTCCACCTCCCCAGGTTCAAGCGATTCTCCTGCCTCAGCCTCCGGAGTAGCTGGGACTACAGGTGCCCGCCACCAAGCCTGGCTAATTTTTTGTATTTTTAGTAGAGACGGGGTTTCACCATGTTAGTGAGGATGGTCCTCAAGTGATCTGCCCACCTCGGCCTCCTAAAGTGCTGGTAACACAGGTGTGAGCCACTGCACCTGGCCCGGTTCTTATTTAGAAAAATTTCAGGCTGGGTGCAGTGGCTCAAGCCTGTAATACCCGCAATCTGGGAGGCCGAAGCAGGTGGATTACCTGAGGTCAGGAGTTCGAGACCAGCCTGGCCAACACAGTGAAACCCCGTCCTTACTAAAAATACAAAAAAAAATTAGCCAGGTGTGGTGGCGGGCACCTGTAATCCCAGCTACTTGGGAGGCTGAAGCAGGAAAATCCCTTGAACTCGGGAGGCAGAGATTGCAGTGAGCTGAGATAGCACCACTGCACTCCAGCCTGGGTGACAGAGTGAGACTCAGTCTCAAACAAAAAAAGAAAAGAAAAGAAAAAAAAATTCAATCTCAGCCCGGAGTTAAAAACCATATGTCTGTGTGTGGTGGCTCATACGTATAACCCCAGCACTTTGGGAGGCTGACACAGGCAGATTACTTGAGCCCAGGAGTTCAAGACCAGCCCGGGCAACATGGCAAAACCCTGTCTCTGCAAAAAATGCAAAAACTAGCCAGGCGTGGTGGCACATGTGTGTAGTCCCAGTTTCTTAGGGAAGTAACCTTAGGTGGAAGGGTCGCCTGAGCATGAGAGGCAGAGGTTGCAGTGAGCCAAGATCACACCACTGCACTCCAACCTGGGTGACAGAGTGAGACCCTGTCTCAAAAAAACAAAACAAATCAAAACCATAAAATTTAGCACTTCCAAGACATCAAACTACTGTATGGCATGGCAAGTCAGGATATTCAGCTTGTATTTCTAACAAAAATTTATGGAACTGACAGTTAAATCCACACAAGCAAATGAAGTTCACAATTGACAGTACTGGTTCAATATCTTATGACAGATTCAAAAATGTGTGCAAAGTACCTGCTGATGAATCATACAGTTAATAACCATAGGCTTTTTTTTTTTTTTTTTGAGATGGAGTCTCCCTTATCGCTCAGGCTGGAGGGCAGCGGCGCGATCTCCACTCACTGCAACCTCCGCCTCCTGGGTACAAGCGATTCTCCTGCCTCAGCCTCCTGAGTAGCTGGGATTACAGGCATGTGCCACCATGTCCGGCTAAATTTTGTATTTTTAGTAGAGATGGGGTTTCATCATGTTGGCCAGGCTGGTCTTGAACTCTTGACCTCAGGCAATCTACCCGCCTCAGCCTCCCAAAGTGCTGGCATTACAGGCGTGAGCCACCGTGCCCAGCAACCATAGGCTTTAAACACCTTACATTTGCACAAGCTTTGTAAATTCGTCCAACAAAGGCTTTTTCTGCTCCATATATATATATATAATATATATATTATATATATATATATTTTTTTGAGACGGAGTCTTGCTCTGTTGCCCAGGCTGGAGTGCAGTGGCACTATCTCGGCTCACTGCAAGCTCCGTCTCCTGGGTTCACGCCATTCTCCTGCCTCAGCCTCCCAAGTAGCTGGGACTACAGGCGCCCGCAACCACACCTGGCTAATTTTTTTTTTTTTTTTTGAGATGGAGTCTCACTCTGCTGCCCAGGCTGGAGTGCAGTGGTGTGATCTCAGCTCACTGCAAGCTCTGCCTCCCAGGTTCACGCCATTCTCCTGCCTCAGCCTCCTGAGTAGCTGGGACTACAGGCACCCGCCACCACACCCAGCTAATTTTTTTGTATTTTTAGTAGAGACAGCGTTTCACCGTGTTAGCCAGGATGGTCTCGATCTCATGACCTCGTGATCTGCCCACCTCGGCCTCCCAAAGTGCTGGGATTACAGGTGTGAGCCACCGCGCCCAGCCTATTTATTTTTTTTTGAGATGGACTTTCACTCTTGTTGCCCAGGCTGGAGTGCAATGACAAGATCTCGGCTCACTGCAACCTCTGCCGCCTGGTTCAAGCAATTCTGCCTCAGCCTCCCAAGTAGCTGGAATTACAGGCGCCTGCCACCAGGACTGGCTAATTTTTTGTATTTTTAGTAGAGGCAGAGTTTCACCATGTTGGCCGGGCTGGTCTTGAACTCCTGGGCTCCAGTGACCTGCCTGCCTCAGCCTCCCAAAGTGCTGGGATTACAGGCATGAGCCACTCCGCCTGACCCAGATATTATTATTGTTTTTGTTACTCTTATTATCGCAAAGACTCTCTCCCAATTTATGGCTTATCTTTTCATTCTATTAAGTGCCTTTTTTCCCCCAAGATGAAGTCTCGCTGTGTTGCCCCAGCTGGAGTGCAGTGGTATGATCTCAGCTCACTGCAACTTCTGCCTCCACGGTTCAAGTGATTTTCCCACCTCAGCCTCCTGAGTAACTGGGATTACAGGTGCCTGCCACCACGCCCAGCTAATTTTTGTTTTTTTAGTAGAGACTGGGTTTCACCATATTGGCCAGGCTGGTCTCGAACCCCTGACCTCAAGTGATCTGCCCACCTTGGCCTCCCAAAATGCTGGGATTACAGGCGTGAGCCACCGTGCCCAGCCCGGCCCACATGCATTTTAGAAACAGTACATTGATTTGTATTCTACTCCCTTTCTAAAATCACTTATCAGTTCTTGGAACTTTTTTTTTTTTTTTTTTTTTTTTTTTTGAGACGGAGTCTCGCTCTGTCACCAGGCTGGAGTGCAGTGGCGCGATCTCGGCTCACTGCAACCTCTGCCTCCCAGGTTCGAGCAATTCTCCTGCCTCAGTCTCCTGAGTAGCTGGGACTACAGGTGTGCACCACCACGCCCAGCTAATTTTTTAGTAGAGGTAGGGTTTCACCGTGTTGGCCAGGATGGTCTCGCTCTCCTGACCTTGTGATCCACCCACCTTCACCTCCCAAAGTGCTGGGATTATAGGCGTGAGCCACCATGCCTAGCCAAGCCTGTGGTTTTCTTTCTGGAAGTGACGCAGTGCACTGAGAAGAATCCGTCCCACGCCACAGCCCTTACAGTCATCGTTATTGACATCACAGTCAAGTACAGCAGCCACTTGGGCTCCCGGGACATGCGCTGGAGTTGGTACTTTATAAAGACAAGCTGTAGGCAACAGTCTGATTAACTCGATGCCACAGCACATCACAGATTACCGACGTCCAGTTCCCATTCCCTTGGAGCTCAGACAAAGCTCAAACCCAAGGGCATGGACAAACCAGTCCCCAAATGCTATCCTTGTGGATCTATCTCCAGGCACCCCTCTTGTAATAATGCTACATCGATCGGGATCCACTCACAAGGCGGAAACCACAGAGTCATTTAAACAGGGAAGTTTTAACAGAAAAATGAACTATTTACAGGGGATTGTGACTAAGTGTGAATCAAAGAGAGCTCTAAAAAACACCCATGGGGCCGGGCGTGGTGGCTCACGCCTGTAATCCCAGCACTTTGGGAGGCTGAGGCAGGCAGATCAAGAGGTCAGGAGTTCGAGACCAGCCTCGCCAACATAGTGAAACTCCGTCTCTCCTAAAAATATAAAAATTGGCTGGGTGTGGTGGCACGCAACTGTAGTCTCAGCTACCTGGGAGGCTGAGGCAGGAGAATCGCTTGAACCCGGGAAGCAGAGGTTGCAGTCAGCCGAGATCATGCCAGTGCACTCCAGCCTGGGTGACAGAGGGAGACTCTGTCTCAACACACAAACACACACACATACACACACACACACACGCAAACAACAACAACCAAAAAACACCCAAAGGGTGAGGGAGAGAGCCCAGAGAAAGAACAAACCTGGAAGGGGGTAGCCTCGTTAAGGCTGGGTCTCAGACCTCACTGGAGAGAGGTGGCTGCAGCCCATTGGACGGTGAGGTTGGCTGGGTTGCCCCAGGTCACGGCTGGTCCACAACCAGCTGGCCGAGGCTGGTGGCCAGGGGACCACAAGCAGAAACCCCTCCTGCTGGGGTGCTGGGGTGCCAAGGTTGTCAGGCTGGGAACCACACACTGGGGCTGGCAGGCAGGAAGTTGAATGCCACTGTGTGTCCGGTGCAGGGCTGCCTGCCACGGGGGTGGGACAGAGGAGGAACCAGGACAAGCCCCTTCCTCCTGTGGTGTCCCTCCGGCGCCCTCTACTGGCAAAGAAGAAATGTTTGCCAGTTCCACATCTGGTAGCAAGCGGTGCAATAAATGGATTTGGAACTGGGAGGCAACAGATAGAAAACTGGCACCAGTATGTGCTCATGGTAAAAAAAAAAAAAAAAAAAGGAAAGGCAAGTTTTGTTTCTCTTTCCTTCTTGCTTGCTTGCTTTCTCTTTCTTTCTTTCTATTATTATTTTGAGAGAGATTCTTGCTCTGTCGCCTAGGCTGGAGTGCAGTGACAATCTGGGCTCATTGAAGCCTCGAACTCCCAGGCTCAAGTAACCCTCCCACCTCAGCCTCCCAAGTAGCTGGGACTACAGGTGTGTACCACCATGCCCGGCTAATGTTTATTTATTTATTTATTTATTTTTGGTAAAGATGAGGTCCTCACTATGTTGCCCTGGCTTGTCTCGAACTCCTGGGCTCAAGCGATCCTCCCACCTTGGCCTCTCAAAGTGTTGAGATTATAGGTGTGAGCCACCACACCTGGCCACAGTTTCATTTCAGAATGTCCTTGTTGAAGCAGTAAAAATGATCAATTTTATTAAATCTCAACCGTTGAATATATTTCTTCTTAATATTCTGTGTGTCAAAATGAGAAGAATGGATAAAGTGTTTAGATTAATCATAAATCCAATGGTTACCTCTGGAAAGGCTCTCAGAGATGGAGTTGTGGGATGAGCCAACCACCACCTGTCATGGAACACCATTTATACATGGAAGAACCAAGAACAATTTATTATTATTTTGAGACTGAGTCTCACTCCGTCGCCCAGGATAGAGTGCAGTGGCGCAATCTTGGCTCACTGCAACCTCTGCCTCCTGGATTCAAACAATTTTCATGCCTCAGCATCCCAAGTAGCTGGGATTACAGGTGCACACCACTACACTGGGCTAATTTTTGTGCCTTTAGCAGAGATGGGGTTTCACCATGTTGTGCTGGGATTATAGGTGTGAGCCACTACGCCCAGCCAAATTATTATTATTCAGACTTGGGTAGCTGGCAGACATTGTTTCAAAAATGAACTGAGTCGGTCACATCAAGAAAAACAACTGACAGTGCTACCAATGATGAAATTCTTTTTTTTTTTTTTTTTTTTTGAGATACAGTCTCGCTCTGTCACCCAGGCTGGAGTGCAGTGGCACCATCTCGGCTCATTGCCAAGATCTCGGCTCATTGCAACCTCCATCTCCTAGAAGGGTCAGGTGATTCTCCTGCCTCAGCCTCCCAAATAGCTGAGATTACAGGTGCGTGCCACCACACTTGGCTAATTTCTGTATTTTTAGTAGAGACAGGGTTTCACCATTTTGTCCAGGCTGGTCTCCAACTCCTGACCTCAAGTAATCTTCCCACCTTGGCCTCCCAAAGTGCTGGGATTACAGGCGTGAGCCACTGCGCCTGGCCAAAATTCTACTTTTTAAGTGAAAATTAGAATTTAAAAAAATGAAAAAAAATATCTGTTTTCATTAGCCTGGCGGCTGCCTACCACTTACAGATTTTATCCTCTCCTTTATTATTATTATTATTATTATTATTATTATTATTATTATTATTATTATAGAGATGGAGTCTCGCTCTGCCCCCCAGGCTGGAGTGCAGTGGCATGATCTCGGCTCACTGCAAGCTCTACCTCCCAGGTTCACGCCATTCTCCTGCCTCAGTCTCCTGAGTACCTTGGACTACAGGCACCTGCCACCATGCCTGGCTAATTTTTTGTATTTTTAGTAGGGATGGGGTTTCACCGTGTTAGCCAGGATGGTCTCGATCTCCTGACCTTGTGATCCACCCACCTCGGCCTCCCAAAGTCCTGGGATTACAGGTGTGAGCCACCGCACCCCGCCTCCTTTTTTTTTTTTGAGACAGAGTCTTGCTCTGTTGCCCAGGCTGGAGTGCAGTGGCTCTATCTCAGCTCACAACCTCCGCCTCCTGGGTTCAAGTGGTTCTCCTGCTTCAGCCTCCCGAGTAGCTGGGATTACAGGTGCCCACCATCACGCCTGGCTAATTTTTGTATTTTTAGTAGAGACAGGGTTTCACCATGTTGGCCAGGCTGGTCTTGAACTCCTGGCCTCAGGTGATCCACTCACTTCGGCCTCCCAAAGTGCTGGGATTACAGGAGTGAGCCACTGCGCCCAGCCAGTTTAATGTGTTTTATTTTATTTTATTTATTTATTTTGTTTTTTGAGATGGAGTTTCGCTCTTGTTGCCCAGGCTGGAGTGCAATGGCGTGATCTTGGCTCACCACAACCTCCGCCTCCCGGGTTCAAGTGATTCTCCTGCCTCAGCCTCCCGAGCAGCTGGGATTACAACAAGCATGTGTCACAACGCCTGGCTAATTTTGTATTTTTAGTAGAGACGGGGTTTCTCCATGTTAGGCTAGTCTCAAACTCCCGACCTCAGGTGATTCACCCGCCTCGGCCTCCCAAAGTGCTGGGATTACAGGCGTGAGCTACTGCTCCCAGCCAGATGGACTATCAATTATTAATAGACACTTCCTGGCCAGGCACCGTGGCTCATGCCTGTAATCCCAGCACTCTGGGAGGCTGAGACGGGCAGACCATGAGGTCAAGAGATGGAGACCATCCTGGCCAACATGGTGAAAACCAGTCTCTACTAAAAATTAGCTGGGCGTGGTGGCACGCGCCTGTAGTCCCAGCTACTTGGAAGGCTGAGGCAGGAGAATCGCTTGAACCTGGGAGGTGGAGGTTGCAGTGAGCCGAGATCGCGCCACTGCACTCCAGCCTGGCGACAAAGTGAGACTCCATCTCAAAAAAATAAAAATAAAAATAAAATAAAATAAAATAAAATAAACACTTCCATCTATTTGTCTGAGACCTTCTATCTCATATGCAGGCAATTCTAGGAGAGGTTGGGGTTACAAGGAAGTTGAGGGCAATGGTGAGAATAACCTAAAAGCTTGGGAGTGGTTATTCCCAAGAACTCTCATCTTGTGGACCAAGGAGGGTTGGAGAAATAGAGCCTTTGATTCTATTTTAAAAGGCTCAGGGAGGCCAAGCAAAGTAGCTCATGCCTGTAATCCCAGCACTTTGGGAGGCAGAGGTGGGAGAATCACCTGAGGTCAGGAGTTCGAGACCAGCCTGGCCAATATGGCAAAACATCATCTCTACTAAAAATACAAAAATTAGAGCCAGGAGCGGTGGCTCATGCCTGTAATCCCAGCACTTTGGGAGGCCAAGGCGGGCGGATCACCTGAGGTTGGGAGTTAGAGACCAGCCTGACCAACATGGAGAAACCCCATCTCTACTAAAAATACAAAATTAGCCGGGCATGGTGGCTCATGCCTGTAATCCCAGCTACTCGGGGGGCTGAGGCAGGAGAATCGCTTGAACCTGGGAGGCGGAGGTTGTGGTGAGCCGAGATTGAGCCAATGGGGCAACAAGAGCAAAACTCCATCTCAAAGAAAAAAAAAATTAGCTGGTTGTGGTGATGCATGCCTGTAATCCAAGCTACTAGGGAGGCTGAGGCAGGAGAACCATTTGAACCTGGGAGACGGAGGCTGCAGTGAGCCAAGATCACGCCACTGCACTCCAGCCTGGGTGACAGAGCCAGACTCAGTCTCAAAAAAAAAAAAAAAAAAAAAAAAATGGCGGCGGGGGAGCTTGGGAAAAGTGATGAGAGAAACCTGAGGTCTGACAGGTGCATGAGGAAATCTCACCTGTGACCC
Organism: Homo sapiens; assembly: GCF_000001405.40. Lineage (NCBI taxonomy): Eukaryota > Metazoa > Chordata > Mammalia > Primates > Hominidae > Homo > Homo sapiens. Next base: position 28,684,800 of record NC_000016.10, on the reverse strand, counting down.
AGAAGAGGGTCGTACTGTGCTGCTCTGCGTTTCGCAGGGCATGCCACATTTTTTTTAAAATAATTTCAACCTTTATCTTATTATTTTCTTGAGATGGAGTCTTGCTCTGTCGCTCAAGCTGGAGTGCAGTGGTGCAGTCTTGGCTCACTGCAACCTCCGCCTCCCAGGTTCAAGTGATTTTCCTGCCTCAGCCTCCCAAGTAGCTAAGATTACAGGTGCCTGCTGCCATGCCTGGCTAATTTTTGTATTTTTAGTAGAGACGGGGTTTCACCGTGTTGGCCAGGCTGGTCTTGAACTCCTGACCTCAGGTGATTCGCCTGCCTCGGCCTCCCAAAGTGCTGAGATTACAGGCGTGAGGCACCCACCGTGCCCGGCCATATTATTATTATTTTTTGAGATGGGGTGTTGCTTTGTTGCCCAGGCTGGAGTGCAGTAGCTCGATCACAGGTCACTGCAGTCTCACCCCCGCAGGCTCAAGCAATCCTCCCACCTCAGCCTCCTGAGTAGCTGGTGCTATAGCAAGTTCCACCACACCCTGCTAATTTTTTGTAAAGGTGGGGTCTCTCTATGTTGCCAAGGCTGGTCTCAAACTCCTTGGCTCAAGCCATCCTCCCACCTCGGCCTCCCAAAGTGCTCGGATTACAGACCTGAGCCACCGAGCCTGGTCTCCCAGCTTTTATTTTAGGTTCAGGGAGGCGTGTGTGGGTTCGTCACCTGGGTATACTGCATGATGCTGAGGCTTGGGCTATGAATGATCCTGTCATCCAGGAAGTAAGCATAATACCCAACAGTTTTTCAACTCTTACTCTCCACTGTCCCTCCCCACTCTAGGAGGTCCCAGTATCTATTGTTCCCATCTTTACATCCATGTGTGTACTCAATGTTTTTTTTTTGTTTTGTTTTGAGATGGAGTTGCGCTCTGTCGCGTAGGCTGAAGTGCAATCATGCAATCTTGGCTCACTGCAACCTCCACCTCCCGGGTTCAAATGATTCTCCTGCTTCAGCCCCTCGAGTAGCTGGGATTAAAGGCACCTGCCATCATGCCTGGCTAATTTTTGTATTTTTGTAGAGACAGGGTTTCGCCATATTGGCCAGGCTGATCTTGAACTCCTGACCTCAGATGATCCACCTGCCTCAGCCTCCCAAAGTGCTGGGATTACAGGTGTGAGCCACCACACCCAGGCAATGTGTACTCAATGTTTAGATCTCATTTATAAGTGAGAACACGCAGTCCTTGGTTTTCTGTTCCTGGGTTAATTTGCTTAGGATAATGACCGCCAGCTACATCCATGTCAGAGCGAAGAACATGATTTCATTAGTGTTTATGGCTGGGCATGCTGCATTCTTTCACTGCTTGCTGAGCATCAGCAGGGAAGCATTGCCTTGGGAACGGAACTTGATGGGAGGCCTCCTTGGGACCTCTCTCCTTCTCCGCCTCCTCCTCACTCTCCTCCTTCCTCCTCCTCCATAAATTGGACCAAAACATATCCTGCTGGGGACCAAAACATATCTGCACTGGCTCACGCATGTAACCCCAGCACTTTGGGAGGCTGAGGCGGGTGGATCACTTGAGGTCAGGAGTTTGACACCAGCCTGGGCAACACGGTGAAACTCCATCTCTACTGAAAATACAAAATTGCTTGAATCTGGGAGGTGGAGGTTGCAGTGAGCCAAGATTGCGCCACTGCACTCCAGCCTGGGTTAACAAGTGAGACTCTGTTTCAAAAAAAAAAAAAAAAATATATATATATATATATATGGCCGGGCACGGTGGCTCTCACCTGTAATCCCAGCACTTTGGGAGGCTGAGGCGGGCAGATCACAAGGTCAAGAGATCGAGACCATTCTGGCCAACATGGTGAAACCCCATCTCTACTAAAAGTACAAAAATTAGCTGGGTGTGGTGGTGCGTGCCTGTAGTCTCAGCTACTCAGGAGGCTGAGGCAGGAGAATCGCCTGAACCCAAAAGGTGGAGGTTGCAGTGAGTTGAGATTGTGCCACTGCACACCAGCCTGATAACAGAGTGAGACTTCATCTCAAAAAAAAAAAAAAAAATATATATATATATATATATAAAATAGAGGACCAATTTCAGCAGCATATTAAAAGGATTTTATGGGGCCGGGCATGGTGGCTCATGCCTGTAATCCCAGCACTTTGGGATGCCAAGGTGGGCGGATCATGAGGTCAAGAGTTTGAGACCAGCCTGGCCAACATGGTGAAACCCCATCTCTATTAAGAATACAAAAAGTAGCCGGGCGTGGTGGCGCATGCCTGTAAATCCCAGCTACTCAGGAGACTGAGGCAGGAGAACTGCTTGAACCCAGGGGGTGGGGGTTGCAATGAGCCAAGGTTGCGCCACTGCACTCCAGCCTGGACGACAGAGCAAGACTGTCTCAGGAAAAAAAAAAAAAGTATTTTATCCATGAACAAGTTGGATTTATTCCTGGAATGCAAAGATGTTTTAACATATGAAAATTAATCAATGTCATATACCACATTAATAGAATAAAGGGAAAAATCTTATAATTGTCTCAGTTGATGCAGAAAAAGTATTCGGCAAAATCCAATACTCTTTCAAGATTTAAAAAAAAACACTCAGCCAGGCACGGTGGCTCACGCCTGTAACCCTAGTACTTTGGGAGGCCGAGGCAGGTGGATCGCTGGAGCTCAGGAGTTCAAGACCAGCCTTGGCAACATGGCAAAACCATGTCTCTACCAAAAACAAAAATTAAGCTGGGTATGGTGGTGCATGCCTGTAGTCCCAGCTACTTGGGAGGCTGAGGTGGGAGGACGGCTTGAACCCAGGAGGTGGAGGTTGCAGGGAGCCATTATCAGGCCACTGCACTCCAGCCTGGGTGAGAGAACAAGGCCCTGTCTGGAAAAAATAAAATAAAACTAGAACTAGAAGAATTTTCCTCAACATGGTAAAGGCCATACATGAAAAACAGAGTTAACATCATATTCAATGATGAAAGACTGAAAATTTTCCCCATAAGATCAGGAACAAAACAAGAACCACCACTTTGGCCACTTCTATTTAACAGAGTATTGGAATTTCTAGCCAGAGAAATTAAGCAAGAAAAATAAGTAAAAGTTACCTGAATTGGAAAGGAAAAAGTAAAATTATCTGTACTTGCAGATGAAATGATTTTATACGTGGAAAACCCTAAAGCTTACATACATACACAACTATTAGAGCCAATAAATGAATTCAACAAAGTTGCAGCATACAAAGTCAACACACAAAAATCAGTTGCATTTCTTTACACTAACGATGAATAACCCCAAAGAGAAATTAAGAAAACAACTCTATTTAAATTACCATGCGGCCGGGTGCAATGGCTCATACCTGTAATCCCAGCACTTTGGGAGGCTGAGGTGGGTGGATCACCTGAGGTCAGGAGTTCAAGACCAGCCTGGCCAACATGGTAAAATCCAGTCTCTACTAAAAATACAAAAAACTGGCCGGGTGCGGTGGCTCACGCCTATAATCCCAGCACTTTGGGAGGCCAAGGCGGGCAGATCACCTGAGGTCGGATGTTCGAGACCAGCCTGACCAACACAGAGAAACTCTGTCTCTACTAAAAATACAAATAAAATTAGCTGGCCGTGGTGGCACATGCCTGTAATCCCAGCTACTCAGAAAGCTGAGGCAGGAGAATTGCTTGAACCCGGGAGGCAGAGGTTGCGGTGAGCCGAGGTCACACCATTGCACTCCAGCCTGGGCAATAAGAGCAAAACTACATCTCAAAAAACAAAAACAAAAACAAAAAATTAGCTGGGCGTGGAGGCGGGTGCCTGTAATCTCAGCTACTTGGGAGGCTGAGGCAGGAGAATCACTTGAACCCAGAAGGCAGAGGTTGCAGTGAGCCAAGATCACACCACTGCAATCCAGCCTGGGCAAAAAGAGCGAAATTCTATCTCAAGAAAAAAAAAAGCCATGAAAAGGAATCAAATAGGAAGAAATGTAACCAATGAGGCAAAATATTTGTAACTGAAAACTACAAAAAATTAAAGAGACATAAATAAAAAGATATCCTATGTTTATAGAATGTAAAATTTATTGTTTGTTTGTTTTTTGAGACAGAGTCTTGCTCTGTCACCCAGGCTGGAGTGCTGTGATGCGATCTTGGCTCACTGCAACCTCTGCCTCCTGGGTTCAAGTGATTCTTCTGCCTCAGCCTCCTGAGTGGCGGGAACTACAGGCACGTGCCACCACGCCCAGCTAATTTTTTTTTTTTGCATTTTTAGTAGAGACAGGATTTTACCATGTTGGCAGGGCTGGTCTCGAACTCCTGACCTCAAGTGATCTGCCCGCCTCAGCCTCCCAAAGTGCTGAGATTACAGGCATGAGCCACTGCGCCCGGCCTGAATGTAAGATTTAATATTGTTAAGATGACGGTACTACCCAGAGCAATCTACAGATTCAATGCAATTTGTATCAAAATCCAAATGGTATTTTTAATATTTTACAGATATACAAAAACTCATCCTAAAATTTATGTGGAATCACAAGGCATCCTAAATAACACAAAAAAAGACGGAAAAAAAGGTCTGCAGAAAAAGAAGAAACCAGGTCTCTCATTTCCTGATTTCAAAACTTAAATACTAACCTACCACAATGAAAAGAGTGTGGTACTGGCATAAAGACAAACATATAAGGCCGCCTGTAATCTCAACAATTTGGGAGACTGAGGTGAGTGGATTGCTTGAGCCCAGGAGTTCAAAATCAACCTGGGCAACATGGCAAAACCCAGTCTTTACAAAAAATACAATTAGCTAGGCGTGGTAGCCTGCGCCTATAGTCCCAGCTACTGAGGAGGAGGCTGAGGTGGGAGGATCACTCAAGCCTAGGAGGCAGAGGTTGCAGTGAACTGAGATCATGCCAGTGCACTCCAGCCTGGGCAACAGAGTGAGACTCCGTCTCAAAAATAAAGAAAGAGAGAAAAAAATAGACACATATATTAGACCAGTGTGAGAGGTGACAGCGTGCTGGTAGTCCTCACAGCCCTCGTTCGCTCTTGGCGCCTCCTCTGCCTGGGCTCCCACTTTGGCGGCATTTGAGGAGCCCTTCAGCCCACCACTGCTCTGTGGGAGCCCCTTTCTGGGCTGGCCAAGGCTGGAGCCAGCTGCCTTAGCTTGCGGGGAGGTGTGGATGGAGAGGCACGAGTGGGAAGCGGGGCTGCGCGCGGCGCTTGCGGGCCAGCTGGAGGTCCGAGTGGGCGTGGGCTTGGCGGGCCCTGCACTAGGAGCCACCAGCCGGCCCTGCCAGCCCCGGGCAATGAGGGGCTTAGTACCCAGGCCAGCAGCTGCGGACGGTGTACTGGGTCCCCCAGCAATGCCAGCCCACGGGCGCTGCTCTCGATTTCTCACGGGGTCTTAGCTGCCCTCCCGCCGGGCAGGGCTCCGGACCTGCAGCCCGCCATGCCTGAGCCTCCCACCCCCTCCATGGGCTCCTGTGAGGCCGGAGTCTCCCCAGGAGCACTGTCCCCCGCTCCTCGGCGCCCAGTCCCATCGACCACCCAAGGGCTGAGGAGTGCAGGTAGACAGCGCGGGACTGGCAGGTAGCTCCACCTGCAGCCCCGGTGCGGGATCCACTGGGTGAAGCCAGCTGGGCTCCTGAGTCTGGTGGGGACGTGGAGAACCTTTATGTCTAGCTCAGGGATTGTAAATACACCAATGGGCACTCTGTATCTAGCTCAAGGTTTGTAAACACACCAATCAGCACCCTGTGTCTAGCTCAGGGTTTGTGAATGCACCAGTCGACACTCTGTATCTAGCTATCTGGTGGGGCCTTGGAGAACCTTTGTGCTGACACTCTGTGTCTAGCTAATCTGGTGGGGAGGTGGAGAACCTTTGTGTCTAGCTCAGGGATTGTAAACGCACCAATCAGCACCCTGTCAAAACAGACCACTCAGCCCTACCAATCAGCAGGATGTGGGTGGGGCCAGATAAGAGAATAAAAGCAGGCTGCCCGCGCCCACAGTGGCAACTGGCTCGGGTCTTGTTACACGCTGTGGAAGCTTTGTTCTTTCGCTCTTTGCGATAAATGTTGCTACTGCTCACTCTTTGGCTCCACGCTGCTTTTATGAGCTGTAACACCGCGAAGGTATGCAACTTCACTTCTGAAGCCAGCGAGACCATGAGCCCACCGGGAGGAATGAACAACTCCAGACGCGCCACCTTAAGAGCTGTAACACTCACCGCGAAGGTCTGCAGCTTCACTCCTGAACCAGGGAGACCACGAACCCACCAGAAAGAAGAAACTCCAAACACATCCGAACGTCAGAAGGAACAAATTCCAGACGCGCCACCTTAAGAGCTGTAACACTCACCGCGAGGGTACGCGGCTTCATTCTTGAAGTCAGTGAGACCAAGAACCCACCAATTCCGGACACAAGTGGAATAGATTAGAGAGCCCAGAAATAAACCTTCTACATGGAAGATTAATTTTTGACAAGGGTTCCAAGACCACTTAATGGGGGAAAGAACAACCTTTTCGATAATAGCAGTGGGACAACTGGATATCCATACACAAAAGAATAGTCCGGGTGTGGTGGTTCACACCTGTAATCCCAGCACATTGGGAGGCCAAGGCAGGCAGATCACCTGAGGTCAGGAGTTCAAGACCAGCCTGGCCAACATGGTGAAACCCCATCTCTACTAAAATACAAAAAAATGAGCTGAGCCTGGTGGCATGCAGCTGTAATCCCAGCTACTTGGGAGACTGAGGCATGAGAATCGCTTGAACCCGGGAGGGGGAGGTTGCCATGAGCTGAGATTGCGCCACTGCACTCCAGCCTGGGTGACACAGCAAGACTCCATCTCAAAAAAAAAAAAAAAAAAAGTCTTTACAATAGATCAATTTAGGTTTTATATTTCTTTTTTTCTTTTTCTTTTTGAGTTGGAATTTCCCTCTTGTTGCCCAGGCTGGAGTGCAATGGCGCCATCTCAGCTCACTGCAGCCTCAGCCTCCTGGGTTCAAGTGACTCTCCTGCCTCAGCCTCCAGAGTAGCTGGCATTATAGGCACATGCCATCATACCCGGCTAATTTTTGTATTTATTTATTTATTTATTTTTGAGACAGAGTCTCGCCCTGTCACCCAGGCTAGAGTGCAATGGCACAATCTCAGCTTACTGCAACCTCCACCTCCCCGGTTTAAGTGATTCTCCTGCCTCAGCTGGGATTACAGGCGTGCGCCACTTGCCTGGCTAATTTTTTGTATCTTTAGTAGACATGAGGTTTCACCATGTTGGTCAGGCTGGTCTCAAACTCCTGATCTCAGATGATCTACTTGACTCAGCCCCTCAAAGTGCTGGGATTACAGACGTGAGCCACCATGCCTGGCCTAGATTTTATATTTCTTCTTAAGTTTGGTGTTTAAATTCCCCTAGGAATTTGTTCCTTTCATCTAATTTGTTGGCATACAACTGTTCATAGTATTCCCTGATAATTCTTTTACTTATCTAATGTTGGTAGTGATGTCTCCTCTTTTGCTCCTGTTTTGCAGTTTGAGTCTCCTCTGCTTTTTTCTTGGTCAGTCCATCTAAAGGTTCATCAATTTTATGGATTTTTCAAAGAACCAAATTATTTTGGTTTTACTTACTTCCTCTATTTTTTATTCTCTGCTGCATTTATTTCTGCTCATCTTTATTATCTTTTTTTTTTTTTTTTTTTTTTTTTTGAGACGAAGTCTCTTGTCGCCCAGGCTGGAGTGCAATGGTGAGATCTCAGCTCACTGAAAACTACGCCTCCTGGGTTCGAGCGATTCTTGTGCCTCAGCCTCCTGAGTAGCTGGGACCACAGGCATGTGCCACCATGCCTGGCTAATTTTTTTATTTAGCAGAGACAGGCTTTCACCATGTTGGCCAGGATGGTGTCAAACTCCTGGCCTCAAGCTGTCTGCCCACTTCAGCCTCCCTAAACTGGGATTACAGGTGTGAGTAATCCTCTGCCTCTGGGAGGCAGAAGTTGCAGTGAGCCAAGATCACACCACTGTACTACAGCCTGTGCAACAGAGCGAGACTCCACCTCAAAAAAAAAAAAAAATTAGCCGGACATGGTGGCACATATCTGTAGTTCCAGCTGCTTGGGGGACTGAGGCAGGGGGCTTGCTTGAGCCTAGGAGGTCAAGGCTGCTATAACCCATGTTTATGCCACTGCACTGCAGCCTGGGCAACAAAGTGAGAACCTGTCTCAAAATAAAAATAAAAATAAGTAAATAGGCCAGGCATGGTGGCGCATGCCTGTAATCCCAGCACTTTGAGAGGCTGAGGTGTGAGGATCATGAGGTCAGGAGTTTGAGACCAGCCTGGCCAACATAGTGAAACCCTGTCTCTACCAAAAATACAAAAATTAGCCAGGTGTGGTGGTGGGCACCTGTAGTCCCAGCTACTCGGGAGGCCAAAGCAGGAGAATCGTTTGAACCCGGGAGGCAGAGGTTGCAGTGAGCCGAGATCATGCCATTGCACTCCAGGCTGGGTGACAGAGTGAGACTCCGTCTCAAAAAAAAAAAAAAAAAAAAAAAAGGAAATAAATATAGCTTCCTAGGGGATTCTGTTTGCAGAGTGTGTCGAGAATATGAAGCCCAGAATTCAAGACTGCATTATGGACTGTGAAGGCTGAGGAGGGCTGTGAGGAAAGAGTGGGTAGGTTAAAGGAGCAGAGGCAACTGTCATGCCCTTTGGCTCTTCTATAGGAAAAGAGGAAAGAGTGAGCCTTGGGCTGTGTTTTGTGAGGGAATAGTGCCCTCCCTTTGTGGGTAAGCAAAGTTGGCTCGGAAGATGAAGACAGATGAGTCAAGAACGTCAGGGTGTCAGGGGGAGCACAAAAAGAAGGCGAAATATGCCCTTCTACACTCAAACTTGAAGGTATTCAGGGCCTGGTGGCTGGATCTGAGGCCATGCTGAGTCCTGAAGAGGGGACCAAAGTCTTGCTTTGTGAAAACTGTCTAGACTGTCCTAGCAATTCCATTTGTTTTTGACTGTCCTAGCAATTCCGTTTTTTTTTTTTTTGACAGCATCTCACTCTTGTCACCCAGGCTGGAGTGCAGTGGCACGATCTCAGCTCATTGCAACCTCCACCTCCTGGGTTCAAATGATTCTCCTGCCTCAGCCTCCCAAGTAGCTGGGATTACAGGCACCTGCCACTGCGCCCAGCTAATTTTTGTATTTTTGGTAGAGACAGGATTTCACCATCTTGGCCAGGCTGCTCTTGAACTACTGACCTTGTGATCCACCCACCTTGGCCTTCCAAAGTGCTGGGATTACAGGCGTGAGCCACTGTGACTGGCTTTTTTTTTTTTTTTTTTTTTTTTCTGAGACGGAGTCTCGCTCTGTCACCCAGGCTGGAGTGCAGTGGCGCAGTCTCAGCTCACTACAAGCTCTGCCTCCCGGGTTCGCGCCATTCTCCTGCCTCAGCCTCCTGAGTAGCTGGGACTACAGGCGCCCGCCACTGCGCCCAGCTAATTTTTTGTGTTTTTAGTAGAGATGGGGTTTCACTGTGTTAGCCAGGAGGTTCTCGATCTCCTGACCTCATGATCTGCCCGCCTCGGCCTCCCAAAGTGCTGGGATTACAGGCGTGAGCCACTGCGCCCGGCTGCCTTTTTAAATTTAAAAAACTTTTTTTTTTTTTTTGAGACAGTCTCTCTCTGTCCCCCAGGCTGGAGTGCAGTGGCGGGAATCTCAGCTCACTGCAACCTCTACCTCCCAGGTTCAAGCAATTCTTCTGCCTCAGCCTCCCAAGTAGCTGGGATTACAGGCACACGGCACCACACCTGGCTAATTTTTGTATTTTTAGTAGAGATAGGTTTTCACCATGTTGGCCAGACTGCTCTCGAACTCCTAACCTCAGGTGATCCTCCTGCCTCGGCCTCCCAAAGTGTGAGTACAGGCGTTAGTCACCACTGCACCTGGCCTCCATTCTCATCTTTTCTGATTGGAGAACTCGGTTCTCCAGAGCACAGAAGTAGCACTTCTTTCCCCTGGTCCCTGGAGAGTAAGGTCTTGTTCACATCTGTGCATGGGGCTCAGATCAGGGCCTGGTGCAGAGAAAGTGCACAATAAATGGGTGTTTAAGTCTGGGCATGGTGCCTCATATCTGTAATCCTAGCACTTTGGGAGACCAATGTGGGAGGATCACTTGAGCCCAGGAATTCAAGACCAGCCTGGGCAACAAAGCAAGACCCCGATCTCTACCAAAAAATAGAAAAATTAGCCAGGTGTGGTGGCACGTTCCAGCTACCCGGGAGGCTGAGGTGAGAGGATTGCTTGAGCTGGGAGGCTTCAGTGAGCTGTGCTTGTACCACTGCACACCAGCCTGGGAGACACAGTGAGACCCTGTCTCAAAAAATATAATAAAAGTCTAAAAAATTAATGGGGGCTGGGCGTGGTGGCTCATGCCTGTAATCCCAGCACTCTGGGAGGCCAAGGTGGGCAGATCACCTGAAGTCAGGAGTTCAAGACCAGCCTGGCCAACATAGTGAAACTCTGTCTCTACTAAAAATACAAAAATTAGCTGGGCATGGTGGCGGGTGCCTGTAATCCCAGCTACTCAGGAGGCTGAGGCAGGAGAATTGCTTGAACCCAGGAGACGGAGGTTGCAGTGAGCCAAGATCACGCCACTGCACTCCAGCGTGGGCAACAGAGCAATACTCTGTCTCAAAAATAAATAAACATAGGCCAGGTGCAGTGGCTCATGCCTATAATCCCAGTACTTTCAGAGGCTGAGGCAGAAAAATCACTTGAGGTCAGAAGTTCGAGACCAGCCTGGCCAACATGGTGAACCCTCATCTCTACTAAAAATACAAAAATTAGCCAGGCGTGGTGGTGCATGCCTGTAATCCAGCTACTTGGGAGGCTGAGGCAGAAGAATTGCTTGAACCCAGGAGGCAGAGGTTGCAGTGAGCCAAGATTGTGCCACTGCACTCCAGCTTGGGTGACAAAGTGAGACTTTGTCTCAATTAAAAAAATAATAAGATAGCCAGGCGTGGTGGCTCACGCCTGTAATCCCAGCACTTTGGGAGGCCAAGGCGGGCGGATCAGCTGAGGTCAGGAGTTCAAGACCAGCCTGGCCAGCATGGCGAAATCCCATCTCTACTAAAAGTACCAAAATTAGCCAGGTGTTGGGGTGGGCGCCTGTAATCCCAGCTACTCAGGAGGAGGAGGCGGCAGAATCACTTGAACCCAGGAGACGGAGGTTGCAGTGAGCTGAGATCACGCCACTACACTCCAGCCTGGGTGACAAGAGCAAGACTCCGTCTCAAAAAAATAAAATAAAATAAATAAATAAAATAAAATAACAAATGGGTGTTTAAATGAATGATGTTCATGGAATCTCTCCCCAGTGCTTTGCTTTCCACAAAGTTCTGCATGGAAGTCTCAATAAATTGTGGTTGAATGCTTGACAGTAACTGTGATGAAAGCAGAATTCACCTTTCATCACCTGGCCAGCAAATGTTTTGTTGTCTTATTATTATTATTATTATTATTTGAGATGGAGTCTTGCTCTGTCGCCCAGGCTGGAGTGCAGTGGCGTGATCTCGGCTCACTGCAAGCTCCGCCTCCTGGGTTCACGCCATTCTCCTGCCTCAGCCTCCCAAGTAGCTGGGACTACAGGTGCCCGCCACCATGCCCGGCTAATTTTTTTTTGTATTTTTAGTAGAGATGGGGTTTCACCATGTTAGCCAGGATGGTCTCGATCTCCTGACCTTGTGATCCGCCCACCTCGGCCTCCCAAAGTGCTGGGATTACAGGCTTGAGCCACCGCGCCCGGCCTGCTTGTCTTATATAGTATTGACCAGTAAAATGTTTTTTTTTTTTTGAGCCAGAGTCTCACTCTGTCACCAGGCTGGAGTGCAGTGGCGTGATCTCGGCTCACTGCAATCTCCACCTCCTGGGTTCAAGCGATTCTTCTGCCTCAGCCTCCTGAGTAACTGGGACCACAGGCTCCCACCACCATGCCCAGGTAATTTTTGTATTTTTAGTAGAGACAGGGTTTCTTTTTCTTTCTTTCTTTCTTTTTTTTTTTTTTGGAGACGGAGTCTCGCTCTTTCACCCAGGCTGGAGCTCAGTGGCATGATCTCGGCTCACTGCAACCTCCACCTCCCAGGTTCATGCCATTCTCCTGCCTCAGCCTCCTGAGTAGCTGGGACTACAGGTGCCCGCCACCACACCTGGCTAATTTTTTGTATTTTTAGTAGAGATGGGGTTTCACCATGTTAGCCAGGATGGTCTCGATCTCCTGACCTTGTGATCCACCCACCTCGGCCTCCCAAAGTGCTGGGATTACAGGCTTGAGCCACCGCACCCGGCCCGTAGAGACAGGGTTTCACCATGTTGACCAGTATGGTCTCGATCTCCTGACCTCAGGTGATCCACCTGCCTCGGCCTCCCAAAGTGCTGGGATTACAGGAGTGAGCCACCTGGCCTGGCCAAGATGTCTTTCAAATAATTAAAGCCACATCTTTTTGTAGTTCATAAACGTGATGACTGTGTTTTCATGCTCATGCGTGAGTTGCACCTCCCTCAAACCTTGTTTTGACATTGACACATTATCTGCCTGATGTAAAAATAATGAAATCCAATATACTAAGATCAGGAGATTTCACAATAAAATCCCAATTTCTGTTTCTTTTAAAAAATCAGGCCAGCCATGATGGCTTATGCCTGGAATTCCAGCACTTTGGGAGGCCCAGGCAGAAGGATCACTTGATCCTGGAAGTTCAAGATCAGCATGGTTAACACAGGGAGACCTGGTCTCAATTTAAAAATTAGCTGGGCATGGCACTTTGGGAGACTGAGGCAGGTGGATCACCCGAGATCAGAAGTTTGAGACCAGCTTGGCCAATATGGTGAAACCTCATCTCTGTATTAAAAAAAAAAAAAAATTAGCCAGTTGTGGTAATGAGCGCCTGTAATCCCAGCTACTCGAGAGGCTGAGGCAGGGGAATCACTGGAACCTGGGAAGTGGAGGTTGCAGTGAGCCAAGATCTCGCCATTGCATTTGAGCCTGGGTAACAGAGTGAGACTCTGTCTCAAAACAAACAAACAAACAAACAAAAACATTAGCCATAGCCCCAGTTATCTGGAGGCTGAGATGGAGGCTGAGAACCCACGAGTTCGTTCAAGGCTGCAGTGAGCTATCATTGCACTCCAGCCAGGATGACAGAGCAAGACCCTGTCTCAAAATAAAATAAATACTTTGGGAGGCCAAAGTGGGCAGATCACCTGAGGTCAGGAGTTCGAGACCAGCCAGGTCAACATGGCGAAACCCATCTCTACTAATAAAATACAAAAATTAGCCAGGCATGGTGGTGTGTGCCTATAATCCCAGCTACCCAGGAGGCTGAGGCAGGAGAATCACTTGATCCCAGGAGGCAGAGGTTGCAGTAAGCCGAGATTGTGCCACTGCACTCCAGCCTGGGCAACAAGAGCAAAACCCCATCTCAAATAAATAAATAAATAGAAATAAATAAATAAAATGGTTACTTTATGTTATTTCACCTCAATAATTTTAAGTAAAATAAAATTAGATAACTGATAGCCAGGCATGGTGGTGGATGCCTGTAATCCCAGCTACTCAGGAGGCTGAGGCAGGAGAATCGCTTGAATCCGAGGCAGAGGCTGCAGTGAGCCAAGATCACGCCACTGCACTCCAGCCTGGGTGACAGAGCAAGACTCCGTCTCAAAAAAAAAAATTTAGATAACTGATTAGAAGGTACTGAAGTTTGCCATCCTTTGGAAACGATCCTCTTCATTAGAAAGATGAGGATCCTGAGGCCCTACAAGGGAAGTGTCAGGTCAGTGGAAGAGACTGAAAGGGAAGTTTGGTTCCCACCCCGGCAGCACAGTCGCTGCCTCCTCTCCCCTTTACTTAGGCTATGAACTCTGGTGTGATACAGACCACAACCCGTTCACCATAGGTTACACCCCACATCTTTTGGCTCGGACCCTGGCACTTGAACTGTCAGCCTCCAAGTAGCTGGGACAATAGGCCAGCTCAACAAATGCCCCCTGCTCATTAAAATTTTTTTTTTGTAGAGTTGGGGTCTTGTTATGTTGCCCAGGGTGGTCTCAAATTCCTGATCTCAAGCAATTCTCGCCTTGGCCTCCCAAAGTGCTGAGATTACAGGCATGAGCCACTGTACACAGTCTTGATGTATTACCTTTTATTTTTTAAAAAATTTTTATAAAGACGGGTGTCACCATGTTGTCCATGCTGGTCTCAAACTCCTGGGCTCAGGCAATCCTCCCGACTTGGCCTCCCAAAGTGCTGGGATTACTGGTGTGAGCCGTGCCTGGCTTGCTTTTTTTGTTTTTGTTTTTGAGATGGAGTCTCACTGTTGCTCAGGCTGGAGTGCAGTGGCGCAATCTCGGCTCACTACAACCTCCGCCTCCTGAGTTCAAAGGATTCTCCCGTCTCAGCCTCCCGAGTAGCTGGGATTACAGGTGTGTGCCACCACACCTGGCTTATTTTTGTATTTTTAGTAGAGATGGGGTTTCACCATGTTGGCCAGGATGGTCTTGATCTCCTGACCTCATGATCCACCTGCCTACGTCTGGCTTTTTTAATTAAAAAAAAATTTTTTTAAGTACTTTTTTTCTTTTGAGATGGAGTCTCACTCTGTCACCCAGGCTGGAGTGCAATGGCACAATCGTGGCTCACTGCAACCTCCACCTCTTGGGTTCAAGCAATTCTCCTGTCTTAGCCTCCCAAGTAGCTTGGACTACAGTCATGCACCACTATGCCTGGCTAATTCTTGTATTTTTAGTAGAGATGGGGTTCCACCATGTTGGTCAGGCTGGTCTCGAACTCCTGATTTTGTGATCCACCTGCCTCAGCCTCCCAAAGTGCTGGGATTACAGGCATGAGCCACCATGCCCAGCCTAAAGTACTTTTCATTAGAGACAGTACTTTATTCAAACTGCTTCTCTTCTCGTGCTTTTGTGTCTTGAGACAGTCTGTCTGTCACCCAGGTTGGAATGCAGTGGTGTGATGACAGCTCACTGAAGCCTCGACCTTCCAGGCTCAGGTGATCCTCCCACCTCAGTCTTCTGAGTTGCTGGGACTATAGTTGTGTGCCACCATGCCTGGTGGATGTATGACTGTTTATGTAGGAACGTCTGTTAATTGTAAATTTCCTCCAAAACCACCCTGTTGTTGCAGAAATGACAGGCTGTGAGCACTGTAGCCACCTATACATTCCTTCCAGAGCACTATGCTTTTGCTCCAAGACATAAGCGGTAGGTCTTGGGGCTGTGGTGTGGAGATCTGTCATGGCGCAGCCCAAGACCATGCTTTTGTGTGTAAGTTCCTTAATAAATCACCCAAAACTGACAAACTGGATTTGTCTGCTTCCTTTTTTTTTTTGGCTCCTTTGGCATGAGGGTCACTTGGCATATACGGCCCTTTCACGGAATGCACAGCAACTCCAACAAAGAGAGATGATCTTTCACAGATGAAGCCGCTGAGGCTTAGAGAAGCGAGATTGTCCCAAGGGTGGCAGCTTCTAAGGGAAGGGCTGGAATGTGAACCCAGGCATCTTGACTTGAGCCTTGTCCTTTTGGCCCCTATGCCCTCCCACCTTCCAACCCAGGGGATTAGCTAAAATTTAGGAAAGCAGTTCATGTTATTTAAAGGGAGGGGAGGCCGGGCATGGTGGCTCATGCCTGTAATCCCAGCACTTTGGGACGCTGAGGCGGGCAGATCACTTGAGGCCAGGAGTTCAAGACCAGTCTGGCCAACATGGTGAAAACCCATCTGTACTAAAAATATGAAAATTAGCCGGGTGTGGTGGCGAGTGTCTGTAGTCCCAGCTACTCGGGAGGCTGAGATTGCAGTGAGCTGAGATTGCACCACTGAACTCCAACCTGGGTGACAGGGCAAGACTCTGTCTATAAAATAAATAAATTATAAAATAAATAAAATTTCAGAAAGCAGCTCACTTTATGTAAAGGGACAGGAAACAGCAACAGATGACATAGATATAGGATGATTCCAGTCTAGTAATAAATATACACACACCAGAAAGAGAGGCATTAAAATGTTAACGGTAGTTAACAGCCTGGGCGACAGAGCGGAGACCCTGTCTCAAAAAAAAAAAAAAAAAGTTAAGAAAAGGAGTGACAATCCACGTGTGGCCCACAAAGCTTAAAATATATACTATCTAGCCCTGGGCAGAAAAGGGTTTGACAATGCTGTTCAAAGGTCACCATTGGTAGATTGGAAACTGAAAAAGGTATATACCCTGGCATTGGACAACACAATGGCTGTGCCTCCTGCCTAAGAATGCTGAACTGGCCAAGTGAGGTACTTGGCAGCCCAGCCCTGAAATGCATAAGCTCTCCAGCCTTTTCATCACTGCTCCTCCCTGGTTCTTAACCTCTGGCCACTCGATCCTCTGGCTTCCCTTCCACCAAGCACTCGCACGTTGAGTCCAGTCCCTAGGCCTCTCCTCTAGGCTGCCCCCTCTGGAAATGTAAGCAGCACCAGGTATAAGAGCCAGGCACAGGCTGCCTTGACGTGCACCTAGCCCCCTTACTTCCCCATTGTGTGGAAGGTAAATCACTTCTCTTTGGGTCTGTTTTCCCATCTACAAGTTGGGAATGACAATAGGGTTATTCTGAGATTAAGTGAGATAAGGCAGCTAAAGCACGCAGTATGGAAGTGGTCAACATGCTGGCTCTGATGTCAGCCACGACCAGACTTCGGGTAACTATTTATAAGTCATTCCCTTCAAAACCTTTCTCTCTGTTCTTTCTCTTCTGTGACAGACTAATACTTGTGCCCCTTCCCTTCATTTAGAAACAAAATGACCCAAGTTTAAATGAACATGTAACTATCCAGCTAGAGGCATTTTAGTCTCGCATATAGGGTGGTAAGAAGGTGAGACTAAGTTCTGGCCAATGGGATCAGTGTAATTTCCAGGCCCTGTATTTCCGCTTCCTTTTACATGGGCTTGAACGAGGACTTGGGGCTGGTGAGCCGCTTTAACCACACAGATGACAACCTTGGGGATGCAAGAGCAACATGACAGCGCAGCCCTGGGTCCCTAGATGATTTTGCATAACGGTTGTTGTCTAACCCTAACCCTGGACCAATCACCTCTGAACTGTCACATGAGAAATAAGCTATTTTGCTGAGTCACTGTTTGGGGCTCCTTGTGACAGAAGCTGAGTCTAGAATCTAGTTAGTGCACGTCAGAAGGCTTCTCTTCAACTTCAGTATCAGTCCGCCCTCCATATGTGCTGTTCTTGTACTTCTGAACACAAAGAATATTCCAGCTATTTCTTGAAAACAGTCATATTTGTTTATCCTCCAGTCAGGAGAATGTGTCATTCTTGACTCCTTCAACTCCCGAATCCACTGGTCACAGTAGCTTCAGTTTTTTACATCTGCACCTCTTCAATCCTCCCCCTACCTCTGACCCCAGGCACCCTGACTTCAGATGGTTTTTTTTTTTTTTTTTGGGCTTCATGCTCTTTGCTTCCAATTTCATAGTCTTACACAATGATGCTTCATTCTCTTAAAATGGAATCCATTCATGTTATTTTGTTACCTTTTTTTAGAGACAGGGTCTTGCTCTATTCCCCAGGCTGGAGTGCAGTGGTATAATCACAGCTCACTGTACCCTTTACTTAAATAGACCTTAAGTTCCTGGGCTCAAGTGATCCTCCTGCCTCAGTCTCCCCAGCAGCTTGGACTACTGGCACACACAACCATGTCCGGCTAAATTTTAATTTTTTGTCCTCTCCCTCCCCCTCCCCCTTCCTCTCCCACTTTCCACAGTCTCCCTCTGATGCCGAGCCGAGGCTGGACTGTACTGCCACCATCTCGGCTCACTGCAACCTCCCTGCCTCATTCTCCTGCCTCAGCCTGCCAAGTGCCTGGGATTGCAGGCACGCGCCGTCTGTGTTTTTTGGTGGAGACGGGGTTTCGCCGTGTTGGCCGGGCTGGTCTCCAGCTCCTGACCGCTAGTGATCCGCCAGCCTCGGCCTCCCGAGGTGCTGGGATTGCAGACGGAGTCTCGTTCACTCAGTGCTCAATGGTGCCCAGGCTGGAGTGCAGTGGCATGATCTCGGCTCGCTACAACCTCCACCTCTCAACCGCCTGCCTTGGCCTCCCAAAGTGCCGAGATTGCAGCCTCTGCCCGGCCGCCACCCCGTCTGGGAAGTGAGGAGCGTCTCTGCCTGGCCGCCCATCATCTGGGATGTGAGGAGCCCCTCTGCCTGGCTGCCCAGTCTGGAAAGTGAGGAGCCTCTCTGCCCGGCCGCCATCCCATCTAGGAAGTGAGGAGCGCCTCTTCCCGGCCGCCATCCCATCTGGGAGGTGAGGAGTGTCTCTGCCAGGCTGCCCATCGTCTGAGATGTGGGGAGTGCCTCTGCCCGGCCGCGACCCCGTCTGGGAGGTGAGGAGCGTCTGAGAAGTGAGGAGACCCTCTGCCTGGCGACCGCCCCGTCTGAGAAGTGAGGAGCCCCTCCGCCCGGCAGCCACCCCGTCTGGGAAGTGAAGAGCGTCTCCGCCCGGCAGCCACCCCGTCCGGGAGGGAGGTGGGGGTCAGCCCCCCCGCCCGGCCAGCCGCCCCGTCCGGGAGGGAGGTGGGGGAGTCAGCCCCCCCGCCCGGCCAGCCGCCCCACCCGGGAGGGAGGTGGGGGGATCAGTCCCCCGCCCAACCAGCCGCCCCACCCGGGAGGGAGGTGGGGGGGTCAGCCCCCAACCCGGCCAGCCGCCCTGTCCGGGAGGTGAGGGGCTACTCTGCCCGGCCACCCCTACTGGGAAGTGAGGAGCCCCTCTGCCCGGCCACCACCCCGGCTGGGA
Source organism: Homo sapiens (assembly GCF_000001405.40). Classification (NCBI taxonomy): domain Eukaryota; kingdom Metazoa; phylum Chordata; class Mammalia; order Primates; family Hominidae; genus Homo; species Homo sapiens. Next base: position 28,665,980 of record NC_000016.10, on the reverse strand, counting down.
GGTGTGCCCAACAGCTCATTGAGAACGGGCCAGGATGACAATGGCGGTTTTGTGGAATAGAAAGGGGGGAAAGGTGGGGAAAAGATTGAGAAATCGGATGGTTGCCGTGTCTGTGTAGAAGGAAGTAGACATGGGAGACTTTTCATTTTGTTCTGTAGTAAGAAAAATTCTTCTGCCTTGGGATCCTGTTGATCTGTGACCTTACCCCAACCCTGTGCTCTCTGAAACATGTGCTGTGTCCACTCAGGGTTAAACGGATTAAGGGTGGTGCAAGATGTGCTTTGTTAAACAGATGCTTGAAGGCAGCATGCTCGTTAAGAGTCATCACCACTCCCTAATCTCAAGTACCCAGGGACACAAACACTGCAGAAGGCCGCAGGGTCCTCTGCCTAGGAAAACCAGAGACCTTTGTTCACTTGTTTATCTGCTGACCTTCCCTCCGCTATTGTCCTATGACCCTGCCAAATCCACCTCTGCGAGAAACACCCAAGAATGGTCAATAAAAAAAAAAAAAAAAAAAAAAAAAAAAAAAAAAAAAACATGGTTTCTCCATGTTGGTCAGGCTGGTCTGGAACTCCTGACTTCAGGTGATCTGCCCACCTTGGCCTCCCAAAGTGCTGGGATTACAGGCATGAGCCACTGTGCCTGGCCCCAAATGTGTTTTACATTTTCTTCCTATTTGATTCATCTTTGTCCTGCAACATAAATATGCTACTTTTCCACCGATAAAAAGACAAAATGGAATTTAAATCTGGCCTGGACTTCTCAAAAAAGTCAGTGTGATGAAAACATGTTCTAGATAAAACAGAAATGAGACTGGGCATGGTGGCTCATGCCTGAAATCCCAGCGCCTTCGGAGGCCAAGGCAGGAGAATCACTTGAGGCCAGGAGTTTGTGAACAGCCTGGGCAACATAGTGAGACCCCAGATCTACTAAAAATTTAAAAATTAGCTGGGCATGGTGGTGCATGCCCATATGTCTGGAGGCTGAGGCAGGAGGATCGCTTGAGCCCAGGATTTGGAGGCTGCAGTGAGCTATGATTGTGCCACTGCACTCCAGTGTGGGTGACAGAGTGAGACCCTGTCTCTAAAAAAAAAAAGAGAGACGAGATGATCAGGATGAGCGCAGTGGCTCACGCCTATAATCCCAGCACTTTGGGAGGCCAAACCAGGTGGATCATATGAGGTCAGGAGTTCAAGACCAGCCTGGCCTAGATGGTGAAACCCCGTTTCTACTAAAAATACAAAAATCAGCTGGGTGTGGTGGCGCACACCTGTGATCCCAGCTACTCGGGAGGCTGAGGCGGGACAATTGCTTGAACCTGGGAGGCAGAAGTTGCTGTGAGCAAGATTACACCACTGTGCTCCAGCCTGGGCAACAGGAATGAGACTCTGTCTCAAAAAAAAAAAAAAGGGGGAAGATCAAACACAATGCATCAACCTCCCGGAGCCATATAAACCCTAACCCTAACCCAGGAAGCAGGCAAGCCTGTGTGTGAGTTTCCACTCTATTGCTGGTACCACTCGGCTCTGGCAACCCGGAAGGCCACCTTCCCCTGTTGTTACTGTGTAAGGAGGAAGGAGCACTGCTTTGCAAGTCAGAAGCCTGGGTTGAAGCCTCTGCTTGGGTTCCTGCTGGCTGTGGGAATGTGGGGTTACCTTTCCCAGCTGGCCTCGTTTCCTTCATGTCCAATGCAGGGGTTCCAGTCACATGCGTTGGGCACCATTACATGTCCAAGCTGTGCCAGGATCTAGAAAAATGGCTGGACTCAGGCCAAGGGGCCTTCCTGTCTGGCAGTGAAAATAAGAGGAGATACCAAGGGCCCTGAGTCTGGAGGGGAAGTCATGAGCACAGGGCAGTGCCAGGGCCCGGGAGCTGCCACAGAGGAGCCCATCTTGGTGACAGACACCTGTAGGCACATCCGTGATGCCCAGTGCCCAACACAGGGAACTGGACAAACGTTTCATGCACGACTCTTTTTTCCCTTCTTGGCTACCTTGAGGACCTTGATTATAATAGTTATCCTTTTTTTCTTTTTCTTTTTTTGAGACTCTTGCTCTGTCGTCCAGGTTGGAATGCAGTGGCAAAATCTTGGCTCACTGCAATCTTCACCTCTCAGGTTCAAGTGACTCTCCTTCCTCAGCCTCCCTAGTAGCTGGGATTACCGGTGTGCACCACTAGGCTCAGCTAATTTTTGTATTTTTACTACAGATGGGGTTTCACCATGTTGGCCAGGCTGATCTTGAACTGCTGACCTCAGGTGATCTGCCCACCTGGGCCTCCCAAAGTCTTGGGATTACAGGTGTGAGCCACTGAGCCCAGCCGGATTATAATAGCCTTTTCATGCACCAGGGGCTTTATACTCATTATCTCATTTCATTCATATGAGTTGAAATCAGCTTATCCCCCATTTCACAGATGAGGAAACCAAGGCCCAGAGAGGTTAGGAATTCATCCAAGGTCACACAGCTAGGAAGTAGGATTCAAACCCAGACAGCCAGGCTGTAACACCTAGGCTCTTCTCAGGCTCATGCCCTTCCCAGGGGTCTGGGAAGCCCTGACCTGCAGCCTGTCACCTTCGTTTACCCCCCAGCCTCCAGGATATTATGTGTGCACCGGCGTGGGATCCTGGAACTGGCAGGAATTGTGGGTTGTGTTGGTCCCTAGACTCCCATCGCCTATACGAAATATGGTTCCTTTTGTGGCTTGGGAGGCCATGGCCAGCCCTGCGATGCCATTGACTGGTGAGTGCATGCCTGGGACCAGGCTACAAAATCCCTCACACTCTGGGGTAGTCAAGGCTTATGAGGAAGTACCCAAAACTGAAGCTGGGATTTGGTCCAGGGAGATCCCAGTGTGCAGTACTACTTTGCAGGCAGGCAGAGGCCTCTTGGATAACATGGCCAGTGAAGCCAGATCTTGGTACCAGCTGCCCCTTACCCTGGCCATGGGCTGAAAACGTTGCCTTAAAAAATTGGCCAGGAGCGGTGGCTAACTCCTGTAATCCCAGCACTTTGGGAGGCCGAGGCGGGCAGATCACTTGAGGTCAGGAGTTCAAGACCAGCCTGGCCAATATGGTGAAACCCCATCTCTACTAAAAATGCAAAAATTAGCTGTGTGTGGTGGCAGGCGTCTGTAATCTCAGCTACTCGGGAGACTGAGGCAGGAGAATTGCTTGAACCCGGGAGGTGGAGTTTGCAGTGAGTTGAGATTGCACCGCTGTATTCCAACCTGGACAACAGTGCCAAACCCTGTCTCAAAAGAAAAAAATAATAATAATATAAAGTGGCCAGGTGTGTTGACTCATGCCTGTAATCCCACCACTTTGGGTCGAGGCAGGAGGATCACTGGAGCCCAGGAGTTTGAAACGAGCCTAGGCAACAGAGTGAGACCCTGTCTCTATATTAAACACAAACACACACACACACACACACACACACACACACACACACAAAGGCAGCCAGACTATGCACTAGGAACTGCCCTGGGAATCCCTTTGTGTTCTCACAACAATCCCATTTCACAGATGAAGAAACCTAGGCACAGAAATATTCAGTAACGTGTCCAGGTGCGGTGGCTCACGCCTGTAATCCCAGTACTTTGGGAGGCTGAGGCAGGCAGATCATGAGGTCAGGAGTTCGAGACCATCCTGGCCAACATGGTGAAACCCCGTCTCTACTAAAAATACAAAAATTAGCTGTGTGTGGTGGCAGGTGCCTGTAATTCCAGCTACTCAGGAAGCTGAGGCAGGAGAATTGCTTGAACCCGGGAGGCAGAGGTTGCAATGAACCGAGATCACACCACTGCACTCCAACCTGGGTGACAGAGCAAAACTCCTTCTGAAAAAAAAAAAAAAAAAGAAATATTAAGTAACTTGTCTGAGGCCACTTAGTTACCAAGACGTGGGAGCTGGGACTTGAACCCAGGCAGTCTGGCTGGATTCATGCCTGCAGCCTCTGCACTCCTGCTACTTACTGTGTGAGAAGCGCCTGTTCTGTGGAAGGTTGTGGGCTGAGATCTTTCCATGAGTTCCACTCATTTACCCCCAAGGCTGTTCTTAAAGACGGGCATGACAGTTATGCCCATTTTACAGATGGGGCCCTGAGGCTCACAGGGGCATGCCACTCGCCCATTTCCACAAAGCTATAGTTAGTTAGCAGAGGGCAGAATTCGGCCGCCTCTCCCCTAGCTTGAAGGCTGTGATTGACACAGAGGTTTTTTTGTTGTTGCTGTTGTTTGTTCCTTTTTCTTTTTTTTGAGACAGGGTCTTGCTCTGTCATCCCGGCTGGAGTGCAGTGGTGCGATCTCAGCTCACTGCAAACTCTGCCTCCAAGATGCAAATGATTCTCGTGCCTCAGCCTCCCAAGTAGCTGGAATTACAGGTGTGCACTACCACGCCCAGCTGTTTTTTGTAGAGATGGGGTTAATAGAGATTTGTTTTATAGAGACGGGGTTTCACCATGGTCTCTACTAAACCCTGTCTCTACTAAAAATACAAAAATTACCCAGGCGTGGTGGCACATGCCTGTAGTCCCAGCTACTCAAGAGGCTGAGGCAGGAGAACCACTTGAACCTGGGAGGTGGAGGTTGCAGTGACCCCAAATCATGCACTCTAGCCTGGGGTCTCGCTTTTGCCCAGGTTAGAGTGCAGTGGCACAATCATAGTGGCTCACTGCAGCCTCAAACTCCTGGGCTGAAGGGAATCCTCCCACGTCAGCCTCCCAAGTAGCTAGGACTATAGGCATGTGCCATCATGGCGAGTTAATTTTTTGTGTGTTTTTATTGTCTTGAGACAGAGTCTTGCTCTGTTGCTCAGGCTGGACTGCAGTGGCATGATCTTGGCTCACCGCAACCTCCACCTCCTGGGTTCAAGCAATTCTCCTACCTCAGCCTCCCGAGTAACTGGGATTACAGGTGCGTGCCACCATGCCTGGCTAATTTTGTATTTTTAGTAGAGACAGGGTTTCGCCGTGTTGGTCAGGCTGCTCTCGAACTCCTGACCTCGTGATCCACCTGCCTCGGCCTCTCAAAGTGTTGGGATTACAGGCATGAGCCACTGAGCCTGGCCTGGTGAGCTAATTTTTAAATTTGTTATAGAGACAAGAGTCTCTCTTATGTTGCCCAGGCTGGTCTCGACCCCCTGGCCTCAAGTGATCCTCCCACCTCAGCCTCCCAAAGTGCTGGGATTACAGATGCGTGTCACCGCACCTGGCCTCTGAGGAGGATTTCATTATAAACCTGCCCTGAAGGGAGGGAATCCAATTTTACGAGAGGGTGTAGCCTGGTGAGGCCTGGATGACCTCCGGAGGCAGGGGCTTGTGCCTGGGCTGAGGCCTAAGGGACAATGGGCAGACATGAAGTTGCCCCAGGCAGAGGGTACAGTGTGGGCAAAGTCAGGAAGTGGCAGGGCTTGGATCACTCCAGGAAGAGAGAGGAGTCATGTGTCACAGGAGCTCGAGACCCAGAGAGTGAGGCAGGCAGGCAGGGACCAAGCTTGGGCACAGCCAGGAAGGCAGGACAGGGCATGGTGGGGCCAATGGAATCATTATCGAAGTCGGGGATTTTCAGGGAAACAGCTTAGATAAGGCCAGGCATACAGTAGCTCCCACCTGTAATCCCAGCATTTGGAGAGGCTGAGGTAGGAGGACTGCTTGAGCCTGGGAGTTCAAGACCAGCCTAGGCAACATAGACCCCATATCCACAAAAAATTTAAAAAAGGAGTTTGTGTTCCTGTAGTAGCATACTTGGGAAGTTGAGGTGGCAGTATCACTTGAGCCCGGGAGTTCAAGGCTAAAGTGAGCTGATGGAGCCATTGCACCCCAGCCTGAGCAACAGAGAGATACGCTGTCTCAAAGGAAATACAAATTAAAAAACCAGCCGGGCATGCTGGCGTGTGCCTGTAGTCTCAGCTACTTGGGACACTGAAGTAGGAGGATCGCTTGAGCCCAGGAGTTCAAGGCTGCCGTGAGCTATGATTGTGCCTCTGCAGTCCAGCCTGGGCGACAGAGAAAGACCCTGTCTCTTAAAAAAAAAAAAAAAAAAAAAAAAAAAAAAAAAATCTTAGATAAGAGGATGCTGTGCCTCCCTGGGGGTCTTCAGTCACCCATGGTCCTGGCAAGAGAGGAGGGCCAGGAGAGAGCTTCACCCACCTGCTGTCCTGCCCATGTGACATCCGCAGGTGCTGCCATGGCCACGACTGTTGTTACACTCGAGCTGAGGAGGCCGGCTGCAGCCCCAAGACAGAGCGCTACTCCTGGCAGTGCGTCAATCAGAGCGTCCTGTGCGATGAGTCCCCAGCAGCACCATGCCACCCACCCCGAGTATCCCCTGGGCACCCTGGCATAGCCAGATGACTTCCGTGCCCCTGTTGCAATAACCACTGCTTCCAACTCTCTATAGAACACCCCTTGGGTATATCTAATGTAAGTGATATTTATTTTATTTATTTTTTGAGTCAGAGTCTCGCTCTGTCACCCAGGCTAGAGTGTGCTGATGTGATCTTGGCTCACTACAACCTCTGCCTCCTGGGTTCAAGCGATTCTCATGCCTCAGCCTCCCAAGTGGCTGGGACTACAGGCATGCACCATCACGCCCAGCTAATTTTTGTATGTTTTTCAGTAGAGGTGGGGTTTCACCAAGTTGGCCGGGCTGGTCTCAAACTCCCCACCTCAAGTGCTCTGCCCGCCTCGGCCTCCCAAAGTGCTGGGATTACAGGCATGAGTCGTGGTGTCTGGCCCTAATGTGAGTGATCTTTAACAATGAGGACTTGAAAAAGAAAACCCTGAAGAAACCTAATTCTTTGATGTCTGGACGACAAGGAAGAAGATAGAAATGGCATCAGATAATAAACAGTGTAAATGTTTATCAGAAAGAGGCTGGTGGTCGGGACCAGTAGGAGGATCGCTTGAGTCCAGGAGTGCATCTCTACAAAAAAGTTAAAGGATTTTTTAACATTGGCCAGGCGTGGTGGCACACATACATCTGTGATCCCAGCTACTTGGGAGGCTGAGGCAGGAGGATTGCTTGAAGCCCAGGAGGTTGAGGCTGCAGTGAGCTGTGATCGAGCCACTGCACTCCAGCCTGGGTGACAGAGCAAAACCCAGTCTCAAAAAATAATAATAATAATAATAATATTTTACATAACCAACCACTTCTAAAGATTAAAAAAAAAACCCTACAATTAATTAAAAACCTCAGGTCCCTCAGGCAATCATACCAGATATTGAAACAAAGCAATAACATAAGGACTGCAGTATTTATTTTATTTTTATATTATTTATTTATTCTTCGTTAGTTTGTTTTTGGAGCGTGGGTTTTGTTTTGTTTTTTGATTTTTTTCTTTTTTTCGACCTACGGATTTATTCTTATTGCCCAGGCTTGAGTGCAATGGCGTGTTCTCAGCTTACTCAACCTCCGCCTCTTGGGTTTGGGTAATTGTTGTGCCTCGGCCTCCCTCTGCCTCTTGGGCTTGGGCGATTGTTCCACCTCATCCACCCTCCACCTCTTGGGTTTGGGTGGTTTTTCCACCTCGGCCTCCTGAGTAGCTAAGGGAGGAGTCTTGAGATTATCATCCACTGAGGGTGGAAGAGGAGAGGGTGGAAGCGGGACAAAGAGACATTCCTTCAGATTATCATCCACTGAGGGTGGAAGAGGAGAGGGTGGAAGCGGGACAAAGAGACATTCCTTCAGATTATCATCCACTGAGGGTGGAAGAGGAGAGGGTGGAAGAGGAGCAAGAGGACACTCCTTGATATTATCATCCACTGAGGGTGGAAGGGGAGTGAGCAGACACTCAGGAGGTGTCTTGAGGCTCAGGGAGTTATCAGTTATAGAATGTTGTTGAGTTGGAGGAGGTGGCTGGCGGCCCATCCTGTTTTTTAAAGTTTCAGCTGTGAGGTAGAGCCAGTAGGGCAATCCTGAAGAATGACGATGCTCCGCTGCCGCCATTCTGACCTGTAGGGCCAAAGGAGGGAATGTTTTCACACATATTCATTTGATGGACAAAATTACCACCACCAACACAGTCTGCACCTTCTGTTGCTGGTGATAGATTTTTGCACCTTTCCATCCTCCAGGTTTCAAAATAGCAGTATCAGTGTCATAATATCACCCTTCCACTGAGTACTGCCGACAGCTGGAGGGTAAAGGAAAGTCATTGGGACACACTGTTGTCTCCACATGCCACTGTGTCTGTCTGCAAATGTAGGCAGGCTGGGGTCCTGCCCCAGGGAAGACAGAGTCATAACAGAGTAATAAAGAAGCATGTTTGAGACACAGGAGTGTCTATGTCTATCCTCATTCCTCCCTCACAGCCATCACCAGAGCATGTTTCTTGCACCAGGTCAACAGACAGTAAGAGACAGTAAGAGAGGCATGAAAAGCCCATTGTCCACACATGTTGCAGCTTCTTTTTGGAGAATGTTTTCCAGGCCTTTCATGTTCTGTCTCTGACTCTCAGAACTCTGCAAGGTCAGTGTGACCACCCTGCTCCAAATCTAAGAAAACAGAGGTTTCCAGAGGAAGGAGAAATTGTGCCCAGGGTCACACAGCTTGCAAGAGGCAGAGTGGAAGTTGATTCCAGCTCTGCCTGCAGGACCCTCTCATTTCCCCTCTGTTTCCCTTCTTGACAAAGGAACTTCTTCACTCTGGAGGTGCCACCCATGAGAACAAAGAGCTCTGGAGAGATGTGGATTCCTGAAGAGCTGCAGGGGAACTGGGAGAGGGTTTTCTGACAGAACAATCTCACCTCAAGAAGTCACTTAGGCATGGCTGTAATATTTCTTTTCACTCCCAGGTAATACCAAATTGTAAGTGCACTAGGACATAAAGAATACTTTTGTCCATGGAAAAATGAGGTGGGAATTCTAAACAAAGCAAGTTTTAAAACTGTGTTTCACTTCAAGTGTACAAGTCCCATCACGTGTAATCATAGGACTTGGCAGCTTTTGAAGGTACAGAGGCCACACAAGAACCAGCTTAGCTGAGCATCATTTAAGGCCTTCATTTGGAATTGTCCCTGTGGGTAATAAGTTACATTCACTCTTCACTAATTTACAGTCAGGGCCCATTTGCTATTACAAATATGGAACCTCTGACACTTTGAATTTAGATCAGGGGCCCCACTGGGTGGGGATGAAGGTGTTTTTGCACAACACGGTTACCAACAGGGATGGGACTGTGATGCCTGTAGGCAGCCTTCCTCTCTGCCATCTCCCTCTGCAGGGCTTGAGCACAGAGCTGTAGGGAGAAAAATGTATCCATGTCCTGACCTGGCAGACTATGTTCAAAAGCAAGGAAAACAAACAAACTTACCCAGTTGCAAAGAGGCTTTCTTGCAGAAGGGGGGATCTGAAAAAGCCAACACATGAGAAATTGAATGTTGAGAGAGTCTAAGAGCCGTGGCATCATCTGCATCAGCACTGAACTATCCTGCAACTGCGGGGAGGAAGCTCCTTACTTTGCATTTGTGGTAGTCCTCTGCCCGCCGCCGCAACTCTTGCGCACGTTGAAACATTTTCCTATGGATTACAATCACTTTCATCAGATAAAGCACCACGTTCAGGATGATTTTAAATAATCTGCCATGTTTCTGTTATCCTCACAACTGTACCCTTACACAATCTATCTCTACCTAGAAAACGTATTTCAGATGGCTATAAGAGTACAGTCTGAGCCGGTCACGGTGGCTGATGCCTGTAGTCCCAGCACTCTGGGAGGGCGAGGCGGATGGATCACGAGGTCAGGAGATTGAGACCATCCTGGCTAATACGGTGAAACCCCGTCTCTACTAAAAATACAAAAGATTAGCCGGGCGTGGTGGCAGGCACCTGTAATCCCAGCTACTCGGGAGGCTGAGGCAGGGGAATCACTTGAACCTGGGAGGCGGAGGTTGCAGTGAGCCAAGATCACGTCATTGCACTCCAGCCTGGGTGACACAGCGAGACTCCATCTCAGAAAAACAAAAACAAAAACAAAAACAAAAAAACTGTACGGTCTGATCCAAACTGTTGCTGTATTGATTCCTCCTCTTGCTTACTGCCTGTTGACTTCTGAGATGATAGTTTCCTTCCCCATTCTCAGTATATCCCTAATTCATCCTTCATTGAGCATCTTTTATCATAAAGCTGTATTCTCTTTGTATTAATATCCTCACCGTGTTTCACAGGGCAGAAACAGCTGGGCTTATAAACAGGCATAGTCCTTTTGAAGGATGTGGTTGATCCTACAACAACACACTTTCCTAAGGATGACAACAACTCACCCCACCCCTAGAATGGCTGGTATGAACCGAGTTTCCACACAGTCTAGCTGGTAATGGGGTCAGGAGCCGTTTTGCTACTTCACATCTTTTGGTCACTGGTAAATATTAAGGTACTTTGTTTTCTGTTTTGTGAACTCTCTCTCTCTCTCTCACGATATGTCTTCTGACCGTTTGTTTCTATTTCTGCATTTACTGGGTCTAAACATTGTACAGAGGTTAAAAACAGCACTCCAATGGGCGTTTCCCAGGAGGGTGGGGTTCAGTTTCTGAACTCACTTGTAGGTGTGTATTTCTTTCATATCCAATTTCCCATTTTCCTCTGCCTCTGATACCTGCCTCTCCTTTTCTGCGTGCTCACATTCTTTCATGCTTAGTTTCCTCAGGTTAGAAGGGAGAGAAATGCACACACATGATCCACCAGTCCATGTGGGATTCCCTCTGCCCTTCTGGCATCTGAAGGCTGTGATTCAAAGATCCCCCCTGCAACCTTCCCACAAATGAACCAACTGATTCTCACAACCGAAGGGAGAATGGACACCTCCCATTGAGGGACCAAAAAAAATCACACTCTGGCCTGCTGGCAAGTCACCTGTCATTTCCAGCTCATCTTCATAGTTCCATAGTTAGTCCTATTCTTTAGTAAATATAAAGACTATTAAAAGCTTCTATGAGGTGCACTATGTGTGTCTCTGGGGTCAGTCTTGTGCTTGACACAGCGAAAGATCATTTTAGTTCAGTGTGAAAAACCAGACCTCACCAACTCATCACAACTAACTCCATCGGAAGCAGAGGATTGCTCCTCATCTGACTCTTCCTGTGTGAGACCTGCTTCTCAGTCAGAGGCTGATGCCAGAACTGAGACCATCAGCCATAGAGAGATCCTTCCAGAATATGGTGTCATTAACCCCGCAGTTCACTACTGCACTTTGCCATGATTCAGGACTGGAACTCTTGTCATCGACTTTAAAGATCCTGGTTGAGAGAAAAGGCAATCTGAATGCTGGGCGCATCTATTGAATTAGAAATGATCGGAATGGCTCCTAAGTCAGGGTGTTATGTCCTGAAAATAGGTGACAACGGCAAACCATCCACCCTGGTGTTGACTGACTTTAACAAGGTTCACTTCACAGACATTGAGGGCAGAAAAAGGAAATGGCCTAAAAAGGGTAAGTTTGCTGTGTTGCCCTCACACCACTTGATTCATGGTCCTGATCCTAAGGATCTCACCTGATACTTGGTTTTATAGGAAGGATGTGTAAAATTCCCAGAACGCTAGGAAACAGGGGCGAAAACACTTCAAAGAGAAAGTTAATGAACTTGTTTCTGACCACAGGGCATCCTTCAGCACATGCTGTCTGGAGTGGCCTCCAACAAGGAGTGTGTGGTGTGGTGCTGAGAATGCAATGGGAGCAGGGTCCTGTCCCCACGGTAAAGAAGCTCACAGCTTAATGCAAATGAGAAGCCAGTGAGGACATCACTACTCCTGCTGTCCACTTGGGAACTAGAAACACAAAACCTGACTCTGGAGGGAAGCTAAGGAAGCATTCTACTCTTGAGTTGACATAAGTGCATCTGAAGCTTCTGATCTCCGATGAGAACAATGGGGGACACCAAACAGAATATAAAACCCATGATTGAATACATCAAATTGCTAACATGGCAGTAAACAGACATGAGGTGAAGATGGAGAAGAAGGAAACCCAGGACGAAAGTCAGCCTCGCATTTGGAACCCATTTCCCTGAGTTTCATTGCTGAATTCCAGAAGGAACTACTGAGATGCAAAGAAGCACAGCAGCTTTTGCACACATGCGTGGGATTAGATGGAAAACAAGTGGATTGAGGGTCTGCCAATGAAAGCGACCCGTACTGAAGTCCACTGGCTCTGGTTGAGACCCAGAAGAGTCATGCATCAGAATAGAGGTGGACAGGAAATACCCTGGCCTTTGTAGGGACTGAGCCTGCACCGATGACCTCAATTGCAGCCTGTATGGAGGACCCGTGACCATCCCCCAGAAGTAGACTCCCATCTCTTCTGCAGCAAGATAACATGCCACTAGGCCTCAATTCATTGCTAAATATTTTTTAACGAGTATCTCACATTTAACAAAAAGAGATCAGTCATATGGCAGCAAAATACAATGTAATATGACCAAAACATGAAAGACTGTGAAAATGAATCTGGAGGTGACCCAAGCATTGAATTCAACAATCCAGGCTGGGTGCGGTGGCTCACACTGGGAGGCTGAGGTAGGCAGATCACCTGAGGTCAGGAGTTCAAGACTAGCCTGGCCAACATGGTGAACCCCTGTCTCTACTAAAAATACAAAAATTGGGCCGGGCACGGTGGCTCACGCCTGTAATCCCAGCACATTGGGAGGCCGAGGTGTGTGGATCATGATGTCCAGAGTTCTAGACCAGCTTGGCCAATATGGTCTAGAACTACTCTACTAAGTCTATGCCTCTACTAAGAATACAAAAATTATCCGGGCATGGTGGCATATGCCTGTAGTCCCAGCTACTCAAGAGGCTGAGGGATAAGAATCACTTGAACCTGGGAGGCGGAGGTTGCAGTGAGCCAAGATCATGCCACTGCACTCTAGCCTGGGTGACAGAGTGAGACTCTGTCTCAAAAAAAAAAAAAAAAAATTGGCCGAATGTGGTGGCACACACCTGTAATCCAAGCTACTCAGGAAGCTGAGGCAGAATTGCTTCAAACTGGGAGGCAGAGGTTGCAGTGAGCCAAGATTGCACCATAGCACTCCAGCCTGGGCGACAGAGCGAGATTCTATCTCAAAATTAAAAAAAAAAAAAAAAAAAGCCTGGGTGTGGTGGCTCACACCTCTAATCCCAGCACTTTGGGAGGCTGAGGCAGGTGGATTACCTGAGGTCAGAAGTTCGAGACCAGCCTGGACAACATGGTGAAACCCCATCTCTAGTAAAAATACAAAAATTAGCTGGGCATGGTGGTGGGCACCTGTAATCCCAGCTACTTGGGAGGCTGAGACAGGAGAATTGCTTGAAGCCAAAAGGCAGTGAGCTGAGATTGTGCCATTGCACTACAGCCTGGGCAACAACAGCAAAGCTCCATCTCAGGAAAAAAAAAAAAAAAAGAGAGAAAGGAAAACCAATGCCAGTACTAGCAACTCCTCTTCCCCCGAAAAAATTACAAACAAGAATGTAGGAAGGGAAAGGAATTATACAGCTTAAACTAATGAAGCAGAAAGGACAAACTCAATTTTGAGCCCACTGAATTTGCCACAAATATTGTAGAAAATATTCTCAAGGACTTTACAGTTGTCTACTTTGATTGGCACATGGTTCATACAACAGTATTTGTGTCAAGGCACATCTTACTGTTTTCTGGCGGTCTTCCTCTTTCCATTGATTTTGTCATGACGGTTGATTTTCGTTGTCACCTTCCTCTTACGGATTTTAGCTCTAACTTTTGTTTCCACATGCCTCCGTAGAGTAATGACGTCTTTCAGGCCAATTTTATTTCCTCGAAAGGAAGAAACTCTTTTCTTTGTGTGCATACAAATGGACCTCAGCCCTTGGTGAGAGTGAGGAGAGGAGAAGGTGAGAAACCTGAGGTCAAGAAGCTGTTCTTTCCCTTTCCAGGGCAAACTCATTTCCACACTATGGGGACTCCAACAGAGCCATACCTTTCTGTCTACTGCGGTTGGACCTCCAGGCTCTCTGCTGTACATCCATGGATCCATCATGTCCATTTCGAGACCAGAAGATAGTCTTCAGGAAAGACACCTAGGAAATAATAATATAAGAATGACGGCTGGGCACGGTGGCTCATGCGTATAAATAATCCCAGTACTTTGGGAGGCCGAGGCAGGTGGATCACGGGGTCAGGAGTTCAAGACCAGCCTGGCCAAGATGGTGAAACCCTGTCTCTACTAAAAATACAAAAATTAGCCAGGCATGGCAGCGGGCGCCTGTAATCCAAGCTACTCGGGAGGCTGAGGCAGAGAACCATTTGAAGCTGGGAGGCGGAGGTTGCAGTGAGCCGAGATCACACCACTGTACTCCAGCCTGAGCGACAGAATGAGACTCTGTCTCTCACACACACACACACACACACACACACACACACACACACACAAGAATGACATGAGGCTGGCACGGTGGCTCACTCCTGTAATCCCAGCACTTTGGGAGGCCGAGGCAGGCGGATCACCTGAGGTCGGGAGTTTGAGACCAGCCTCACCAACATGGAGAAACGCTGTCTCTGCTAAAAATACAAAATTAGCCAGGCATGGTGGTGCATGCCTGTAGTCCCAGCTAGTCAGGAGGCTGAGGCAGGAGAATCACTTGAACCCAGCAGGAAAAGGTTGTGGTGAGCTGAGATTGTGCCATTGCACTCCAAACCTGGGCAACAAAATTGAAACTCTGTCTCAAAAAAAAAAAAAAAAAAAAAAAAAATAGCCCAGGTGCGGTAGCTCACGCCTATAATCCCAGCACTTTGGGAGGCTGAGGCGGGTGAATCACAAGGTCAAGAGATGGAGACCATCCTGGGCAACATGGTGAAACCCCGTCTCTACTAAAAATACAAAAATTAGCTGAGCATGGTGATGCACGCCTGTAGTCCCAGCTACTCGGGAGGCTGAGGCAGGAGAACTGCTTGAACCCAGGAGGCAGAGGTTGCAGTGAGCCAAGATCCCACCACTGCACTCCAGCCTGGTGACAGAGTGAGACTCCGTCTCAAAAAAAAAAAAAAAAAATGACATGAATATACTTCACACAACTGAACTGTACACTTCAACACGGTTAGATGGTAATTATCATCTTATAAGTATTTTACCACAGGTTAACATGTTTCACAACTTGAAAAGGAAGTAATTACCTTCAGCTCTCTGAGTTCTAGAATTTGTAACATTTCACCCCCTGCTCCTTCCTGATCTGCACTGGAGCATCTTCCTTCTGTCCCTGCTCTACTCAGAGTTCACTTTCCCTTCCCTCACATCAGCTTCATTGAGGCTGGTTTGAACTTAACGCAAAACATTCTCACTAATGACTGAATTCCCACCAAGATTTCCATATTATCACAGTATGCTTTTAATCTTCTAAGATATTAAATATTTGTTCTCATCATAGCGAAAATGCAATGCAAATCCCATCTCAGATGTGGGTCAGATACCTATGAATCTCCTGAGGTAGTCATTGAAATGACTTTTTTCTTGAGATGGAGTGTCACTCTCAACCATGCTGAAGTGCAGTGGCACTACCTTGGCTCACGGCAACCTCCACCTCCCAGATTCAAGCGATTCTTGTGCCTCGGCCTCCCAAGTAGCTGGGATTACAGGTGCCTGCTACCATGCCTGGCTAATTTTTGTCTTTTTAGTAGAGATGGGGTTTCACCATGTTGGCCCATCTGGTCTTGAACTCCTGACCTCAAGTCATCCACCTGCCTCAGCCTCCCAAAGTGCTGGGATTACAGGCATGAGCCACCACACCTGGCCTGAAATAATATCTTTCAAATTCTTTGTAGAATTTGTTTTTTCCTGATTTCTGCACATAGGATAAAAAAAAAAATCATGTACTAGGATTTCGAGAGAAGCAATGGGTAATCTAAAAAGATGAAAAGAGCAACCACGTCAATCCCACAGCTACTACTAGATTTCACAGGAAAGGTAGCTGGCCCAGTTTGGAGCTAGGAGAAATGTCAAACACATGAAGAAATGACAAGCAAAGAAATGCCATCACGCATGAATGCTTCATGGCACCCATGATGTCCCTGCTTAGGAGGTAATGGTATAGATGACTAGATGACAAGGACAAAGATGAGAGGTGCGAAGTTGTCCAAGTCCAGCAGCTCAACTGAACTTTCCTAAATGGAACTGTTAAAAAGTGGTAAGTTTAAAAACTTCCCCTGGCTCACGTGGTGGCTCACGCTTGTAATCCCAGCACTTTGGGAGGCTGAGGCGGGTGGATCATTTGAGGTCGGGTTTTGAGACTAGCCTGGCCAACATGGTAAAACCCCGACTCTACTAAAAATACAAAAATTTGCTGGGCATGGTGGTGGGCACCTGTAATCCCAGCTACTTGAGAGGCTGAGGCAGGGGAATCGCTTGAAGCCAGGAGGTGGAGGTTGCAGTGAGCCGAGATCACACCATTATACTCCAGCCTGGGCAACAGAGGGAGACTCGTCTCGGGGGTGAGAAAAGGAAAAAAAAAAAAAAAAGCTTCCTCCAATTTATACCAAAAATTCTCTGTTCAGGACTAAGTGGCATAGAGAATGTTAAGTGTGCCTAGATATCTTCATAACTCATATATTTTCTGTTTTCTACATATCTTGAAAGGCAGTGCCAAATGACGTGTAATTATCTAGGTGGTAAAACTGAAACATACTTCCTCTTCCCTTGAATATAAAAAAGCATTGTGGTATTAGTACTTTTATCTTGGATCATTGTTCAGAAGGAGGTTCAGCCCCCAGACAACCACATTTTTACTGTCATGAATGGCAAGACAAAATGTAGAGCTCAACTTACCCAAAGGAAAAAAGGCTCAAAAGACAAATTATGGCACAACTTAGCAGCCAAATTCTTACCAAGTACAGACTTTTGACATACTGATCTCTCTCCAGTTGCAAGTGGGAACATGCACTTTGAATGATGTCATTCAAAATTACCCTGCCCAGACACACTTTTCATTGATTCTCTTGGAGGGCAGTTCTAAGAGATTCTCTGGGGCTTTCTCTGCATCATGAGACGCAGTGCAGTTCTGCCCTTCACCTTCCGGCAGTTTGTCACCTCGTCCCTATGACCTCAGAGGAACTTTGTCTCAGGCCAATTGTTTGTTCCTTGGCCTCTTTCATTTCCCCTAAAAATCATTTGCTGCCCCTCTAAATGGCCTACATCTCCATCTATCTCCCTCTCCCCTCAGAAGAGGGTGCTCTTTAAGCATCAACCATCCGGCCCTTCTAGCAGTCTCATTTTTCAGCTGGTTCCCATGTTTATGCCTGTTCTATGTTTTTCTTTTCCTGTTAAGCTGTCTGTTGTCAGCTCATTTCTGCAGTGAATCTTCAGAGAGGAGATTGGAAGCTTTCCTTCCACCCATACGATAGAACTATAAAGCAGAAGAGTTTAGAAAGAATTTCCTATTTAAGTGACGAAACCTCATACTCCATTTGTGATAAATAGCACAAAGGCTAAAAAAACTTATTTTTGACCAAAAGCTCTGTTGACATTCTATTAAACAAACACCGACCTATTTAATTTTCATAATGTAAATGGCAGACATTTTCATAATTCTTATGCTAATAAATCATTTCCCTGATTTTTTGGGTAAAACCACATATTCATAATGAAGTCCAGAAACGTGAATTGTTTTATATAATTTATTCTTATTTGTGATTACAAGTATACCTCTACAGAAAGTTAGTATACTCACACAAAGGCAACTTGTGCAGAAGAGAATGTTAAATGTGTAACATCTCAGAAACCCAATAATGATAATTATCAAATTATCCAATTTTTGTGGAGATGGGGTTTTGCCATGTTGGCCAGGGTGGTCTCGAACTCCTACACCAAAGTCAGTCTCACGATGACGATAGACAGCCAGACTATTGATAACCTGGAATAATAATAGTTGAAATAATGAAAAGGTCAATGACACCGACAATATTTCACTCAGAAAGAATCATCCTTAGAAACCGTCAACCTCCTCCAAAAGGTAACCACATCCCTCAGATATCACCATGGGATTCCACTGCTACAAAAAAGAACAGAAGTTAGAAGTCTCATGTTTTTCAGATGGCTGGTAGTGTTTTTAGGCATTGCAAATGTGGGGTGTTGTCTTTCTTGGTATAAAGCAGGGATATCCAATCTTTTCACTTCCCTGCCTATATTAAAAGAAACAAAGTTGTCTTGAGCCACACATAACATACACTAACACTAACAATAGCTGATGATCTAAAAAAAAACTCTTTTTTTTTTTTTTTTTGGAGACAGAGTTCCGCTCCACTCAGTCGCCCAGGCTGGAGTGCAGTGGTGCAATCTCGGCTCACTGCAACCTCCAGCTCCTGGGCTCAAGCCATTCTCCTCCCTCAGCCTCCCGAGTAGCTGAGATTACAGGTCTCTGCCACCATGCCTGACTCATTTTTGTATTTTTAATAGAGATGAGGTTTCACCATGTTGGCCAGTCTGGCCTTGAACTCCTGGCAGGCGATCTACCTGCCTCGGCCTCCCAAAGTGCTGGGATTACAGGTGTGAGCCACCGTGCCCAGCCATTTTTTTTTGTTTTTGTTTTTGTTTGGTGTTTTGTTTTTGAGATGGGGTCTCACTCTGTCACCCAGGCTGGAGTGCAGTGGCGTGCTCTCGGCTCACTGCAACCTCGGCCTCTCAGGTTCAAGTGATTCTCCTGCCTCAGCCTCCTGAGTAGCTGGGAGTACAGGTGCCTGACAATGCACTCAGCAAATTTTTGTATTTTTTGTGGAGATGGGGTTTTGCCATGTTGGCCAGGGTGGTCTCGAACTCCTGACCTCAGGTAATCTGCCCGCCTCAGCCTCCCAAAGTGCTGGGATTACAGGCATGAGCCACTGTACCTGGCCAAAATCTCCTAATGTTTTAAGAAAGTTTACAAATTTGTGTTGAACTGCATTCAAAACTGTCCTGGGCCACATGCAGCCCGTCACTCATGGCTAAGACAAGCTAAGTATAAAGTAATTATCTTTTCTTTTTGTTTGGAGACAAAGTCTTGCTCTGTCACCCAGGCTAGATTGCAGTGGCATGATCTCAGCTCACTGCAACCTCCGCCTCCCGGGTTCAAGCGATTCTCCTGCCTCAGCTACTGAGTAACTGGGATTACAGGCGCCTGCCACCGCACTCGGCTAATTTTTGTATTTTGAGTAGAAACAGGGTTTCACCATCTTGGCCAGGCTGGTCTCCAACTCGTGACCTCTTGATCCACCTGCCTCGGCCTCCCAAAGTGCTGGGAATACAGGTGTGAGCCACTGCACCTGGCCAGTAGTTATCTTTTCTTTAAAGTTATTTACTTGTTTTTTAAATTGATGTATAACATTGGATGCATTTATTATATATCACATGGTAAAAGAATCCCTCTAAATAATACTTCTCTCTTGGATTATATGAATCTTTGTCATTTGAAGCTCAGCATAAGTAAAAAAAAAAAAATACAATGAAGAGATTACTTCATTCACAAATAAGTATCAAATTTTAGTGCTTAAAAATTAACAAGGTGGGCCGGGTGTGGTGGCTCACGCCTGCAATCTCAGCACTTTGGGAAGCCGAGGTGGGTGGACCACGAGATCAGGAGATTGAGACCATCCTAGCTAACACGGTGAAACCCATCTCTACTAAAATTACAAAAAATTAGCAGGGCATGGTGGCACGTGCCTACAGTTCCAGCTACTTGGGAGGCTGAGGCAGAAGAATCACTTGAACCCGGGAGGCAGAGGTTGCAGTGAGCCGAGATCGCACCACTGCACTTCAGCCTGGGTGACAGAGCGAGACTCTGTCTCAAAAAAAAAAAAAAAAAAAAAAAAAATTACCAAGGTGGAGATCATGAAAATGGCATGAATAGTGTGGGATTTCTCTAAGATTGTTGATATTAATTCCAGTAGACTCTTATGTGAGTGAAGACGAAGACTTCCCCTGAGTAAGTTCAGACAGCTTGTGATAACATTTCTACATCGATTCCTCAGGATTTAACTGTATATTCTTGAAAACATCTCAATTTTAAATGTTTCTTTCAAGATGGTGAATTAAACAGAGATAGCCCTTCAACAGGTTGAACTCAGCATATGCTGAGTCTGAAATGGAAATGATGGAGTTAGAGAACCATACAACAATGGTAATGATTTCAGAAACATGGTGTTGAGCAGAATAAAGCAGACACAAAAGAGTACCTATGGCATGGCACGCATCTGTATACGCGAAATTCCAGAATAAGCAAGCTAACCTATGATAAGAAAGAGACTGGCTGGGAAGAGTGAGAGTTCACTTTCTGGGGTGACATAATAGTGTAGATCTTGGCTGGGCACGGTGGTTCACGCCTGTAATCCCAACACTTTGGGAGGCCGAGGCGGGCGGATCACCTGAGGTCGGGAGTTCAAAACCAGCCTGACCAACATGGAGAAACCCTATCTCTACTAAAAATACAAAATTAGCTGGGAGTGGTGGCACATGTCTGTAATCCCAGCCACCCGGGAGGCTGAGGCAGGAGAATCGCTCGAACCTGGGAAGCAGAGGTTGCGGTGAGCTGATATTGCCCCATTGCACTCCAGCCTGGGCAACAAGGGAGAAACTGTCTCAAATAAATAAATAAATAAATAAAATAATGTAGATCTTGAAAGGGGGTCGGTTTATGCTGGTGTAAGTACTTTCCAAAGTTAGTAAACTTACACTTAAGGTTATATATTTTGGCCAGGCGCGGTGGCTCACGCCTGTAATCCCAGCACTGGGAGGCCGAGGCAGGCGGATCACGAGGTCAAGAGATGGAGACTATCCTGGCGAACATGGTGAAACCCCGTCTCTACTAAAAATACAAAAATTAGCCAGGCGTTGTAATCTGAGCCACTCAGGAGGCTGGGGCAGGACAATTGCTTGAACCCCGGAAGCGGAGGTTGCAGTGAGCCGAGATCTTGCCACTGCACTCCAGCCTGGGCGACAGAATGAGACTCTGTCTAAAAAAAAAAAAAAAAAAAAAAAGTCATCAAACCAGATGACACAAATCAAATGACATTTCACTTTGTTTTGGTCCATTTTGTTTGTTAGAGACAAGAGTGCAGCGGGGCCATCTCAGCTCACTGCAACGTCCAGCTCCTCGGCCCAAGCGATCCTCCCACCTCAGCCTCTCCAGTAACTGGGATAACAGGTACGCACCACCAGGCCCGACTAATCTTTTTTGGAATTTTTTGTAGAGATGGGGTTTCGCCATGATGCCCTGGCTAGTCTTCAACTCCTGGACTCAAGTGATCTGCCCACCTCGGCCCCCTAAAGTGCTGGGATTACAGGCCTGAGCTGTGTAATTTCATGCCGCGTGACACAGCCCAGTAAAAAGGAAGAAACCCCGCGGGTCCAGCGTCTACTCACAGGGGTGGGCTGATGGCTGATAAATCCCAGCAGGAGCCAAATGAGGAGCCAAAAGCGCAGCCGCATGTCCTGGTCCTTTCAGGGCGCCCTGAGGTGTCCAGGACAGAGGTGGAGGTGGCTTAGGGCAGGGGGGAGGGAAGGGGACGGGGAATGGGCCGGATCTGAGTTGGGGAGGGGGAGGGGAGGGGGAGGGGGAGGGGAGGGGGAGGGGGAGGGGAGGGGGAGGGGAAGGGGGGAAGTAAGGGAAGGGAAAGGAAGAGAAGGGGGCTGTTGGGCACCTGGAGGAGGTGGAGGAGGAGGAGGAGAAGAAGAAAGGGGTCTGGGAAAGGATCCGGTTCAAATTAAGTTCTCAAGCGCTGGTGGAAGGTTTAGCTACAGGTCACGGAGAAGATCAGGGAAGCAACAGGACACGCGGGACAAGGGAGCGTGAGGCTTAGGAGCAATGAGAGGGAGACAAAAAGGTTCTGCTATCTGCCAAACCTTCTTCGGTCTGGGCCCTCCCTTAGCAAACCTGGGGCTTTATACTCCCTCTCCACCAATCCCTGATGACCCCGGTGGTGCCTCACAATGGACAATGCCAAGTAGCGCCCGCATCATTCCAATGACCCCTCCCCCATCTCAGTCTCCCACACTCCTCGCAAGGACAGGTCCTCTCTGGAACCTTCACAAACCTGATTTCTGGTCCTCCCCAACCAGCTCCCTGTCCCTGCTTCTGGGCGCTCCTTCCTTCCTGAGCTCCCAGGGTTCCTCAAGGTCACTTTTGGCGACAAAACATAAAAAACAAATGATGGCAGGATGGCAGGAAGAACCTCATACCCAAGCAGAGTGCCAGGTTTTACAGCCTCCGCTCAGCCATTCATATCCTAAGCAACAAAACATCAGCAGGATGCGGAAGGTCCCGATAGTAAACCATCTCCATCACATCCATGTAGCCATCCGTCCATCAACCTGTATCTCAGGAACAAATGTAGATACATTCATTTTAAGCAAGCATGGTACATTTACAAAAATTAACCTGACTTATTTTGTTCCAGCAAATCTCAATATATTTGAGAGCAATCAAATCACACAGCACGTTTCTGATCATATAACTGTGCTAGAAGTCAATGATTAAAAGCTAATTCAAAATTATTATTTGCTTGGAAATTCAAAGTGCCCTTATAAGACATAAACATAAGAAAGAATCCAAAATGAAACAAGATTGCCTTTCAACTCAATGATAAGATCATAACATGGCAATAAAATGTCTCCCTCTGGCCTGGGAATTCCTCTTTGTGGCACAAGGTTGTGTGATCTCAAATCACCCCTAACCCACCTAGACAATTTAACATCCGAAACCGAGTGATGATGTCCTTATCTATAATCATCTTACTGCCTGTGTGTGTGGACTTTAAATTCTGAACCCAAATGAGGGGGAGAAAACCAAGTTGACCTTCATGATTGACCTCTCAGGGATGTCCAAGGAATCTGTGCATTTCAAGAAACAAAGTTCATCAGCTTCTCTCCTAAGGTATTTGCCCACAATACCCAGAGGGCTTGGCAGCATCATGTGTGATGGGTGGGGAGCTCCAAGCAGGTGGGCAGGACCCAGGGGTCTGGTGACCAGGACAGACCCCCACTGTCTATCACCTTTCCTGGCCCTGTCCTCAGCTAAACTTCCCACAGGCCTTCCGCCCGATCACACAGAGTATGCCCAAACTCTCTCAGGCCTCTGGCAGCTGAAAACCACTGCTTTAAATCCCTTTACCATTTACTATGACATAAGGTTATTGTGAACAGGAAATATTCTATTGATGCTACAAATGGAAAGCCAATGCCTTTACCATAAATAGAAAAACAACCCTAAGAAACAAGCAAAACAAAAACAAAACAGGGGCTGGGTGTGGTGGCTCACGCCTGTAATCCCAGCACTTTGGGAGGCCGAGGTGGGCGGATCACAAGGTCAGGAGTTCCAGACCAGCCTGGCCAATATGGTGAAACCCTGTCTCTAATAAAATATAAAAATTAGCCGGGTGTGGTGGTGGGCACCTGTAGTCCCACCTACTTGGGAGGCTGAGGCAGGAGAATAGTTTGAACCCGGGAGGCAGAGTCTGCAGTGAGCCGAGATTGCACCACTGCACTCCAGCCTAGGCGACAGAGCGAGACTCTGTCTCAAAAACAGCAACAACTACAAACAAACAAAAAACAGGGTTTACAAAACTATGGAATTCAATTCTTTTTATATGCTGCAGCCATGTTCCGGCCCTAGATTTGGCTGGGCATGGTGGCTCACACCTGTAATCCCAGCACTCTGGGAGGCTGAGGTAGGTGGATCACAAGGTTAGGAGTTCGAGACCAGCCTGACCAACATGGTGAAACCCTGTCTCTACTAAAAATACAAAAATTAGCCAGGCATGGTGGCACACACCTGTAATCCCAGCTACTCAGGAGGCTGAGGCAGGACAATCCCTTGGGCCCGGGAGGCGGAGGTTGCAGTGAGCCGAGATCGTGCCATTGCACTCCAGCCTGGGTGACAGAATGGAATGAGACTCTGTCTCAAAAAAAAAAAGAAGCCCTAGATTTCGGTTGTGTTGGTTATAAAAGGAGAGACCAAGTAAGTGGGGGTTGAAGTCAGATTAGAGCAAAAGTGAATGGCAGAGAGTACTATAATGTCCATGAAGGGTTGCTAGAGTCACCGTGATCATAGCCCAAGCAGAGACAGGGAAAGGAAGATGTGAGCAGAGTTTGGGGTCTCGAACAATGGAGGTTATTCGTGCAGCCCAGGAAAGGCTCCCCAAAGCCAGGATCAACCTCCCTTGCAGGCGGTCCCTCATGGAGGCATGGCCAGGCACCTTAGATTTGAGACCAGCTATGTTGCTGCTGACCAGCTGTGTGACCCTGGGCTGGTTTCCTTCCATACAATGGGAGTGCCAATGGCTGCATGCATGCAAAGACCGTCTGAGGATAGGAGGAAGCAATCTGTTGAGCACCCGTGTACCTGAGTGTCATCACCTCCCAAGGGCATCTTTCGTTCCAGAGCTGGCACCTTGGAAGGCCCTTGGTCACTGAAGGCAGTGATGATGGTAACAGCAGTAAATCATCATTTACGGCTGATGAGGGAAGGCCAGAAGGTAGGGCTCCTAGGTCCTGGATAAGAATGAGGGTCTGGGCACTCCTGGGGATAGCTGAGTGGTAGGACTCCTGGGTCCCCAGGGTGCAGGTCCATCTTCAGTGGCATTGGGCCTAGGCTGGGATGCTGAGTTATCCACTGGAGCATCAGCAGTACAGTCAGGCACAGAGGCAGTGGATCCATCGGAGGTGGCAGGTGTAGGATCATCTGGTGAGCAAGTAGAGTCACCAAGTCTGGCTGACCACTACCCCCACTACCCCCACTATCCCCACAGATGATGCCCTGTCCCTTGCCTCATGCTCCGGCAGGGTACAGGCTCACACCTGGGGCCTCATGGAGCATCTCTCTAAGACCTCTGTGTCCTGGTCATTGAATGGGCACTTGAGTCACCCAGGGCCATTGGAACAAAGAGGAAGAATCAGGCCCCATGATGTTTTGGGAGAGTGTTTAGCACAGGAAAATGCACAGAATACATGCACGACACAGGGGCACTGTCAGTGTGGGAGCAATAGTTTACAACCTCCAGCCCTAATCTGAGCACTCTCACCTGTGCAATCTGAAAGGAACAGGAGACTTGCAGGAAAGACAGTGCCTGGATTTAACTTAAAGGAACTAAAATGTTGGAATTTTTACTCTTGATATCCTTCCAAATCAACTCTCTCAATGTTCCCATCCTCAAAACTATCATATGGGGTAACTGAGGCAGTCAGAGATTTACTGACTCAATGTCACTCAATTGATTCTGAGTTCACTGCTGATTACATTCGACCAAACTGCTTTTTCTGAAGTCTACTCCGTTTAATCATGCTGGTGATGATTTTGTGCAGCTCTGGGACAAACTCCACCTGGCTGAAGATAAAGCAAATCTGCGGTGACTTAGTCCTCCTGTCATTTCCCATCAGTTCCCCACTCTCTTCCTCTGCCCCTCCACAGTCTCCCATGCAGGCTGACACCATATGACGGTCTTAATGGAGTCCACCAAGTATTTCAGGTTCTCTCCTGGGCCACTTGAAAGTGGATGTACCCATGGGATTTGCTTTGACCCAGGAGATGTGAGTGGAAGTGAAGCGTGTCACCTCGAGGCAAAAGAGTTGGGAGCCATTGAGACTGGCCACTCTCTCCTTCATCTCTTGGAGCAACTGACAGCTCCTATATGGAGGCTGCTCCTTTATTCTCGTGGCAGGATGAGGGCATGTGGGGCACAGGGCACAGGAGAGCCATGGAGGATGTGCAGCATGGGCAGGAAAAGAGCCTTCAGTGGTGTACATTTTGTACATTTCCATCGTTTGGGGCTGTTTCTTACCTACAGTGATACCTAGCCCATCCTAGCAGGCATGCACCATCTACCCCACACTCTGTGATGCAGACTAGCCTGCCGTCAGAACATGAACTGGTGGTCAGACACACATAGGTTTCAGTTCCAGCTCTGCCTCTTATTGACTGTAACCTCAGGCTTAACTTTCAGTCTCTGAGCCTCAGTTTCAACTCTGTAAAATGAGGTGGCTATACCATCTCAGGTTGCAGAGAGAATTAAATGAAATATAAGTGCATGTAGAGCATTGAACCCAGGGCCTGGCACACACAGTGAGTACACAATGTTAGCCATGTAGCTTCATGATGCATA
Source organism: Homo sapiens (assembly GCF_000001405.40). Lineage (NCBI taxonomy): Eukaryota > Metazoa > Chordata > Mammalia > Primates > Hominidae > Homo > Homo sapiens. Next base: position 28,639,922 of record NC_000016.10, on the reverse strand, counting down.
CTGATTGTCAATATTCAGACAATGCAGTAAAGTGTTACCAAAAATAAAAGTAAACTTATTTGCATATGTATTCTTTCAATCTTTATTTTTAAACAGGGTAAAACTATGCATATTCTTTCATAGCCAGTGTTTTTCTCTTCATAGTATATTGTTAAAATAATTTTATCTTGGACGGGGTGTAGCGGCTCACACCTATAGTCCCAGCACTTTGGGAGGCCACGGTGGGCAGATCACGAGGTCAGGAGTTGACACGAGCCTGGCCAATATGGTGAAACCCCATCTCTACTAAGAATACAAAAATTAGCTGGGCATGATGGTGCACACCTGTAGTCCCAGCTACTCAGAGGCTGAGGCAGAGGAATTGCTTGAACCCGGGAGACGGAGGTTGCAGTGAGCCAAGATTGTGCCATTGCACTCCAGCCTGGGGGACAGAGTGAAACTCTGTCTCAAAAAAAAAAAAAAAAAAATATATATATATGTGTGTGTGTGTGTGTCTGTGTGTGTGTCTGTGTGTGTGTGTGTGTATCTATATAAATCTCAAAAATAAAAGATCATTTTTGAGATTATTATTTTAAAAGACAAGATAATGTTCAACTTAATGACTAATTTAATTATTACTATTGGACTTTTTGTAGACTGCACAGAGCATTCAAAACAAATGAAGGAGAATAAAAAATATGTATTACATGTTGTAAAATAAATGTGATGTGGTTAATTCTTTTATTCAAAATTATAGAACATATATATGTACTATAGAATGTATTTCTTATTATGAGTCATGTTAAAAAGTAGTTTAGAAGCTGTTGATTTGAATTTCCTTTTCAAATTTTGCAGGATAATTTTTTTTTTTTTTTTTGACAGAGTCTCGCTCTGTCGCACAGTCTGGAGTGCAATGGCGTGATCTTGGCCCACTAAAACCTCCACCTCCTGAATCTAAGCAATTCTCCTGTCTCAGCCTCCTGAGTAGCTGGGACTACAGGCTCACACCACCATGCCCGGCTAATTTTTGTATTTTTAGTAGGGACGAGGTTTTGCCATATTGGTCAGGCTGGTCTTGAAGTCCTGGCCTCAGGTGATCCACCAGCCTCAGCCTCCCAAAATGCTGGGATTACAGGCATGAGTCACCATGCCCAGCCTAAACTTGGCAAGATAATAAATAAACTTTTTAAGTGTCGTTGGGCACTTGTCTGGTTGTTTTTCTTTAGGTTACCATGCCAGCAATGATTCCTTTTGAGTTTCTGACAGAAGATAGTGGTTTTCATCCAAATAAGTCAACTACTTTACCCCATCCCTAAGCCACTTGTATGGAAAGAAAAAGAGGAAGAAGCCAGTACTGTGACTGCGTAAGCTTCCCCCAGCATCACCCGCTATGAGATGTGTGGCAGCTGAGACCCGGGAACTGCTCAAGGGCACCAGGCCCCATCTTGTCTGCACTCACTCACCTTCCTCAGGTACTCGCATGGGCATGTCACTGACTTTACATGCTGCTGCAGCTCCTTGGTGAGCTGGCCCTGGTCATGGGACAGGAACTGTGGGGTCAGGACAATAGAGAGCTTCACCATTTGCAGAATGAGAACAGGGGCTCATGATGAGTGCCAACCTATTAGACAATTAAGAAAAAAAGTTTGTTGAATGAGTGGAAAAACAAGGTGATGTTTGAGTCTATAGTGGTCAAGAGCATAGGGGCTTCAGAAAAGGACAGAACCAAGTTCAAATTCCTGTACTTTGAATTTCTACTTCATGCCATGCAAAATTACTTTACCCCTTTTAACCTCAGTTTTCTTCTGTGTGAAACAGGAACAATAGTTTCATTCGTCATTCAGTTTCTCTCAAGGTTTCATGAGATCATACCTATAAAACATCCAAGTCATTTAAATGTATCATCATTTCTGTCATAATTAGTGGGATCCATTTCACTATTATTGGATATACAGTTCTGTGCCTGAAACCTACAAAAAAGAAAATGTTAAGTCTAAAAAGCATTAGTGATTTCTCATTTTTATATTACTAATTATAACCCTATTTAATCACACAAGGCCTTGTTCATGGCAGGTGCTCAATAAACACTTGTCAAATCAATGCATGTTTAGATTCTATTCTGTTTAGATTCTACACTGTTTAGATTCTATTCTGCCTCCACCACTTATCAGCTGTGTGATCTGGGTAAGATAATTCACCTCTTTATGTCTGCACTTCCCTCTCCATAAACTATATATAATGAGAATCCTTAGCTCATTCGGTTGTGGTGACGGGTGAATGATTTGGCACACAGGAGGGGCTTCTTAAACATTAGCTGTGATGATCTCCTTCCAAATCTTCATTTTCAGAGCCACAGATGAGGCCATAGTGCAACCAGGTGACCTTAGAGTGTAAGTACACATGATCGCCAGCTATGCTCTGTCTCCACCATAGGTCCAAGACTGGGTAGTTCCGGCCTGGTGGTTTCTGCTGCATCTGCCTTCTCAGTGCTCACCTAAGGACTTTTGTATTTTCCTCCTCGCATCCCCACAGATGGGGTTCAGGCTGCCGGACACAGCTGGGTGATGCCAGGGCAGTGGTCACCTGTGCCAGCCCTGTGAGGTAGCTGGAGGATCATTGTTCCTTCCTTCTCGGGCTCTGGGCAGATGCCAGGGCTGGGGTGACCCATGCCCTCAAGTTTCTTGCTTTGGTGGGCCACATTTTCCCTTGGCAAAGAGGGTAAAGGTCACAGGATGCCAGAGAGCTGTGACTTCTCTGTGCCCTGGGCCCAAACTATGAAGACCTGACACACTATGCTAAAAGTCCAAGGCTGGGTGCTCCCCAGAGCTTCTTGCCTCACCGCTTCTGCTGAGGGAGGAATGAATACTATGTCCTCCCAGAGCTTTGGGAGCTTGTAGCAAGCAGCCTCCCCAGCACAAAATCTCTTGGAAACCTCTAACTGTGTCTGAAACATTAGTGCAAATGTTGGATCATATTTCCCATATGTCCGCATGTTTTAGGAAAAAACCCTCAATTTCCTAAATATGCAAGAAAAATCGATATTGTAGGACAATGTGACTTTTTAAAAAATGTTATTTAAAAATCTTCCCCACCTCCTTTTCTGCCCTCCAAGACTGCCAAATACTTGTTGAACAAATATTATTAAAAGCCTACTACGTGCCAGCCATGATTCATGGTCTTGGGGACACAGCAGAGAACGAACTGACAGGATTCCTCTCTTATGCAACTCACATTCTTACATGATAATGATAAGGGTTAACATTAATTAAGCCGTCACTACGTGTTAGTCATGGTGCAGTCATTCCCACACATTATTACACTTAAACCTGCTAGCAAGCTTGCAAGGTAGTTAGTTGTTTTTCCTTTAAAAACTGAGTCTCAGAATGATGAAGCACTTTGTCCAATGTCACACGGCTAGTAAGTGTGGACACCTTGCATCCAATCAATGCCCATCTCATTCTAAAGGCCATGTTATGTGTTCTCCAGCCCATGGAGAATAATTTTAACACAGTCAATGAAATTTCTACACAACAATGTTCTTGTCTCAAGTCCAAGAATGCCTCCTACACCTCCTATAATACAGGCTTTCTGGTGAGTAAAGATGCCATTCTCATGTGTAATCAGGTGGCAAATGGAGATATGACCAAAGTAACCATCTGCCTACACTCATAACCCTGTACACACTCTTCCTGTGTCAATTCAATTCAAGTACCCCTTTTGATCACTTAGCAAAACTGAGCTTTAAAAGGGTTAAGGTTTTTATATCCATGTAAGTTTCTGTATTGCTTTGGAAGTCTCTGGTTAAATGAATACTCTTTTAATAGTGACCTGTGATTCTGTTTTGATCAAGTGTTTTCAAACTTGACGTCTTTGATGGGTTTTTCCAGTGTCAAAATCCTAAATCAAGTCTTTTTGGCCTAAAATTAACTTTGGGATTTTTCAGCTGTGTCCCTTGGGGAGTCTAAAGAATGTATCTCTCATCTTGTAGAGGTATTAAGTGATTCGATTTATTTGGTAGATTAAATGGGCAGGCATTGTCAAATGTGGTGATACTGCATGGGAGGGCACTGTCAAGTGAGGTGACATTAGATCTCATCTCAGTTATATTTATGGGTATGTTGTTGATATACGTGTTCCAAAAATTACACACATTTATACAAATTTAAGATGTTATTATTTGTAATTTTGATAGTTATGCTAAATATTTGCTAAAGTTATATTTGTATAAACATGTCATGAATGGCTGGGCACCATCACTCATGCCTGTAATCCCAGCACTTTGGGAGACAAAGGCAGGTGGATCACCTGAGGTCAGGAGTTCGAGACCAGCCTGACTAATAGGGTGAAACCCTGTCTCCACTAAAAATACAAAAATTAGCCATGCCTAGTGGCACATGTCTGTAGTCTCAGCTACTTGGGAGGCTGAGACAGGAGAATTGCTTGAACCCAGGAGGCGGAGGTTGCAGTGAGTCGAGATCATGCCACTGCACTCCCGCCTGGGTGACAGAGGTAAAATCTATCTAAAAAAAAAAGTTATTAATTATTTCTGAAGATTACATGAAATTTATAAAAGTCTGGTGGTCCTGATATGATGCTGTCAGTCATGATTCTGATTACTGTCTTAAAATGCCGCACATAAGTAATTAAATTTCCTTGTGAACTGGGAAGTTTCATCAGACTTTTATCATAACTATTGTTTCCATCATCCACAGTTATTGTTTCGAATCTTCTCTAAAAATATTTGTAATTGGCAATAGTCCAAATTTTCTTTTGTTTTCTTTCCTGTTTTTGAGACACAGTCTGGCTCTGTCGCCTAAGCTGGAGTGCAGTGGTGGGATCTCGGCTCACTGCAAGCTCTGCCTCCCGGGTTCATGCCATTCTCCTGCCTCAGCCTCCCAAGTAGCTGGGACTACAGGCGCCTGCCACCACGCCCAGCTAATTTTTTGTATTTTTAGTAGAGACGGGGTTTCACTGTGTTAGCCAGGATGGTCTCAATCTCCTGACCACCTCCGCCTCCCAAAGTGCTGGGATTACAGATGTGAGCCACCGCGCCCAGCCTAATTTTTGCATTTTTAGTAGAGAGGTTTCACCATGTTGGCCAGGATGGCCTTGATCTCCTGACCTTGTAATCTGCCTGCCTCGGCCTCCCAAAGTGCTGGGATTACAGGCGTGAGCCACTGCAACTGACTTTTTTTCTTTTTTTTTCTTTTTTTTTTTTTTTTGAGACAGAGACTCACTCTGTCACCCAGGATGGAGTGCAGTGGCATGATTTCGACTCACTGCAATCTCCACCTCCTGAGTTCAAACAATTATCCTGCCTCATCCTTCAAAGTACCTGGGATTACAGGTGATTGCCACCATGCCCGGCTCATTTTTGTATTCTTAGTAGAGACGGCGTTTCGCCATGTTGGCCAGGCTGGTCTCAAACTCCTGGCCTCAACTGATCCACTCTCATTGGCCTTCCAAGGTGCTGGGATTATAGGCATGAGCCACCACAACTGGCTCAGTAAGTACGTTTTTTATTATCAAAAAAGAGTAGTCTATGATTGGCGTATTCTGTGTAGAATGTATTTTATTGATGTCTTCTATTTTTATAATTTCTGAGTTAAGTACTTTTTAATGAATGCTTTTTAGTTTTGGGCAGATTCAGTTGACTAAAGCCCCTCATTTCCCAGATACATGAAATAAAATATTTGGCTTCTTTTCCAATTTCACACTGATGTTATTTTGTGAAAATCAGTGCTTTAAGATAAATCTTTATACTTTAAGGTAAACATGAGAAATTTGATCTAATATTTAATATTTATTCAGTTCTACACTTTATTAAATTCTACACCAGCAGATTTAAAAATTATGTAACTATCTCAAGAAGTTTCACTTGGATGTAATGGTTCACGCTTGTAATCCCAGCACTTTGGGAGGCTGAGGTGGGAGGACCACTTAAGGCAAGGAGTTTGAGATGAGCCTGGGCAATACAGCAAGATCCCATCTCTATTTTAAAGAAAAGTTTCACTTTGGGAGGCTAAGGTGGGCGGATCACAAGGTCAGGAGATCGAGACCATCCTGGCTAACATGGTAAAACCCCATCTCTACTAAAAATACAAAAAATTAGCCAGGCGTGGTGGTGGGCACCTGTAGTCCCAGCTACTCAGGAGGCTGAGGCAGAAGAATGGCGTGAACCCGGGAGGCGGAGCTTGCAGTGAGCTGAGATTGCGCCACTGCACTCCAGCCTGGGCAACAGAGCGAGACTCCGTCTCAAAAAAAAAAAAAAAGTTTCAGCAAATCCCACCTAAGAATTCCACCAGAGTTCTGTTGTCTCCAATGTCATCTTCCACAGATTTCAAGTTATGAAGCCCTGAACTGTTAATTTATCTTGAGAATGTATATTTAAGCTTAATTTAAGACTATATACCTAAAAATTGAGCATATAATTTGTATAATTTGTTTATGTAAGTTTCTGTAAGTCATAAGTATGTAGTTTCCAAGTGTATAATTTATCTGAATGTAATAGGCATTAATATATTTTACATTATCAGGACCATAGTACAGAAATTTCTAAATGGTTTGTTAAATAACTTGTTATTTGCGTTGTTGTAAAAGTTGTTAATACAATGGAAAAACTCATAATAAGAAGATACAGTTTAACATCAAAAAGTTTACCCAAGGTAATTATGAGTACTACCTGGCAAAACTTCACAGAAGCTGTGGTATCACTTTTATGATAGAAGAATAGTGTTTGCATTTTGTGTAAAAGTACTTGGGGCTGGGCGTGGTGGCTCATGTCTATAATCCCAGTGCTTTGAGAGGCGAAGGCAGGTGGATCATCTGAGCCCAGGAGTTTGAGACCAGCCTAGGCAACATGGCAAGAGCCTGTCTCTCCAAAACCTACAAAAATTAGCCAAGCATGGTGGTGTGAGCCTGTAGTCCCAGCTACTTGGGAGACTCATGCAGGAGGATCTCTCGAGCCCAGGAGGCAGAAGATGAATAAATAAATGGATGCCACTGAATGAGATGAGGTCTCTCTTGAAGGAGAGAGCAAAAGATATTTAAATAATAATTATAATAAGGCTGGGCGCGGTAGCTCACGCTTGTAATCCCAAAACTTTGGGAGGCCAAGGCAGGTGGATCGGTTGAGGTCAGGAGTTCAAGACCAGCATGGCCAACACGGTGAAACCCTGTCTCTATTAAAAATACAAAATTAGCCGGGCATGGTAGTGCATGCCTGTGGTCTCGGCTACTCAGGTGGCTGAGACAGGAGAATCGCTTGAACCTGGTAGGCACAGGTTGTAGTGAGCCGATAAATATAAAAAGTATTAGAGTACTAACAGAGGAAAGTTTCCACTGATCACCTTTTAGCTTTAAACAATGCAGAAGCATTTGCCCAGTTTACTTGTAATTAAAAATCATGCATCATTCACAATTTATCAGTCTTTTTTGTTTGTACAATAACTAATATAGTTATTCTCTTTTGTCTGTATTTTGACTGGTTTGGTGAGAGGGAATTAGGCCACCTGAGAGTTTGTGTGTTTAAAATTTTCTGGCCAGGCACGGTGGCTCATGCCTGTAATCCCAGCACATTTGGAGGCTGAGGCAGGGGTATCACCTGTGTTCAGGGGTTCTAGACCAGCCTGACCAACATGGAGAAACTCCCGTCTCTACTAAAAATACAAACTTAGCTGGGCGTGGTGGTACATGCCTGTAATCCCAGCTACTCAGGAGGCTGAGGCAGGAGAATCACTTGAACCTGGGAGGCGGAGGTTGTGGTGAGCTGAGATCGCGCCATTGCACTCCAGCCTGGGCAACAAGAGCGAAACTCTGTCTCAAATAAATAAATAAACTATCACAGCATAAAGTAGAGGGATATTTCATTACTATCTAGTTAAACTGGTTAATGCAGAAAGGAAGTCTGGAAATTCCAGTTTTAAAGTAAAATTTTGGACATTGTAGGATTGATTATTTGGCATAGTTGTGATGTTTGTTCCTGCATTATGGTTTTGTTGGCAGAGCAGCCTCTAAGGACCTGTATATTTTCTTCTAGACTCTATATATTCCCTGTGAGTATTAGTTGCATGGTCAAACTGGCAAATTTTACCATAGGTATAAATAATAGAGAATGTGGAAGAATAGTGAATAGTGTCAGAGATAGTTAAAAGTCCATACAGAAGTAGAGAGGGTAATAAGTAACAGTGGCTTGGACTAAATATTTGTTGAATAAATTTTTTAAAAAACAGGCTACCTACAATTTGTGTTGAAGATATGAATGAATGAAGTTTCCACACCCTTATGTGGAGTCCTGATAAGTAAGCAACAATAAGGAAGGGTCCCCAGGTTGGGGAGAGCCCCAAGTTGAGAACAATAATGAACAATTACTGTATGAACAATTGTTAGAGACAGCTAATCACAAACAACCTGCGGGCACAATGACCTCATTCCACACGTAGCACCCTTCAGCAGGACCCTATAAAACTTTCCTCCAGCCCCTGCCTCTTTGCAGGTAGCCCCTTCTCTGCTGAGCTGCCCACTGCAACATATTTTCATAATTTCTCTAATAAATCTGCCCTTCTTTACCTACAACTATCTTGGTAAATGGCTTTACCACCTGCAAAACTGACCCTAGGTTGTTGCTACCCGATATGGTTTGGCTGCGTCCCCACCCAAATTTCATCTTGAATTGTAGTTCCCATAATCCCCATGTGTCGTGGGAGGGACCTGGTAGGAGGTAATCAAATCATGGGGGCAGGTTTTTCCCATACTGTTCTTGTGATAGTGAATACATCTCACTAAATCTGATGGTTTTATAAAGGGCAGTTTCCCTGCACGTGCTCTCTTTCCTGCAGCCATGTAAGACGTACCTTTGCTCCTTCTTTGCCTTCCACCATGATTCTGAGGCCTCCCCAGCCTTGTGGAACTGTGAGTACATTAAACCTCTTTTCCTTTATAAATTACCCAGTCTCGAGTATTTCTTCATAGCAGTATGAAAAGTAACTAATACACTACCTGAGACACCTTAGGAGATTTGTAATAGCTGTAATGCCAGGTCCACCATATTTTTAGCATAAAGCAAATGTTTACCCATGATATGACTGCACAGGCTTTCAGCTGGAGCCATAGCAACTCAAGTAGTAACCCTATCTTAGTCTGATTAAAAGTAAATATTAGTCTGGGCATGGTGGGACATGCCTGTAATCCCAGTACTTGGGGAGGCTGAGACAGAAGGATTGCTTGAGCCCAGGAGTTTGAGACCAGCCTGGGCAACATGGAAAAACCCCGTCTCTACAAAAAATACAAAAATTAGCTGAGCGTGGTGGCACACACCTGTAGTCCCAGCACCTTGGGAGGGTGAGGCAGGAGTATCTCTTGAACCCAGGAGGTGGAGGCTGCAGTGAGCAGTGATCATGTCAGAGGCATGTGAACCAGAGCAACTCCATCTTAAATAGGAGCTGGGAAAAATGAGGCTGAAACTACTGGGCTGCATTCCCTAATGGTTAAGGCATTCTAAGTCACAGGATGACATAGAAGGTCAGCACAAAATACCAGTCATAAAGACCTTGCTGATAAAACAGGTTGCAGTGAAGGAGCTGGCCAAAACCCACCAAAACCAAAATAGTGACAAGAGTGACCTCCCATCATCCTCCCTGCTACACTCCTACCAGCACCATGACAGTTTACAAATGCCATGGCAACATCAAGAAGTTATCCTATATGGTCTAAAAAGAGGAGGCATGAAAAATCCACCCCTTGTTTAGCATATCATCAAGAAATAACCATAAAAATGGGCAACCAGCAGCCCTCATGGCTGCTCTGTCTATGGAGTAGCCATTCTTTTATTCCTTTACTTTCTTTTTCTTTTTTTTTTTTTTTTTTTTTGAGATGGAGTCTCCCGCTGTCACCCAGGCTGGAGTGCACTGGCATGATCTCGGCTTACTGCAAGCTTCGCCTCCCGGGTTCACGCCATTCTCCTGCCTCAGCCTCCAGAGTAGCTGGGACTACAGGCGCCCACCACCACACTTGGCTAATTTTTTTGTATTTTTAGTAGAGACAGGGTTTCACCGTGTTAACCAGGATGGTCTTGATCTCCTGACCTCATGATCCACCTGTCTCGGCCTCCCAAAGTGCTGGGATTACAGGCGTGAGCCACCGTGCCCCTCCTCCTTTACTTTCTTAATAAACTTGCTTTCAATTCACATTGCGGGATCACCCTGAATTCTTTCTTGTGCAAGATCCAAGAACCCTCTCTTGGGGTCTGGATTGGGACCCCTTTCCTGTAACTATCATGCCACTGCACTCCAGCCTGGGCAACAGAGCAAGGCCCTGTCTCAAAAAGAAAAAAAAAAAAGTAATATGACTTAATGCATTCATTTTGGAGGGTAAGTCTCTCAAAATAGGCCTTTCACTGGGGGAAAATGGTAAAAATACTCCCTGGTAATTCAAGAATTGGAGACTCCTGAGATGCTGCTCATATTAGCTGAACACTTATCAATACTTCACTTTTTTCCATATATACTCAAGGAACAAGTGCCATTTAAAGTGTTTCACTCCGCTGTGCTAGGTGCAAGACTATAAAGAGTTGTGAGGATCAATACTTTTATGAAAACCAATGTCATTCTGAATATAGTTTCAGATGCTAGTGCAAAGGAAGCTCTTAGTATACGTAAAAAGTATTCAACAATAAATTGGGCATGGTTGCTTCCATTTTCTGCCTCACATACTTTTTTTTTCATGGTTAAAGTGATATAATGTCTATGATACTTTAGATTGGCAGTTGCAAACTAGTGGTCCTCAGCGTGCTTTTTATGACACCTACAAGGTTTGAAGACTTCGATTTCATATTAAAAATCTGGGTTTCAGGCTGGGTGTGGTGTTGCATGCCTGTAATCCCAGCACTTTGGGAGGTTAAGGTGGGTGGATCACCTGAGGTCAGGAGTTCGAGACCAGCCTGGCCAACATGATGAAACTCTGTCTCTACTAAAAATACAAAAATCAGCCAGGCATGGTGGCATGTGCCTGTAATCCCAGCTACTCAGGAAGCTGAGGCAGGAGAATCACTTGAACCAGGGAGGTGGAGGTTGCAGTGAGCCAAGATCACGCCACTGCACTCAAGCTTAGGCAATAGAGCAAGACTCCATCTCAAAAAATGAATAAATAAATAAATAAAATCTGGGTTTCAGGCCAGGTGTGGTGGTGCACTCCTGCAATCCCAGCACTTTGGGAGGCTGAGATGGGCAGACAGCTTGAGCTCAGGAATTCCAGACTAGCCTGGGCAATGTGGCGAAACCCCATGTCTACAAATAATACAAAAAAATTAGCTGGGTGTAGTGGAGTGTGCCTGTAATCCCAGCAACGTGGGAGGCTGAAGTGAGAGGATTGCTTGAGCCTGGGAGGTTGAGGTCACAGTGAGCTGAGATCGCCCTTCTACACTCCAACCTGGGCAACAGAGCCAGACCTTGTCTTAAAAAAAAAAAAAAAAAAAAAAATTCTAGGTTTCTGGCATCTCAAAAAAAAAAAAAAAAAAGGAAAAGTCAGGGCACATGGCTGCTACAGTCCTCTATTAAGCAATGTGCCACAGCAGGGGTCCCTGACCCCTGGGCCATGGACATGTACTGGTCTGTGGCCTGTTAGGAACTGGGCCACAGAACAGGAGGTGAATGGTGGGTAACAATTGAAGCTTCGTCTGTATTTCTGGCCGCTCCCCATTGCTTGCATTGCTGCCTGAGCTCTGCCTCCTGTCAGATCAGCAGCATCATTAGATTCTTACAGGAGCATGAACCCTGTTGTGAGTTGCACACACGAGGGATCCAGGTTGCATATTCCTTATGAGAATCTAATTCCTGATGATTTGTGGTGGAACAGTTTCATCCCAAGACCATTACCATCCTGCGCCCCATCCCTTGCCGCCTGTGGAAAAATTGTCTTCCACAAAGCCGGTCCCTGGCGCCAAAAATGTTGGGGACTGCTGTGCTTTAGAATCTGCCATGAATCTGCAGCCTCTATTATATAGCTCCCTATAGACTTTGCTTCCTACCGTCTTACGTTCTGCCTTATAGGCATTTGAGTTTGCAACCCTTGTTTTTGTTAGTATGCTACGCTGGTGACATTGACCAAATTGACCACACATTAATGATAAGCTTAGTTGGTGATGACCTCAATGGAATAATGTGACATAAGTATTGTGACAATACTTCTTGCATGTATCTGCAGGTGGAATTGTAAACCTGGTTGTCCGAGATGGTCTAATTCGATCTTCCTATGTATCTCCTTATATTAATAGTGGTAACATTTGTGGTGGTGATTCAGCGTTTCAATGCCTCTTCTCATGGCAACAACAAATGTTTTCCTTCTGAATCAACATTAACCTAGATGTTACTGCGGATCAAAATTAGACTGTACATTTTCAACCACAGAAATATTGGGCAGTAAAAATTTTTCTTAATATTGATTGCCTACATAGGTTGTGTAATTAGCATATGTTTATAGTTCTATGATTTGTGCGTGGCTGCTACAGAGCCAGAGGGGGTAAAGCAACAGTGTTTTCTCAGTTGTGCGAGCAGCATTACATTATAATAAATAGGTAATATTAAACTGGGCTGATGAGAGTTGCAAAAGACTACTTTAATGTTCATATGGAACCAAAAAAGAGCCCACATTGCCAAGACAATCCTAAGCCCAAAGAACAAAGCTGGAGGCATCATGCTACCTGACTTCAAACTATACTACAAGGCTACAGTAACCAAAACAGCATGGTACTGGTACCAAAACAGACATATAGACCAATGGAACAGAACAGAGCCCTCAGAAATAATACCACACATCTACAACTATCTGATCTTTGACAAACCTGACAAAAACAAGAAATGGGGAAAGGATTCCCTATTTAATAAATGGTGCTGGGAAAACTGGCTAGCCATATGTAGAAAGCTGAAACTGGATCCCTTCCTTACATCTTATACAAAAATTAATTCAAGATGGATTAAAGACTTAAATGTTAGACCTAAAACCATAAAAACCCTAGAAGAAAACCTAGGCAATACCATTCAGGACATAGGCATGGGCAAGGACTTCATGTCTAAAACACCAAAAGCAATGGCAACAGAAGCCAAAACTGACAAATGGGATCTAATTAAACTAAAGAGCTGCATAGCAAAAGAAACTACCATCAGAGTGAACAGGCAACGTACAGAATGGGAGAAAACTTTTATAATCTACCCATCTGACAAAGGGCTAATATCCAGAATCTACAAAGAACTTAAACAAATTTACAAGAAAAAAATCAAACAACCCCATCAAAAAGTGGGCGAAGGATATGAACAGACACTTCTCAAAAGAAGACATTTATGCAGCCAACAGACACATGAAAAAATGCTCATCATCACTGGCCATCAGAGAAATGCAAATCAAAACCACAATGAGATATCATTTCATGCCAGTTAGAATGGCGATCATTAAAAAGTCAGGAAACAACAGGTGCTGGAGAGGATGTGGAGAAATAGGAACACTTTTACACTGTTGGTGGGACTGTAAACTAGTTCAACCATTGTGGAAGACAGTGTGGCGACTCCTCAAGGATCTAGAACTAGAAATACCATTTGACCCAGCCATCCTATTGCTGGGTATATACCCAAAGGATTATAAATCATGCCGCTATAAAGACACATGTACACATATGTTTATTGCGGCACTATTCACAATAGCAAAGACTTGGAACCAACCCAAATGTCCATCAATGATAGACTGGATTAAGAAAACGTGGCAATTATACACCATGGAATACTATGCAGCCATAAAAATGGATGAGTTCATGTCCTTTGTAGGAACATGGATGAAGCTGGAAACCATCATTCTGAGCAAACTATCGCCAGGACAGAAAATCAAACACCGCATGTTCTCACTCATAGGTGGGAATTGAACAATGAGAACACTTGGACACAGGGTGGGGAACATCACACCCTGGGGCTTGTCATGGGGTGGGGGAAGCCGGGAGAGATAGCATTAGGAGATATACCTAATGTAAATGACGAGTTCATGGGTGCAGCACACCAACGTGGCACATGTATACATATGTAACAAACCTGCACATTGTGCACATGTACCCTAGAACTTAAAGTATAATAAAAATAAATAAATTGGGCTGATGAACCATATTACAGTAATCCAATATTTCGCTTGTAAAGTCCTGAGGTTTACAGAAGGAAATCTTTTCTAATAACAAGAAGAGTGAGGCATGTGCTTTGGTCTTTATTTCCTAGTTATACGATCCTGGGTAAGGAGCTCAACTTTTCTCTGCCAAAATTAAATGAGGATTAAATGAGATCATATATGTGAAGTTGTGAAAGACAGTGCCTGGCACATAGTAGGATCAATCAATGTTAATATCTCTAAAATAGAGATTGAGTCTGAAGATCCACAAAGTGGTAGAACTGATCTTAAGATTCCCAAATGATAGAATTGGGCTTTATTTGCCTAAGTAGTATGGTATTACTTATTGTATGCCCAGGGGATCTTTTTTTTTTAAATAATGTTTATTTATTTATTTTGAGACAGAGTCTCGCTCTGTCCCCCAAGCTGGAGTGCAGTGGCACCATTTTGGCTCACTGCAACCTCTACCTACCCGGTTCAAGCAATTCTCCTGCCTCAGCCTCCTGAGTAGCTGGGATTACAGGTGCGCACCACCATGCCCAGCTAATTTTTGTATATTTAGTAGAGACAGGGTTTTGCCATGCTGGCCAGACTCGTCTTAAACTCCTGACCTAAGGTGATCCAGCTCCCTCAGCCTGCCACAGTGCTGGGATTACAGGTGTAAGCCACGGCACCCAGCCCTAATGTTTTATTTTTTTGTAGAGATGAGGTCTTACTATGTGGCCCAGGCTGGTCTTGAATTCCTGGACCTAAGTGATCCTCCCACCTTGACCTCCCAAAGTGTTGGGATTACAGGCATGAGCCACCGTGCCCAGTTCCCTTCTTAAATAGTTTAAAGGGGGAGAAGAAAGAAAAAGACAGATTTTCTTCCCTTCCACTACCAAAACAGGCAAAACACACCAGAACACTTTGCTTAGCATTTCTTTTCTTTTCTTTTCTTTTTTTGAGAAAGAGTCTTCCTCTGTCAGCCAGGGTGGAGTGCAGTGGGGCGATCTTGGCTCACTTCAAGCTCCACCTCCTGGGTTCAGGCCATTCTCCTGCCTCAGCCTCCCGAGTAGCTGGGACTACAGGTGCCCACCACCACGCCCAGCTAATTTTTTGTATTTTTAGTAGAGACGGGATTTCACCGTGTTAGCCAGGATGGTCTGGATCTCCTGACCTCGTGATCCGCCCGCCTTGGCCTCCCAAAGTGCTGGTATTACAGGAGTGAGCCACCGTGCCCGGCCGTCCCTTCATTTTTTAAGATAAATTCACATACCATAAAACTTACCATTTTATTTTCTCTCTCTTTTTCTTTCTTTCTTTCTTTTTTTTTTTTTTTTTTTTTTTTTTTTTGCAGGCTGGAGTGCAGTGGCCCTATCGTGGCTCACTGCAACCTTGAATTCCTGGGCTCAAGAGATCCTCCCACCTCAGACTCCCAAGTAGCAGTAGCTGAGACTATCAGTGCGCACCACCAAGTCTGAGTAATTACAATACTTTTTTCTTTTTCTTTTTCTTTTTTTTTTCGTAGAGATGGGGTCTTCCTATTTTGTCCAGGCTAATCTGGAACTCCTGCCCTCAAAGGATCCTCCTGTCTAATTCTCTCAAAGTGCTGGGATTACAGGCATGTGCCACCGCACCCGGCCAAATGCACCTCCTTTTTTCAAGTGTACAATTCAATGGTTTTTAATATATTCACAAAGTCATGGAACCATCACACCTATCTAATTTCAAAATGTTTTCATCACTCCAAAAAATAACCCCATATGGGAGGCCGCGGCGGGCAGATCACTCGAGACCAGCCTGGCCAACATATTGAAACCCCGTCTCCACTAAAAATACAAAAATTAGTCGGGCGTGATGGCGCACGCGTGTAGTCCCAGCTGCTCGGGAGGCTGAGGCAGGAGAATCGCTTGAACCCGGGAGGCGGAGGTTGCAGTGAGCCCAGATCGCCCCACTGCACTCCAGCCTGGGCGACAGAGCGAGACTCCGTCTCAAAAATATCTAATTAATTAATAAAAATAAAATAAATAAATAAATAAATAACCCCATGCCTTCTGCCTCTGTGGCTTTGCCTATTCTGGGTATTTTGTGTCAACGGACCCATGCATGGGGGTGGGCCGGGCACCTTTCAAACGTTCAGCCCCCACGACGGCCCGTGGCCTCCGGATTGGACGGCACGAGCTGGGTGTGCGCGGGGCGCCCAACCGCTCAGGAGCTCCTGGAGGAGGCAGGTGCAGGTGCCGGCTGCTGCAGCGCAGTAGCTGCTGGAGGCTGGCGAGGCCCGGAGGCGGTGCAGGAAGCCTCCGACCACGCGGGCTCCTGATCGCGGGCGCCCACAGCGCGGACATGGCGGGCTGGTGGCCGGCGTTGTCGCGCACGGCCCGGCGCCACCCGTGGCCCACCAACGTGCTGCTCTACGTTGCTCGAGCAACGTAGCTCTACGCTCTACGAGCGTGCCGTAGCTCGCTCGTCTCCGCCGGGGACGTGCTGCAGCAACGGCTGCAGGGCCGCTAGGCCGACTGGCGCCAGACGCGGCGCGTGGCCACGTTGGTGGTGACCTTCCACGCCAACTTCAACTACGTGTGGCTGGGCCTGCTGGAGCGCGCGCTCCCGGGCCGAGCGCCGCGCGCCATGCTGGCCAAGTTGCTGTGCGACCAGGTGGTCGGTGCGCCCATCGCGGTCTCGGCCTTCTACGCCGGTGAGGGGCCGGGGGGGGAACCTGGGGGGTGGGACCAGTATTGGGGGACTGGAGGCAGGGACTTGGGGATCAAGCGGCTGGAGGGAGGGCGCTGCAGGAGCCTGGGGACCCGGGCAGGAGCCGGGGCTCTGAGACCGGAGCTGCTTCAGAGGCCTGAAGGGCCAGGGCAAAGGCTGGAGGCTGGGGTGTTTGATTGCGAGAAGTTGCAGGAGGCACTGGCTGGGGAGCCGAGAAATTGGGGAGCCAGAGGTACAGCAGGTCAGGAATTTAGAGGACTAGGGTCGGGGCTCAGACTCTGGGGTTGGGTGTAGGCCAAGGCTGGAGGTAGGCAGGGCTGCGGAGGTCTTTGCCCCCTGAAAAAGGCCCACGGGAAAATAAAGGAGATCCCAGTTCAAGGCCATAGCAGCTGCAATGACCGTGAACCAATCGTGGGACAGGGAAGGAACCGACCTGCTGTTCAGAAAATCCACGCCTGGGGCCCCGGGGCCAACACAGGAACAAAATGCAAGGGGACCCGTGACCCTGGGGGGCAGAGCAGGTGGAATCTGAGGTTGGGCCTGGATCTTCAGCAAATTCATGCCCAGGGGCCTAGTCCTGCTTTGGTAACAAGATTTTCCCCTGGGGTCTCACGGAAAACATCAAGGGACCTTGGATCCTTGCCATAGAGGACTATATACCTGTGAGGGTTCAGGGAACCCTCTCCTTAGAAAATCCGACCCGGGCCTGGGGTGTGGGGGACAGGGGCTTGACTGTGGAAACCTTCTCTACTGCGTACAATAAGAACAATGGAAATGTTACCTGAAAAATACCGGGGTTCATTCCCTTAACGAGTCACAAATGACTCCACCAAGAGGCGGGTTTTGATCAATGGGAGTTTTACTTGGCACAAGAAAGGAAGACACTGGGCATATTCTCCCAAGTAGTGTGTCCCCCAGAGAAAGAGACAGGAGGGTTTTATGGGGTGATGGAGAAAGGAGAGGGTGCATGATTGCATGTAGAGTAGGGGTCCCAGTGAGTCATGATGCTAGCGCATAGGTTGCATAGGTTATAGTCATGAAGCTATAGCTTCTCCCGGGGTGAAGACTTTAGCATGGTAATGAGGAGAGTTAACTTGGGTTCATCTGTAAGTAACCTGGGGTCATTTAGGAGCTGATTTAAACAAACAGGGTGACCTCATTCCACCCAGGGCTGGGGAAGAACAGGTTGAGGTCAGGAGGCTGTAAAACAGGCTGATCACTCAAGTTGGTTAAATTCTTGTAATCTTTGGAGATCCTCCATCTGCTCACAGGAGGGTCCCTGTGGCCTCTATCATCATTGCAATTTCTATAGCCTTGAAGGGGATGGGGTGGGTAACTGGGGAGAAAATCTCTATGGGTCTTAAGCCTGACGGGGTCAGTGGGTCAGGAGAACAGACAGCCGGGGAGCTAGGGCCTCCTGTTTTATCAGAAGGTCTGTGCCTGGTCCCGGCGTGTGATTTGCAGACTAGATTTGCAAACAGCTTCCTAGCAACTGTTAAAGAAGTCTTGTACAGCGGTGAAGGGGTAGGGGACCAGAATGCTATTTAATCCTCAAAAAACTAGTGAGATTGTTCTCTTTTTCTTTTCTTCTTCTTCTTCTTCTTCTTTTTTTTTTTTTTTTTTTTTTTTTTGAGACAGAGTCTTGTTTTATTGCCCAGCCTGGAGTGTGCAGTGGCCTGATCTCAGCTCATTGAAACCTCCATCTTCAGGTTCAAGCGATCCTCCTGCCTCAGCCTACCAAGTAGCTGGCATTACAGATGCACACCACCATGCCCGGCTAATTTTTGCATTTTTAATGGAGACAAAGTTTCACCATGTTTGCCAGGGTCGTCTCGAACTCCTGAACTCAAGTAATCTGCCCATCATGGCCTCCCAAAGTGCTGGGATCACAGACGTGAGCCCTCGCACCTGAGATTGTTCTTATTACTCTCATGTTACAAATGAGGAAACAACTAGTGAAATTAGTGAAATTGTTCTCTTTTTCTTTTCTTTTTTTTTTTGGGAGACAGAGTCTCGCTTTATCATCCTGGCTGGAATGTGCATTGGCCCGATCTCAGCTCACTGCAACCTCCACTTTCTGGGTTCAAGTGATCCTTCTGCCTCAGCTTCTCGAGAAGCTGGGATTACAGGCATGCGCCACCACACCCAGCTAATTTTGTATTTTTAGTAGAGACGGGGTTTCTCCGTGTTGGTCAGGCTGGTCTCGAACTCCTGACCTCAGGTGATCCGCTCGCCTCAACTTCCCAAAGTGCTGGGATTACAGGCATGAGCCACCGTGCCCAGCCCACTAGCTTTTTTTAAAAGATAGAAATTAAAATTTCAAAATGTCCAAATGTTCAACTTTTCACAAAATGTTTGGAAGGTAGAGAAAAGTAACCAATAGACCCACTATTGTAACTGGATTGTTTTTGTGAATTGTTATAGTTTTTGAAAAAATAATTGTTCTGCTATAACTTTTATATTCTGCTATTCTCACATCATATTTATCATTCCTTTAAAATTTTCTAGTTTTAGAGTGGAGACTATGTTCTTTTTTTTTTTTTTTTTTTTGAGACAGGGTCTTGCTATGTTGTCCAGACTGGAGTGCAGTGGCATGATCACAGCTCACTGTAGCCTCCACCTCCCAGGCTCAAGCAATCCTCCCACCTCAGCCTCCTGAGTAACTATGACTACAGACACACCACCACACCTGGCTAATTTTTGTATTTTTTATAGAGATGAGGTTTTGCCCTGTTGCCCAGGCTGGTCTCTTAACTCCTGGACTCAAGCAATCTGCCTGCCTCGGCCTCCCAAAGTGCTGGGATTACAGGCTTGAGCCACGGCACCTGTCTATGTTCTCTTTTCACTGTAGGATCAGAGGGTCATATTGATGGATGATAGTGATGGTTACTTTGCATTTTGGAATGGTAAACTTAAACATGAACTGTTATACAGTACTCTACTGAATCTTTTAAAATTCTTTTGGTGTTTTTGCAAATAGGTATGAGCATTCTCCAGGGAAAGGATGACATATTTTTGGACCTGAAACAGAAATTCTGGAACACCTATATGGTAAGACAGGCGTTTGAAAATGTTATCAGTATCTTTTTGTGTGTGTATATACACACACACACACACACAATATACAATACAATATATATACATATACAATCAGTAACTTTTTGTGTATATATGTGTATATGTATATATATGTACATAGATCCACAAAAATATATACTTTCTGTGTACATATTTATAAAGATTTAAAATGTTTTAATTGACACATATATGTATGTATTTTCAGAATACATGTGATGATTTGATACATTTGTATAATCATATCAGGATTCTTTGTGTGTGTGTGTGTGTCTATATATATATATGTATATATATATTTTTTAATAAAATTTTTTTTGAGACAGGGTCTCATTCTGTCACCCAGGCTGGAATGCAGTGGCATGGTCATGGCTCACTGCAGCCTGGACCTCCTGAGCTCAAGCGATCCTCCCACCTCATCCTTCTGAGTAGCTGAGACTACAGGCATGTGCCACCACACCCAGCTAATTATTTTTAAATTTTTTGATAGAGACAGAGTCTCACTATGTAGCACAGGCTGGCCTCAAACTCCTGTGCTCCAGTTATTCTCCCACCTCAACATTAAGTACATTTTTATTAAACTATTCCTAAATTAGAGCTCCAGTTTGGTTGGCAGAAGGGTCCAATATTTTGACAGAGAAATCTTAAAGTTATTTTGATAGATGTATGAGGAGAGGCTTTAAGAGTGTCTATACTTCTCATGAATTGGAAAGAAATACTTTCTCTGGGCCGGGCACGGTGGCTCACGCCTCTAATCCCAACACCTGGGAGGCTGAGGCAGGCAGATCACTTGATGTCAGGAGTTTGAAACCAGCCTGGCCAATATGGTGAAACCCTGTCTCTACTAAAAATACAAAAATTAGCTGGGCACGGTGGTGTATGTCTGTAATCCCAGCTACTCAGTAGGCTGAGGCAGGAGAATCACTTGAATCTGAAGACAGGTTGCAGTGAGCCAAGATCTCACCACTGCACTCCAGCCTGGGCAACAGAGCAAGACTCCATCTCAAAAAGAAAAAAAGAAATGAAATAATATCTCTGAATTTTAGTCCATGTTCTCAATGATTTCTGACTTTATTATATTAACTCTTATTAATGATCAGAATTTATTTTGTAAATTTTGCAGCCAAAGGGACAATTTATTTTGTAAATTTGGGATTCTATTTGCAAAATAAGGATGGTAGACTGTGAGTGGCTTAATGGAATCATTCCCACATTCAGAGCCAATGTTTTCAGGTGAGCATTCTGCGGAGTCCTGGTGAAAAGAACTTTAACATCACAAAGGTATTGATAGTGAAGGAGAAGGTTTCCAAGGGTTACTCCAAGGTTCAAAACAAATCAGCGGTTTTACTGTTTGCTCGGCACAAATATATATAGTCCAGTCCAGTGCAAAATTTAGGCCGGGCACGGTGGCTCACGCCTGTAATCCCAACACTTTGGGAGGTGGAGGCGGGTGGATCACAAGGTCGGGAGATCGAGACCATCCTGGCTAACATGGTGAAACCCTGTCTCCACTAAAAATAAAAAAATTAGCAGGGCATGGTGGTACGAGCCTGTAGTTCCAGCTACTTGGGAGGCTGAGGCAGGAGAATCACTTGAACCCGGAAGGCGGAGGTTGCACTAAGCCGATATCACGCCACTGCACTCCAGCCTGGGCGACAGAGCGAGACTCTGTCTCAAAAAAAAAAAAAAAAAAAAAAAAGAGCGGGAAGTAGCCGGCTCACACTTGTAATCCCAGCATTTTGGGAGGCTGAGGCAAGAGGATCGGTAGAGCTCAGCAGTTTCAGACCAGCCTGCGCAACACAGTGAGACCCCATCTCTACAAAAATAAAATAAATTAGCTGGGCATAGTGGCAAGCGTCTGTTGTCCCAGCTGCTCAGGAAGCTGAGATGGGAGGATTGCAAGCCTGGGAGGTCAAGGCTGCAATAAGCTGTGATTGCACCGCTGCACACCAGCCTGAGTGACAGAGTGAGGCCCTGGTTCAAAAAAAAAAAAAAAGAGCAGGAAGTAGAATTGGGAAAGAAAGAAGCTTCAGGCAGGGATTTGTAAATGAACAAAACCGCAGGAATATTTGCATACTGTTTTAAAAAACAGTGGTTACAATGAGTGAGTCTCATCTACCCTCAGGAAAAGAAAGAGGGTATACCAGCAGTCTAAAGCCCAGCCCATTTGGAGATTTTTTGGGAAGATTTCTTGTGATAAGAAATTGTCGGCCGGGCACGACAACTCACACCTGTAATCCCAGCACTTTGGCAGGCGGATCACTAGGTCAAGAGATTGAGACCATCCTGGCCAACTTGGTGAAACCCCGTCACTACTAAAAATACAAAAATTAGCCAGGCATGGTGGCGGGTGCCTGTAATCCCAGCTACTCAGGAGACTGAGGCAGGACAATTGCTGGAACCCGGGAGGCGGAGGTTGCAGTGAGCTGAGATCGTGCCACTGCACTCCAGCCTGGCAACAGAGGGAGACTCCGTCACAAAAAGAAAAAAAAAAAGAAAAGAAAAGAAACTGTCTTCCAGGTGCTGTCCTAGGTGTTAGTGGAAGATACCCAAAAAACCATATAAAACAGAGATTCTGTCCTAAAGGGACTTAGAGTCTAGTGGGATAGATAGATAAATAGACAAGTCATTAACTAGAGTTCGATGAGAAATGCTCTCAGAGCCCATGGGTACTCAGCACAGCGAGGAGGTGTGGGAGTGGGGATCAAGGAAGTCTTGCTGGGGCCAGGCACCAGTGGCTCATGCCTGTAATGCTAGCACTTTGGGAGGCCAAGGTGGGTAGATTGCTTGAGCTCAGGAATTTGAGACCAGCCTGGGCAATATGACGATGAAACCTCATCTCCACAAATACAAAAATGAGCTGGTCATGGTGGCTCACACCTGTAGTCCCAGCTACTCAGGAGGCTGAGGTGGGAGGATCTCCTGAGCCCAGGAGGTCAAGACTGCAGTAAGCTATGATTGTACCACTGCACTCCAGCCTGGGTAACACAGCGAGACCCTGTCTCAAAATAAAAAATAAAAAATAAAAAAAAAGATCTGGAGTTAGGCACATACTGGGGGACAGGTCATTCCAGGGGCAGAAGAGCTGAGTAGAGTTGACAATGTGTAAAGCACCACGGTATGCCCAGAGGGGAGAAACCACAGGCAGTTTGGTGTTCACAGAGTATTTGTTGAGCAACTTGGAATGAGTTTGGATCCTGGAGACTGTTGAACACCCGGAGCTGAGGATCTTGCACTTCACGGTTAGGTAATTGCAGCAGAGGAAACCAGAGTGGGGGGTTATTGTAGCCAAGTTCACATAAGAAATAATGAAGTACGTCGGGTGTGGTGGCTCATGCCTGTAATCCTAACACTTTGGGAGGGTGAGGCGAGAGGATCCCTTGAGGTTAGGAGTTCGAGACCAGCTTGGGCAACATAGCAAGACCCTGTCTGTATTTAAAAAAATAAAACTGGCCTGGCATGGTGGCTCACACCTGTAATCTCACCACTTTGAGAGGCCGAGGTGAGCAGATCACTTGAGGTCAGGAGTTCGAGACCAGCCAGACCAAAATGGTGAAACCCAGTCTCTACTAAAAATACAAAAAATTAGCCAGGCATGGTGGCGCACGCCTGTAATCCCAGCTACTCAAGAGGCTGAGTCAGGAGAATTGTGGGCGGCAAGCCACCCAGGCACCGAGGCAAGAGACAGAGGACACGATCTGTTCCAGTATAATAAAATATAAAACAAGAATAGTTATACCAGATATAGATCTTAGATATGATTATATATGAATATCATTAATCATTAGTTTGTAGCAATTACTTTTTCTTCCAATATTATAATAACCCTCGCTCAATAATCATAGCCTAGGAAAAACCAGGCCATACACAGATAGGAGCTGAAGGGACATAGTGAGGTGTGACCGGAAGACAGGAGTGCGAGCCTTCTGTTATGCCTGGACAGGGCCACCAGAGGGCTCCTTGGTCTAGCGGTGACACCAGCATCTGGGAAGATGCCCGTTACCAGGCGGATCGTGGTCCAGCGTCTCCCTGTGATGCTGTGCTTCAGTGGTCACACTCCTAGTCCACCTTCATGTTTCATCCTGTACACCTGACTCTGCCTTCTAGATAGCAGTGGTAAATTAGTGAAAATACTAATAGTCCCTGATATGCAGAAATAATGGCATAAGCTGTCTTTCTCTTTGTCTCCTCTCCCTCTCTGCCTCGGCTGCCAGGCAGGGAAGGGCCCCCTGTCCAGTGGACACGTGACCCACGTGACCTTACCTATCATTGGAGGTGACTCACATTCTTTACCCTGACCCTTCAGCCTTGTATCCAATAAATAACAGCGCAGCCCGACGTTCGGGGCCACTACCAGTCTCTGCATATTGGTGGTAGTGGTCACCCGGGCCCAACTGCCTGTGTTGCCCAGGCTTCCTGTGTTGGCCGTGCTGTCACCAAGGTCACAGCATCCTGAGAACATGGTTTTCTCCTTGACTAACAAGGCCTCGGGGTCTGTCTCGGGGTTGGCCTTCCACCGGGTCAGCGGGATGATCCGGCGCAAGCTCACGGTGTGTCTCCTGGTGGTAGAGGGGCTTGTGTCAACCTGTGGCCGGGTGGGGATGCTCCTTCCCAGCTGGTAGGCTGCCCCCAGGCTCCATGCCCTGCCCTGGCCTGGACACTCACGCTTTGCCTTCTTCATCAATGTCATCTACCTCATACCTGTGGACAAAAGGAGGAAAATGCAGGATGCAGCCAGGGGCACAGTCCCTGTAGGGGAGTGTGGAGGACAGGGGCAGGGCAAGGACCCGGTGCTCCCTGCACAGCCGGCCCCGCCCACAGCACGCTCTGTGGAGTTTTTCTCCTGCT
This sequence comes from Homo sapiens, assembly GCF_000001405.40. Taxonomy (NCBI): domain Eukaryota; kingdom Metazoa; phylum Chordata; class Mammalia; order Primates; family Hominidae; genus Homo; species Homo sapiens. The sequence continues at coordinate 28,615,190 of NC_000016.10, read as the reverse complement.
GTGCAGATGAGAAGCAGAGTGGCAGCCCAGGCAGGTGCAGTGACCAGAGAGCAGCCCTGGGGCTGTTGGAGGAGCCCCTGGGAGCCTCCATCTCCCGAGTGAGCCCAGCAGGACTGTGACCCGTTCGGCCAGGTGTCCTACAGGGGCTGCTGGGCTCAGCTACAGATGGGCGAGACCGCAGCATAGTGGGCGCCCAGCGGGAAGAACCAGGGAGGGACAAAGTGAGTTTGCAGGTGGTGGAGAGGCTCTCTTCTTGATGTCGGTGCTGAACCAGAAGTGTGTTTAAGGAGAATTTCCTAAAATTCAAAGAGTTCCACGGGAGTCGCGGCTAGGCCGGGGCGCTTCTTCAGCATCTACCTGCTCTACGGCCTGAACCCCCGTCATCAGGGCCACGTTTATATGGGGTTCACTGTCAGCCCTGCTTGTCAGGTCCAGCAGCACAATGGGGGCCACACAAAAGGCAGGGCCCAGGCCTGGCGCGGTGGCTCAAGCCTGTAAACCCAACACATTGGGAGGCCAAAGCGGTTGGATCACTTGAGGTCAGGAGTTCGAGACCAGCCTGACCAACATGGTGAAACCCCGTCTGTAATAGAAATACAAAAATTAGTCGGGCATGGTGGCACGTGCCTGTAATTACAGCTACTCAAAAGGCTGAGGCGGGAGAATTGCTTGAAAGATGGGGCAGGGGGCAGCGGCAGAGGTTGCAGTGAGCCAAATCGGGCCATTGCACTCCTGGTGAGACCGGAAGGGTCTCTGTGCCAGGAGGAAGGCTTCCTGGAGGAGGCGGACCCCGCTGGGCACAAGCCTGATGAGAGGGAAGGGCATGCCTGTGACATGGGTGGGGAGTCCAGGGTGGGGACGGGACTGTCACAGAGGAGGAGCATGACGGGGAGACAGTGCCCTGGGAATCTTGGCGGTGGAACTCCGGGGAGGAGCTGGCTGGGGCGGAGGTGATGATCCAGGATGCGGGCCAGCGTAGGGGTCTTGGTGGGCATGCTGGGGTCGGATGGAGCGCAGGAGAGAGAAGAGGGGGGACAGGTGGGTACCTGGGCTGGAGGCGCGGCCTGAGGTGGGCAGGTGCAGGGGGCGTGACTTCATTTAGGGGCAGGGCCTGGGGCTAGGCTGAAGCCGGCAGTGAGGACCCCGCTCTCGGGTGGAATTGGAGGGGACCCGCGGTTGGGCGCGGCAGGGCTCACAGGGACACCCCCGTTCTCCTCCCCAGGGAGAAAGTGCTCGTCGTGCACGGCTTCCCGCCCGCCGTGGCAACCCTTCGGGTAAGGAAGGAGACCAGGCGGCGGCAGGCGGGCAAGGGCTTGGGGTCCGCCCCCCTGCCTGGAGCCGCCCTAACTCCTCCGTATCCTGCCGCTGTTGGAGTGGGCCTGGAACCCCCTCCATAGGCGCGCCTCCTACTCCCGCTGCACCCCGACCTCCGCCGGGACCTCTATGCGCCGCGCCGCACGGGCGATGGCCTTCGGGCCTCCCCGGCCCCAGGGCACCGCGCAGGTCCCTTTGCTGGCACCAAGCCCGAGCCTGAGCCGGACCCGGGGCCCAAGAGGCCTGTGCGCCCTGCGAGCCCTTGAGCTCCAGGGGAGGTCCGCCCCAGGCAGGGCGGCTCATCCCCCAGACCACTTCGGATCCAGCTGTTTGTTGAGGAGCCAGGAAACGCCCTGACACTTTTGCGGCCCTGTCCCCGTCTCTAAGATGGGGATGATAGTATTTCTGGCCATTCCTGAGCACAGCAGGACCTGCCTTTTCCCTTTGACTGGAAGGTTCTTCTCTACACCTATCTTGATAACCTGCCACCTCCACAGGGAGGTCTTCTCTATCTCCCGATTTAAAATTGCAGCTCTGAGAAGCCGGGCATGGTGGCATATGCCTGTAGTCCCAGCTACGGGGGGAGGCTGAGGTGGGAGGATCGCTTGGTCCCAGGAGTTGGAGGCTGCAGTGAGCTCTGATCGCTCCACTGCACTATAGCCTGGGCAAAAGAGCAAGAAACTGTCTCTAAAAATATAAAATAAAATTGCACCTCTTGTGTACTTCCCCGTCTGCTTCTTTACCTGAATACTTACTATCTCACCGGCTAGGTGCTTTATGACTCTCGTTAGTCTCTCCCACCCCAACCTTTGCACTACATTGCCCGAGGGCAGCTCTTGTCACTGCTGTAGAACAAAGTCCTGCACAGAGACGATAGCCAAGAAATAGTTAATAAAATAATGGAAAACGGGTGCCTTCTACTGAGCACCCGCTAATAGTGAGTGAGTAGAGGACTTGCCCTGGGGACATTCAGTGACCTGCTGGGTGTTGCTGAGCTGTGAGGAAGTTCAGGTCTGGCTGCAGTGGTGAGGCTGTGACTCAATCAATCACTGCTGATGCTCCCAGGACCTGCACCAGCTTAGTCCCAGGGGCAAGGATTTTAAACCCCCACCTCCATTTCCTCATCTGTAAGATGCAAATAACAGTCACCTCTGCCTCACGGGATGGAGCTGTGTAATGCCCGGAACAGTGCCTGCTGCATAGAGGGGTTGCTGCCAGCTGCCTCTCCCTCCTTGTCTCTTACCTGCCTGCTGCCTGGGACAGGATGAAGCGGGGCCCTTGTGTTGCCCCAACCCTGGCTGTTGGCTAAGAGCCCACGTGATCTGCCTGTGAGAGGAGTTCCTTCCGGAAGAACCAGGGCAGCTTCTGCCCCTAGAGGGCCAATGCCCTAGCTGAGTGCAGTCCCCCGGCCCCAGCCTGGTCCAGCTTTGGGAAGAGGGTGCCCAGTTGTGCAATCCAGGCCGGGGCAGCCGTGTCCTGATCTTGGTATTCAGGGCTGAGCCTGGAGGGGGCTTGTGATGCCTGACTCTGTCTCTCTCTCTGGCCCCATGCCTTGGTAGCTGTGAGGCGTCACTGCTTTGGGTGACCTGATCTGGCTGTGATGGATGAGCACGGGGGAAATAGTGGAAGACTCGGAATTAGAAGACGTGAGTGGGCTTTGGCCCCAGCCTCCCTACCCCACTCCCTGTCCTGGGCTGCCTGTGACCAACCTTGTTTCTGCAGGCACACTGGATAGCCCTGCTGGAGCTCAGTGTCCCTAATCCCCTCCAGATACTGGTGGCCTAGGGGAGGTCATCAAAGACCGGTGGGACATCGACCTCAGCCCGTTTCCACGCTTTTTTTTGTTTTGTTTTGTTTTTTTGAGACCGAGTTTCACTCTTGTTGCCCAGGCTGGAGTGCAATGGCGTGATCTTGGCTCACCGCAACCTCCGCCTCCCGGGTTCAAGCGATTCTCCTGCCTCAGCCTCCCAAGTAGCTGGGATTACAGGCGTGTGCCACCAGGCTTGACTAATTTTCTATTTTTAGTAGAGACAAGGTTTCTCCATGTTGGTCAGGCTGGTCTCAAACTCCCGACTTCAGGTGGTCTGCCTGCCTCGGCCTCCCAAAGTGCTGGGATTACAGGAGTGAGCCACCGTGCCAGGCCTTCTCCAGGCTCTTGGCACCTTAGCCAGAAACAATTTAAGGACAAGTGCAAAAGTCATGAATGTAGGCAGATTTCCTGCAGAGTAAAGGGACTCACTGAAGAAGAGGAACGTGGGGGTCCTCAAGAGAGTGTCTCATGCCCTACAAGGTGTGGGGCTGACCTTTATGGGCTTCTTCAACTAAAGAGGGGTATATTCATGAAGAGTCCAGGAAAAGGTAAAGATTTCTCAAGACCGTGGTGCCACAATTTACACCCAAATACAGGTGTTCCTGGAGCCGTCTTGGCACTGGTGGGTGTACGGTTTCATATGTTACTGATCATACAATGAGATCCTAGGTGAAACCTACATCAAATACAGCGCCATGTTGTGTCTGGTTGGTCGTAGCCAGCTTGGTCCTCATCCTATTTTTCAGGGACTTATTGGCCCTTAGCGCATGCAGCTATTTCAAGTTTCCTTCTTCTCCTCATGTGAAACTGCTGCCTGGGATTTTGTATTCACTTGCTACCACTCTATTAATCTCACATTCTCGCCTCTTTTCTGTGTCACCCCGTGTGGGTCCGACAGGTTGTTACTAGAGTGCAATACAAAGTCTTAGTCAAGGGAACCTCCTGAGGGTTGCTGAGGGCAGGGGTGGAGCTAGTAGCCTGAGGACCTGCCAGTCACGGGGATTCCTCATGGGCACAGAGGAGGGAGGAGGGGTCCATGGCCCTAGCATATGAGAAGCCTCTCCTCTGCCTGGAATTCCCATGCCTCAGCTTCCCCCACACTCCCACCTGTCCGCTTGCCTCTGAACTCACGCATTTCTTGGAAGTCTTGGGAGATTCACCTTTACTCAGATGGTTGTTTACCTGTCTCGTGCACAGCTTGACCTTGGACTTTAAAGTGAGGATAAAGAACGAGGAGGATGGGGGGATGCCCCCCTTCCACGGGGCCCTGTGGCTTCCAAACCTCGGCCTCCTCTGGTCTCTTGTCTGTGGAGCCTCCTTCAAACCCAGGGAAATAAAACCACCTGCCACGGGTTGTGGTTCTTCTAGGATCTTCTATCAATGTTCTCTGAGGTCCCCAGGAGCCATGAAGCTGGGGCTGACTCCCAGGGCAATGGGACTGCAGTGTCCTTGTTCTTTCTTGTTCTATGCATCCATGCTCTGCTCCACCCCTGCCCCTTCACTCTGCCCACACACATCCCTCTAGACTGGCCTTGTGGTCAGAGCCTGGAGTGCATGGGCTGCTGGGGGCCTGTGGGCTGCACTGGGCCAGAACCCCTGGCACCTTCAAGACTGGCCTGGAGCCAGCAGGTAGGTGACCTTTCCAGGGCCTGCCTATCCCAGCTTTCTCCTCCAATCCCTCCCCTCTCTTGCCTGGGTCAATTAGAGAGAGCTTGTCTGTTGGCTGCCTGGCAGGGTGGAGTTCAGGGGCAGGTCAGGAGCCCAGTGACAGCTCGGAAAAAAAAAAAAAAAAAAAAAAAAAACAGAAAAAAAAAACCTACAAAAACAAACCCACCATTGGGCCTTTCCCCTTTCATTCTTCTGTTTTCTACACAGCAAACTCAGTCGTGGCTTTGGAGATCACTTTAAGCTTGTCTCCAGCTGGCACACTAAGGAGGGTAATGGAGAAGCTCCCCCACCCCCAACCCCACCCCTTCCTTCCGGAAGCAAATCTAAGTCCAGCCCCGGCTCCAGATCCCTCCCACAGTGGACCTAGGAAACCCTCAGCTCAGAGAACAACCCTGCATTCCCCACACAACACCCACAATCAGCCACTGCGGGCGAGGAGGGCACGAGGCCAGGTTCCCAAGAGCTCAGGTGAGTGACACAGTGGAACGGCCCAGGGCGCCCTCACCCTGCTCAGCTTGTGGCTCTAACATTCCAGAAGCTGAGGCCTCTGGCATCCCTGCCCTTTCCCCATGGATATCCCATTTCAGACAACCCTGGCCTGCGTGAATCCCCCTCCCTTCCCTTGTTTGTTTGTTTTTTTCCCCGGGGAGGCCAGGTCTTGCTGTCACCCAGGCTGGAGTGCTGTGGGATCCTGGCCACTGCAGCCTTGAATTCCTGGGCTCAAGTGATTCTCTTGCCTCAGCCTCTGGAGTAGCTAGGACTACAGGCCCTCATCATCCTGCCTGGTTAATGTTTAAGAATTTTTTTAAAGATTTTTAGAGATGGGGTCTTGCAATGCTGCACCAGGTTGGTCTCCAACTCCTGGCCTCAGCCTCCCTAGGGTCTGGGATTATAGGTGGGAGCCACCCTGCCTAGGCCTGTGCTTTTGCTGAGTCATCAGAGTTTTGTTCATTCCCACAGCAGCTCTGGCCCCTAGTAGCAGCTCAGTTCCTCAATGGGCCGTGTTTGTCCTGGAGCCCAGATGGACTGTGGCCAGGCAAGTGGATCACAGGCCTGGCTGGCCTGGGCGGTTTCCACATGTGAGGGGCTGAGGGGCTCAAGGAGGGGAGCATCTCCACTGGGTGGAGGCTGGGGGTCCCAGCAGGAAGTGGTGAGACAAAGGGCGCTGGCTGGCAGGGAGACAGCACAGGAAGGTCCTAGAGCTTCCTCAGTGCAGCTGGACTCTCCTGGAGACCTTCACACACCCTGACATCTGGGCCTTGCCCGACGAGGGTGCTTTCACTGGTCTGCACCATGGCCCAGGCCCTGGGATTTTGAACAGCTCCGCAGGTGAATGAAAGGTGAGGCCAGGCTGGGGAACCACCGCATTAGAGCCCGACCTGGTTTTCAGCCCCAGCCCCGCCACTGAGTGGCTTTGTGAGTGCGGGCAAGTCACTCAGCCTCCCTAGGCCTCAGTGACTTCCCTGAAAGCAAGAATTCCACTTTCTTGCTGTTGTGATGGTGGTAAGGGAACGGGCCTGGCTCTGGCCCCTGACGCAGGAACATGGAGCTGATCCAGGACACCTCCCGCCCGCCACTGGAGTACGTGAAGGGGGTCCCGCTCATCAAGTACTTTGCAGAGGCACTGGGGCCCCTGCAGAGCTTCCAGGCCCGGCCTGATGACCTGCTCATCAGCACCTACCCCAAGTCCGGTAAGTGAGGAGGGCCACCCACCCTCTCCCAGGTGGCAGTCCCCACCTTGGCCAGCGAGGTCGTGCCCTCAGCCTGCTCACCTCCCATCTCCCTCCCTCTCCAGGCACTACCTGGGTAAGCCAGATTCTGGACATGATCTACCAGGGTGGTGACCTGGAGAAGTGTCACCGAGCTCCCATCTTCATGCGGGTGCCCTTCCTTGAGTTCAAAGCCCCAGGGATTCCCTCAGGTGTGTGAGTGTGTCCTGGGTGCAAGGGGAGTGGAGGAAGACAGGGCTGGGGCTTCAGCTCACCAGACCTTCCCTGACCCACTGCTCAGGGATGGAGACTCTGAAAGACACACCGGCCCCACGACTCCTGAAGACACACCTGCCCCTGGCTCTGCTCCCCCAGACTCTGTTGGATCAGAAGGTCAAGGTGAGGCAGGGCACAGTGTTTCACATCCATAATCCCAGCACTTTGGGAGGCTGAGGCAGGCAGATCACCTGAGGTTGGGAGTTTGAGAGCACCCTGAGCAACATAGAAGAACCTTGTCTCTACTAAAAATACAAAATTAGCCGGGTGTGGTGGCGGGTGCCTGTAATCCCAGCTACTCCGAAGCCTGAGACAGGAGAATCACTTGAACCCGGGAGAAGGAGGTTGTGGTGAGCCAGAGATCCCACCATTGCATTCCAGCCTGAGCAACAAGAGCAAAACTCACAAAAATAAATAAATAAATAAATATATAAATAAAAATAAAACTGTGGCACCTGTGGTGGCTCACTGCTGTAATGCCAGCACTTTGGGAGGCCAAATTGGGTGGATCACTTGAGCTCAGGAGTTACAGACCAGCCCGGGAAACATGGGGAGTCTCCATCTCTATAAAAATGCAAAATATCAGCAGGGCATGGTGGCATAGCGCTGTAGTTCCAGCTACTGGAAAGTCTGAGGTTGGAGGATTGCTTGAGCCTGGAAGGTCAAGGTTGCAGTGAGTTATTATCACTCCAGTGCACTCCAACTTGGGCGACAGAAAAAAAGAAAGACCACGGTCCTTTTTTTTTTTTTTTTTTTTTTGAGACTCTCTGTCTCAAAAATAAATAAATAAAATAAAATAAAATAAAATAAATCCCACAATAAAAAGAAAAAGCAAAGGTCCAGGTGTGGGGCATGTGAATCCAGGGAAGGAGGCCCTGGCTCAGCCCAGCTTTGGTCCTGTTCTTCTGGGAAAGTCGCCTCACTTCCTCCAGCCTTGTCTCATCTTCTGCGGCGGGGACTGTCTGCCTCTTGCTCTGATGACCAAGAACGTAAGACTCTTCAGTGTAGACCTAAGAAAGCTAGAGGGTGGGTCCTCACAGGCCCACAAAATTTGGTGGCGGTGGGATCACGGCTGGTGGAGCATGCCTTGCTCCAGATTGGGGTGTGACGCATTGATGCAGATTATATTACTATAGAATATGATGGTCTCAGGGACCAGGCAGGACTTTGGCTTCTGAGCAGGGTTCAGCTCCTGACTTGGCCCTACCGGTGCCGTGAGATCTCAAACAAGTCAGCCTCTAAGCCTCAGGTTCCTCCTTTGCCAATCCAAGAGATGAGCTGGCCTGGGACAGGCTGTGTGGTGATGGTGCTGGGGTTGAGTCTTCTGCCCCTGCAGGTGGTCTATGTTGCCCGCAACGCAAAGGATGTGGCAGTTTCCTACTACCACTTCTACCACATGGCCAAGGTGCACCCTGAGCCTGGGACCTGGGACAGCTTCCTGGAGAAGTTCATGGTCGGAGAAGGTGGGTTTGATGGGAGGAAGGAAAGTGTGGAGCTAAGGGGTGGTGGCTACAACGCACAGCAACCCTGTGTTGGCACCCCTTGCCTGCTTCTCCAGTGTCCTACGGATCCTGGTACCAGCACGTGCAGGAGTGGTGGGAGCTGAGCCGCACCCACCCTGTTCTCTACCTCTTCTATGAAGACATGAAGGAGGTGAGACCACGTGCGATGCTTCCCTCCATGTGACTCCTGGGGGCAGGCACCTCACAGGGACCCGCCAAGGCCACCCAGCCCCCTCCCTGGGCAGCCCCCACAGCAGGACCAGATTCCCCATCCTGCCTTCTTGGCCCAGGCCTCCCCACTAAGGCCCCACCTGGCAGCGGGCCCCACACAGCTCTCATCTCTCGCACCTGAGTCAGCTGCATGGGGGGCCACGGATCAGAAACTTAGTCCTATTGCTACTCCCTGCCAAAGGGTGTGCTACCCAGGGCCACAGTCACAGAAGAAGACCATCACGGTCCTCACCCATAGGAGCCAAGCCCAGCTCATGATGGGATCACAGGGCAGACAGCAATTCTTTTTACCCCCGGGACTGGGGCCCTGGGGGTTGAGGAGTTGGCTCTGCAGGGTTTCTAGGAGAAGTGGCCAGATCGCCTCTGAGGTTAGAGAAGGGGACCCCTTTTACTTTTCCTGAATCAGTAATCCGAGCCTCCACTGAGGGGCCCTCTGCTGCTCAGAACCCGAAAAGGGAGATTCAAAAGATCCTGGAGTTTGTGGGGCGCTCCCTGCCAGAGGAGACCGTGGACTTCGTGGTTCAGCACACGTCGTTCAAGGAGATGAAGAAGAACCCTATGACCAACTACACCACCGTCCCCCAGGAGTTCATGGACCACAGCATCTCCCCCTTCATGAGGAAAGGTGGGTGCTGGCCAGCACGGGGGTTTGGGGCGGGTGGGAGCAGCAGCTGCAGCCTCCCCATAGGCACTTGGGGCCTCCCCTGGGATGAGACTCCAGCTTTGCTCCCTGCCTTCCTCCCCCAGGCATGGCTGGGGACTGGAAGACCACCTTCACCGTGGCGCAGAATGAGCGCTTCGATGCGGACTATGCGGAGAAGATGGCAGGCTGCAGCCTCAGCTTCCGCTCTGAGCTGTGAGAGGGGCTCCTGGAGTCACTGCAGAGGGAGTGTGCGAATCAAACCTGACCAAGCGGCTCAAGAATAAAATATGAATTGAGGGCCCGGGACGGTAGGTCATGTCTGTAATCCCAGCAATTTGGAGGCTGAGGTGGGAGGATCATTTGAGCCCAGGAGTTCGAGACCAACCTGGGCAACATAGTGAGATTCTGTTAAAAAAATAAAATAAAATAAAACCAATTTTTAAAAAGAGAATAAAATATGATTGTGGGCCAGGCAGAGTGGCTCATGCCTGTAATCCCAGCAATTTGAGAAGTTGAGGCTAGAGGATCACTGGAGGACAGGAGTTTGGGACCAGCCTGTTCAACATTACAAGACATCATCCCTACAAAAATTTGAGAAAATTATCTGTACGTGATGGTGGGCACCTGTAGTCCCAGCTACTTGACAAGTGAAGGCAGGAGGATCGCCTGAGCCAGGGAGGTTATGGCTGCAGTGGGCTGACTGGGCTAATCCACTCAAGCCTGAGGGACAGAGCAAATCTTGCTTGAGAAATAAATAAAATACAATTTACTTAACATAAATTATGATTCAGGACCAGTCTGGCCAACATGGTGAAACCCCGTCTCTACTAAAAAAAAAAAAAGATACAAAAATTAGCCGGGCATGGTGGCAGACACCTGTAACCTCAGCTACTCTGGAGGCTGAGGCAGGAGAATCGCTCGAACCCAGGGACGGATGTTGCAGTGAGCCAAGATCATGCCACTTCACTCCAGCCTGGGCATAAGAGCAAAACTCTGTCTTGAAAATAAATAAATAATTAAATTAAATTAAGTTATTATTTGACCTGGGCTCGGTGGCTTATGCCTGTAATCTCAGCACTTCAGCCTGGCAGATCACTTGAGGTCAGGAGTTCAAGACCAGCCTGGCCAGCATGGCAAAACCCCATCTCTACTAAAAATACAAAAATTAGCTGGGCATGATGATGGGCGCCTGTAATCCCAGCTACTCCAGAGGCTGAGGTGGGAGAATCGATTGAATCCATGAGGTGGAGGTTTCATTGAACCGGGATCACACCACTGCACTCCAGTCTGGGCGACAGAGCAAGACTCAGTCTTAAAACAACAACAACAACAACAACAACAACACAACTATGATTTGTGTTCAATGCAGAGTCTCTATTCCAAGCCAAGAGAAACCCTGAGCTGAAAGAGTGATCGCCCACTGGGGCCAAATACGGCCACCTCTCCGCTCCAGCTCCTCAACTTGACCTGTTTGGAGAGGGGAGAGGGTCTGGAGAAGTAAAACCCAGGAGACGAGTGGAGGGGGAATGTGTTTAATCCCAGCACATCCTTTGCTGTCCTGCCCTGTGTCGTTGGTGGATGGCGAGTCCGCCAGGCAGCGTCACTTTTTCTTGGGCTCCTTACAAGCCACCACCTACCTCTGGGCCACGCCGAGGGGAGGGGAATGCTTGAAGACACTCAAGCATAGGAGTGTCTTCAAACAGGACCAAGTAGTCATCCTGGGGCTGTGGGGCAGGCAGACAGGAGGGGCTGCTCAGAGATCCCCAGGCCATGACAGGCACCCCCTTCCCCCAGCCTAGACCACAGGAGGCTCTGGGCCGTGGACTTTCAGCCACTCCTGCCATTGTTCACTCTGGGGTCAAGAAGTCTTGGCCCAGTCCCTGCTGCTATGGAGCTCTTTTCTCAGTGGCTGGAGGCCCAGAGCAGTGAAAAAGGTGGAGAGAGGAAGAGGTGCTGACTCCTTCCCCAGTGGGGCCATAGCTAGAGGGTCTGCTGCCTTTCAGGGACTCTGTGTTCAGAGGACCGAGGGCAGCCCAGATGGTGGCAGGCAGGGATCCTGGCCTCAGGTGGCTTGTGTCCCATGTCACCAGGAGCATGAGGGGGCAGGAGCCGTGGGTTCAGGGCAGGAGCTTCCTGTCTCAGAGCTGGTTCTCCTGGGGCTGCAGAAGGGAAGCCGCTGACTTGGGGCTTGCCAAGGCTGCCAGGGCTGGCAAGGGGACGGTAGCCTTTGGGGCTGGAGTGGAAGAGGGAGGGCTGCTGGCAGGTCCCATTAGCTCGGGAGATGAGGACAAGGGGGACAGAGCAGGAAGAGGACCCCTAGCTTCTCTGATCAGCCTGTTCCTGGTGTCACCAATGACCTCTCCCCTGGAGGCTGCTTTACCCGCTGTAGGGGCGCATGGATCAGGGCACGGTAGAAGCAGGTGGTCTGGGGTTACAGGGCCAACATGAGCTGCTCCTTCTGGAACAAGGCCTTGGGGTCCATCTGGGGGTTGGCCTTCCACTGATGCCATGACTGCCAGCTCATGGTGTGTCTCCTGGCAGGTTGTGTCAATCTGTCTGGGGACACTCTGTGATACCTGGGTTCTCGTCCTCTTGGGTTAAAATAAATTAAGTAGGCGGTGCGCAGTGGCTCACACCTGTAATCCCAGCACTTTGGGAAGCTGAGAGGGGTGGATTACCTGATGTCAAGAGTTCAAGACCAGCCTGGCCAACATGACGAAACCCTGTCTCTACTAAAAATATAAAATTAGCCAGGCGTGGTGGTGAGCCCTATCATCCCAGCTACACAGAAGGCTGAGGCAGGAGAATCGCTTGAACCCAAGACTCAGAGGTTGCAGTGAGTCGAGATTGTGCCACTGCACTCCAGCCTGGGCCACAGAGTGAGACTCCATCTAAGATAATAATAATAATAATAATAATAATAATAATAATAATAATAATAATAAATAAAATGATTTAAACAAGAGACACACAGCAAAAGAAGTGGAGCATAGAATAACTTATTGCAAAAGAAAACAGTATATTGAAAGTTAATTGCAGAATAGACAATACACCTTGAGCGAGTTCAGAAGGGACTGCTTGTCAGGTTGGGACGGTGTTGATTACTGCAGGAAAAACTCCCTTTATGGGAGTCTCACACAACTCTTCATAATGGGTGGGAAGAGGCATCACTAGTAAGCATGTTCTGGGTGGTCCTCTGGGTGCACATGCGCATTTGCTATACATGCTTGCTCCTAGGACTCATGTCTCATTAGCATCTTAAATCTCCACCCAGGGGTATGGTTTTTACTATTAAAATGAGCAAAGTGTCAGTTTGCTGACCCTTTGCACATGTTCTCAAAAGGGAAAGTCCCTACTGGAGATCGCTTTGCTTGAATGAGCTCAGTGACCAGGTGAATGCCGAGGCTTCCTGTGTTGGCCGTGCTGTCACCAAGGTCACAGCATCCTGAGAACATGGTTTTCTCCTTGACTAACAAGGCCTCGGGGTCTGTCTCGGGGTTGGCCTTCCACCGGGTCAGCGGGATGATCCGGCGCAAGCTCACGGTGTGTCTCCTGGTGGTAGAGGGGCTTGTGTCAACCTGTGGCCGGGTGGGGATGCTCCTTCCCAGCTGGTAGGCTGCCCCCAGGCTCCATGCCCTGCCCTGGCCTGGACACTCACGCTTTGCCTTCTTCATCAATGTCATCTACCTCATACCTGTGGACAAAAGGAGGAAAATGCAGGATGCAGCCAGGGGCACAGTCCCTGTAGGGGAGTGTGGAGGACAGGGGCAGGGCGAGGACCCGGTGCTCCCTGCACAGCCGGCCCCGCCCACAGCACGCTCTGTGGAGTTTTTCTCCTGCTGTGCAGATGAGAAGCAGAGTGGCAGCCCAGGCAGGTGCAGTGACCAGAGAGCAGCCCTGGGGCTGTTGGAGGAGCCCCTGGGAGCCTCCATCTCCCGAGTGAGCCCAGCAGGACTGTGACCCGTTCGGCCAGGTGTCCTACAGGGGCTGCTGGGCTCAGCTACAGATGGGCGAGACCGCAGCATAGTGGGCGCCCAGCGGGAAGAACCAGGGAGGGACAAAGTGAGTTTGCAGGTGCTGGAGAGGCTCTCTTCTTGATGTCGGTGCTGAACCAGAAGTGTGTTTAAGGAGAATTTCCTAAAATTCAAAGAGTTCCACGGGAGTCGCGGCTAGGCCGGGGCGCTTCTTCAGCATCTACCTGCTCTAAGGCCTGAACCCCCGTCATCAGGGCCACGTTTATATGGGGTTCACTGTCAGCCCTGCTTGTCAGGTCCAGCAGCACAATGGGGACCACACAAAAGGCAGGGCCCAGGCCTGGCGCGGTGGCTCAAGCCTGTAAACCCAACACATTGGGAGGCCAAAGCGGTTGGATCACTTGAGGTCAGGAGTTCGAGACCAGCCTGACCAACATGGTGAAACCCCGTCTGTAATAGAAATACAAAAATTAGTCGGGCATGGTGGCACGTGCCTGTAATTACAGCTACTCGAAAGGCTGAGGCGGGAGAATTGCTTGAAAGATGGGGCAGGGGGCAGCGGCAGAGGTTGCAGTGAGCCAAATCGGGCCATTGCACTCCTGGTGAGACCGGAAGGGTCTCTGTGCCAGGAGGAAGGCTTCCTGGAGGAGGCGGACCCCGCTGGGCACAAGCCTGATGAGAGGGAGGGGCATGCCTGTGACATGGGTGGGGAGTCCAGGGTGGGGACGGGACTGTCACAGAGGAGGAGCATGACGGGGAGACAGTGCCCTGGGAATCTTGGCGGTGGAACTCCGGGGAGGAGCTGGCTGGGGCGGAGGTGATGATCCAGGATGCGGGCCAGCGTAGGGGTCTTGGTGGGCATGCTGGGGTCGGATGGAGCGCAGGAGGGAGAGGAGGGGGGACAGGTGGGTACCTGGGCTGGAGGCGCGGCCTGAGGTGGGCAGGTTCAGGGGGCGTGACTTCATTTAGGGGCAGGGCCTGGGGCTAGGCTGAAGCCGGCAGTGAGGACCCCGCTCTCGGGTGGAATTGGAGGGGACCCGCGGTTGGGCGCGGCAGGGCTCACAGGGACACCCCCGTTCTCCTCCCCAGGGAGAAAGTGCTCGTCGTGCACGGCTTCCCGCCCGCCGTGGCAACCCTTCGGGTAAGGAAGGAGACCAGGCGGCGGCAGGCGGGCAAGGGCTTGGGGTCCGCCCCCCTGCCTGGAGCCGCCCTAACTCCTCCGTATCCTGCCGCTGTTGGAGTGGGCCTGGAACCCCCTCCATAGGCGCGCCTCCTACTCCCGCTGCACCCCGACCTCCGCCGGGACCTCTATGCGCCGCGCCGCACGGGCGATGGCCTTCGGGCCTCCCCGGCCCCAGGGCACCGCGCAGGTCCCTTTGCTGGCACCAAGCCCGAGCCTGAGCCGGACCCGGGGCCCAAGAGGCCTGTGCGCCCTGCGAGCCCTTGAGCTCCAGGGGAGGTCCGCCCCAGGCAGGGCGGCTCATCCCCCAGACCACTTCGGATCCAGCTGTTTGTTGAGGAGCCAGGAAACGCCCTGACACTTTTGCGGCCCTGTCCCCGTCTCTAAGATGGGGATGATAGTATTTCTGGCCATTCCTGAGCACAGCAGGACCTGCCTTTTCCCTTTGACTGGAAGGTTCTTCTCTACACCTATCTTGATAACCTGCCACCTCCACAGGGAGGTCTTCTCTATCTCCCGATTTAAAATTGCAGCTCTGAGAAGCCGGGCATGGTGGCATATGCCTGTAGTCCCAGCTACGGGGGGAGGCTGAGGTGGGAGGATCGCTTGGTCCCAGGAGTTGGAGGCTGCAGTGAGCTCTGATCGCTCCACTGCACTATAGCCTGGGCAAAAGAGCAAGAAACTGTCTCTAAAAATATAAAATAAAATTGCACCTCTTGTGTACTTCCCCGTCTGCTTCTTTACCTGAATACTTACTATCTCACCGGCTAGGTGCTTTATGACTCTCGTTAGTCTCTCCCACCCCAACCTTTGCACTACATTGCCCGAGGGCAGCTCTTGTCACTGCTGTAGAACAAAGTCCTGCACAGAGACGATAGCCAAGAAATAGTTAATAAAATAATGGAAAACGGGTGCCTTCTACTGAGCACCCGCTAATAGTGAGTGAGTAGAGGACTTGCCCTGGGGACATTCAGTGACCTGCTGGGTGTTGCTGAGCTGTGAGGAAGTTCAGGTCTGGCTGCAGTGGTGAGGCTGTGACTCAATCAATCACTGCTGATGCTCCCAGGACCTGCACCAGCTTAGTCCCAGGGGCAAGGATTTTAAACCCCCACCTCCATTTCCTCATCTGTAAGATGCAAATAACAGTCACCTCTGCCTCACGGGATGGAGCTGTGTAATGCCCGGAACAGTGCCTGCTGCATAGAGGGGTTGCTGCCAGCTGCCTCTCCCTCCTTGTCTCTTACCTGCCTGCTGCCTGGGACAGGATGAAGCGGGGCCCTTGTGTTGCCCCAACCCTGGCTGTTGGCTAAGAGCCCACGTGATCTGCCTGTGAGAGGAGTTCCTTCCGGAAGAACCAGGGCAGCTTCTGCCCCTAGAGGGCCAATGCCCTAGCTGAGTGCAGTCCCCCGGCCCCAGCCTGGTCCAGCTTTGGGAAGAGGGTGCCCAGTTGTGCAATCCAGGCCGGGGCAGCCGTGTCCTGATCTTGGTATTCAGGGCTGAGCCTGGAGGGGGCTTGTGATGCCTGACTCTGTCTCTCTCTCTGGCCCCATGCCTTGGTAGCTGTGAGGCGTCACTGCTTTGGGTGACCTGATCTGGCTGTGATGGATGAGCACGGGGGAAATAGTGGAAGACTCGGAATTAGAAGACGTGAGTGGGCTTTGGCCCCAGCCTCCCTACCCCACTCCCTGTCCTGGGCTGCCTGTGACCAACCTTGTTTCTGCAGGCACACTGGATAGCCCTGCTGGAGCTCAGTGTCCCTAATCCCCTCCAGATACTGGTGGCCTAGGGGAGGTCATCAAAGACCGGTGGGACATCGACCTCAGCCCGTTTCCACGCTTTTTTTTGTTTTGTTTTGTTTTTTTGAGACCGAGTTTCACTCTTGTTGCCCAGGCTGGAGTGCAATGGCGTGATCTTGGCTCACCGCAACCTCCGCCTCCCGGGTTCAAGCGATTCTCCTGCCTCAGCCTCCCAAGTAGCTGGGATTACAGGCGTGTGCCACCAGGCTTGACTAATTTTCTATTTTTAGTAGAGACAAGGTTTCTCCATGTTGGTCAGGCTGGTCTCAAACTCCCGACTTCAGGTGGTCTGCCTGCCTCGGCCTCCCAAAGTGCTGGGATTACAGGAGTGAGCCACCGTGCCAGGCCTTCTCCAGGCTCTTGGCACCTTAGCCAGAAACAATTTAAGGACAAGTGCAAAAGTCATGAACGTAGGCAGATTTCCTGCAGAGTAAAGGGACTCACTGAAGAAGAGGAACGTGGGGGTCCTCAAGAGAGTGTCTCATGCCCTACAAGGTGTGGGGCTGACCTTTATGGGCTTCTTCAACTAAAGAGGGGTATATTCATGAAGATTCCAGGAAAAGGTAAAGATTTCTCAAGACCGTGGTGCCACAATTTACACCCAAATACAGGTGTTCCTGGAGCCGTCTTGGCACTGGTGGGTGTACGGTTTCATATGTTACTGATTGTACAGTGAGATCCTAGGTGAAACCTACATCAAATACAGCGCCATGTTGCTTCTGGTTGGTCGCAGCCAGCTTGGTCCTCATCCTATTTTTCAGGGACTTATTGGCCCTTGGCACATGCAGCTATTTCAAGTTTCCTTCTTCTGGTCATGTGAAACTGCTGCCTGGGATTTTCTGTTGTCTTGCTAGCACTCTATTAATCTCACATTCTCGCCTCTTTTCTGTGCCACCCCCTGCTGGTCCGGCTGGTTTTCACTAGAGTGCAATACAAAGTCTCAGTCAAGAGGGCCTCCTGAAGGTTGCTGAGGGCAGGGGTGGAGCTAGTAGCCGGAGGACCTGCCAGTCATGGGGATTCCTCAGGGGCACAGAGGAGGGAGGAGGGGCCTGTGGCCCTAGCAGGGGAGCAGCCTCTCCTCTGCCTGGAAATCCCATGCCTCAGTTTTCCCCGCTTGCCTCTGAGCTCACGCAACCCTGGGAAGGCTTGGGAGACTCACCTTTACTCAGATGGTTGTTTACCTGTCTCGTGCCCAGCTTGACCCTGGACTTTAAATAGTGAGGACAAAGAACGAGGAGGGTGGGGGGATGCACTCCTTCCACGGGGCCCTGTGGCTTCCAAGCCTCAACCTCCTCTGGCCTCTGTCTGTGGAGCCTCCTTCAAACCCATGGAAAGAAAAGTACCTGCCAGGGGCTGTGGTTCTTCTAGGATCTTCTATCGATGTTCTGTGAGGTCCCCAGGGAGCCATGAAGCTGGGGCTGGCTCCCAGGGCAATGGGACTGCAGTGTCCTTGTTCTTTCTTGTTCTATGGATCCATGCTCTGCTCCACCCCTGCCCCTTCACTCTGCCCACACGCATCACTCCAGACTGGCCTTGTGGTCAGAGCCTGGAGTGCATGGGCTGCTGGAGGCCTGTGGGTTGCACTGGGCCAGGACCCCTGGCACCTTCAAGACTGGCCTGGAGCCAGCAGGTAGGTGACCTTTCCAGGGCCTGCCTATCCCATCTTTCTCCTCCAATCCCTCCCCTCTCTTGCCTGGGTCAATTAGAGAAAGCTTGTCTTTTGGAGTTCAGGGGCAGGTCAGGAGCCCAGTGACAGCTCAAAAAAAAAAACCCACAAAAACAAACCCACCATTGGGCCCTTTCCCCTTTCATTCTTCTGTTTTCTACACACCAAACCCAGTCGTGGCTTTGGAGATCACTTTAAGCTTGTCTCCAGCTGGCAAACTAAGGAGGGTAATAGAGAAGCTCCCCCACCCCCAACCCTACCCCTTCCTTCCGGAAGCAAATCTAAGTCCAGCCCCGGCTCCAGATCCCTCCCACACTGACCTAAGAAACCCTCAGCACAGACAACACCCCTGCATTCCCCACACAACACCCACACTCAGCCACTGCGGGCGAGGAGGGCACAAGGCCAGGTTCCCAAGAGCTCAGGTGAGTGACACACCGGAATGGCCCAGGACGCCCTCACCCTGCTCAGCTTGTGGCTCCAACATTCCAGAAGCCGAGGCCTCTGCTATCCCTGCCCTCTCCCCATGGATATCCCATTTCAGACAACCCCGGCCGGCCTGAATCCCCCTCCCTTCCTTTTTTTTTTTTCCGGGGAGGCCAGGTCTTGCTGTCACCGAGGCTGGAGTGCTGTGGGATCCTGGCCACTGCAGCCTTGAATTCCTGGGCTCAAGTGATTCTCCTGCCTCAGTAGCTAGGACTACAGACCCTCACCATCCTGCCTGGATAGTTTTAAAAAATATTTTTAAAAGATTTTTAGAGATGGGGTCTTCCAATGCTGCCCAGATTGGTCTCCAAATTCTGGCCTCAGCCTCCCTAGGGTCTGGGATTACAGGTGGGAGCCACCCTGCCCAGGATCCTCCTTTTGCTGAGTCATCACAGTTTTGCTCATTCCCACATCAGGCTCTGGCCCCCAATACCAGCTCAGTTGCTCAATGGGCTGTTTGTCCTGGAGCCCAGATGGACTGTGGCCGGGCAAGTGGATCACAGGCCTGGCCAGCCTAGGAGTTGCCACATGTGAGGGGCCGAGGGGCTCAAGGAGGGGAACATCGGGGAGAGGAGCCTACTGGGTGGAGGCTGGGGGTCCCAGCAGGAAATGGTGAGACAAAGGGCGCTGGCTGGCAGGAAGACAGCACAGGAAGGTCCTAGAGGTTCCTCAGTGCAGCTGGACTCTCCTGGAGACCTTCACACACCCTGACATCTGGGCCCCGCGCCACGAGGGTGCTTTCACTGGTCTGCACCATGGCCCAGGCCCTGGGATTTTGAACAGCTCCGCAGGTGAATGAAAGGTGAGGCCAGGCTGGGGAACCACCACATTAGAGCCCGACCTGGTTTTCAGCCCCAGCCCCGCCACTGACTGGCCTTGTGAGTGCGGGCAAGTCACTCAGCCTCCCTAGGCCTCAGTGACTTCCCTGAAAGCAAGAATTCCACTTTCTTGCTGTTGTGATGGTGGTAAGGGAACGGGCCTGGCTCTGGCCCCTGACGCAGGAACATGGAGCTGATCCAGGACATCTCTCGCCCGCCACTGGAGTACGTGAAGGGGGTCCCGCTCATCAAGTACTTTGCAGAGGCACTGGGGCCCCTGCAGAGCTTCCAGGCCCGGCCTGATGACCTGCTCATCAGCACCTACCCCAAGTCCGGTAGGTGAGGAGGGCCACCCACCCTCTCCCAGGTGGCAGTCCCCACCTTGGCCAGCGAGGTCATGCTCACCTCAGCCTGCTCACCTCCCATCTCCCTCCCTCTCCAGGCACCACCTGGGTGAGCCAGATTCTGGACATGATCTACCAGGGCGGTGACCTGGAAAAGTGTCACCGAGCTCCCATCTTCATGCGGGTGCCCTTCCTTGAGTTCAAAGTCCCAGGGATTCCCTCAGGTGTGTGTGTCCTGGGTGCAAGGGGAGTGGAGGAAGACAGGGCTGGGGCTTCAGCTCACCAGACCTTCCCTGACCCACTGCTCAGGGATGGAGACTCTGAAAAACACACCAGCCCCACGACTCCTGAAGACACACCTGCCCCTGGCTCTGCTCCCCCAGACTCTGTTGGATCAGAAGGTCAAGGTGAGACTGGGCACAGTGGTTCACACCCGCAATCTCAGTACTTTGGGAGGCTGAGGTGGGAAGATCCCTTGAAGCCAGAAGTTCCAGATAAGTCTCTTCCAAAAAAAAAACTTAGCTGTGCATAGTGGTGTGTGCCTGTAATACCAGCTACTCAGGAGGCTGAGGTGGGAGGATCATCTGAGCCTAGGAGTTTAAGGCTACAGTGAGCTATGATCACACCAGTGCACTCCAGGCTGGGTGACAGAGAAACACTGTCTCAAAAAACGATGAATAGAAAGAGTGTCCCACCAGTGCGGTGGCTCACACCTGTAATTCCAGCACTTGAAGAGGCTGAGGCAGGTGGATCACCTGAGACTAGGAGTTTGAGATCAGCCTGGCCAACATGGCAAAACCCCATCTCTACTAAAAATACAAAAAAATTAGCCGGGCATGGTGGCAGGCATCTGTAATCCCAGCTACTTGGGAGGCTGAAGCAGGAGAATTGCTTGAAGCTGGGAGGCAGAGGTTGTAGTCAGCCGAGACCTCACCATTGCACTGCAGCCTGGGAAACAAGAGCAAAACTCTGTCTCAAAAAAAAAAAAAAAAAAAAAAAAAAAGCGGCAGGTGGCAGGGGGCTGGGCCTGTTGTGGCTCACGCCTGTAATACCAGCACTTTCGGAGGTCGAGGTGGGCAGATCACCCAAGGTTAGGAGTTTGAGATCAGCCTGGCCAACATGGAGAAACCCCGTCTCTACTAAAAATACAAAAATTAGCCAGGCGTTGGGGCAGGCGCCAGTAATCCCAGCTACTCGGGAGGCTGAGGCAGGAGAATAGCTTGCACCTGGGAGGCGGTGGTTGCAGTGAGCCGAGATTGTGCCACTGCACTCCAGCCTGGGAGACACAACGAGACATTGTTTCAAACAAAACAAATAAATATTTTAAAAGGTTTGCCACCTGGGTGGCTCACCGCTGTAATGCCAGCATTTTGGGAGGCCAAGATGGGTGGACCGCTTGAGCTCAGGAGTTCCAGACCAGCCCAGGAAACATGGGGAGACTCCATCTCTATAAAAGATGCAAATAATCAGCAGGGCATGGTGGCATAGCGCTATAGTCCCAGCTACTCAAAAGTCTAAGGTTGGAGGATTGCTTGAGCCTGGGAGGTCAACGTTGCAGTGAGCTATTCTCACTCCAGTGCACTCCAACCTGGGCAACAGGAAAAAAGAAAGCCCAAGGTCTTTTTTCTCTTTTCTCTTTTTTTTGAGACCTAGAGTCCCCCCCCCCAAAAAAAAAAAAAAACCACAACAAAAAGAAAAAAGCAAAGGTCCAGGTGTGGGGCATGTGAATCCAGGGAAGGAGGCCCCGGCTCAGCCCAGCTTTGGTCCTGTTCTTCTGGGAGAGTCGCCTCACTTCCTCCAGACTTGTCTCATCTTCCACGGGGGGGACTGTCTGCCTTTTGCTCTGATGACCAAAAACATGAGACTCTTCCGGGTAGACCTAAGAAAGGTAGAGGGTGGGTCCTCACAGGCCCACAAAATTTGGTGGTGGTGGGAACATGCCTGGTGGAGCATGCCTTGCTCCAGATCGGGGTGTGACGCATTGATGCAGATTATATTACTATAGAATATGATGGTCTCAGGGACCAGGCAGGACTTTGGCTTTTGAGCAGGGTTCAGATCCTGACTTGGCCCTACCTGTGCCGTGAGATCTCAAACAAGTCAGCCTCTAAGCCTCAGCTTCCTCCTTTGCCAAACCAAGAGATGAGCTGGCCTGGGGCAGGCTGTGTGGTGATGGTGCTGGGGTTGAGTCTTCTGCCCCTGCAGGTGGTCTATGTTGCCCGCAACGCAAAGGATGTGGCGGTTTCCTACTACCACTTCTACCACATGGCCAAAGTGTACCCTCACCCTGGGACCTGGGAAAGCTTCCTGGAGAAGTTCATGGCTGGAGAAGGTGGGCTTGATGGGAGGAAGGAAGGTGTGGAGCTAAGGGGTGGTGGCTACAACGCACAGCAACCCTGTGTCGGCACTCCCTGCCCGCTTCTCCAGTGTCCTATGGGTCCTGGTACCAGCACGTGCAAGAGTGGTGGGAGCTGAGCCGCACCCACCCTGTTCTCTACCTCTTCTATGAAGACATGAAGGAGGTGAGACCGCCTTTGATGCTTCCCTCCACGTGACACCTGGGGGCAGGCACTTCACAGGGACCTGCCAAGGCCACCCAGCCACCCTCCCTGGGCGGCCCCTCCAGCAGGCCCGGATTCCCCATCTTGACTCCCTGGCCCAGGCCCCACTGCAGCCCCATGTGGCAGCAGGCTGGGCACAGCTCTCATCTCCTGTGCCTGAGTCAGCTGCACGGGTGGCCATGGATCAGCTACTTTTTTTTTTGAGACAAAGTCTTGCTCTGTTGTCCAGGATGGCATGCAGTGGTGTGATCTCAGCTCAGTGTAACCCCCCCTCCCAGGTTCAAGTGATTCTCCTGCCTCAGCCTCCTGAGTAGCTGAGATTACAGATGCACACTACCATGCCTGGCTAATTTTTGTGTTGTGCCATGTTGGCCAGGTTGGTCTCCATCTCCTGAGCTCAGGTGATCCGCCTGCCTCAGCCTCCCAAAGTCTTGGGAATTACACGCCTGAACCACGGCCCCTTGCCACAGATCAGCTATCTATTCCAATTGCTTCTCCCTGCCAATGGTTATGCCACCCAGGGCCACAGGCACGGAAGAAGACCATCCCAGTCCTTACCCATAGGAGCCAAGCCCAGCTCATGATGGGATCACAGGGCAGACAGCAATTCATTTTGCCCCAGGGACTGGGGTCCCAGGGGTCGAGGAGCTGGCTCTATGGGTTTTGAAGTGGAAGTGGCCAGTTCCCCTCTGAGGTTAGAGAAGTGGACCCCTTTTATTTTCCTGAATCAGCAATCCAAGCCTCCACTGAGGAGCCCTCTGCTGCTCAGAACCCCAAAAGGGAGATTCAAAAGATCCTGGAGTTTGTGGGGCGCTCCCTGCCAGAGGAGACTGTGGACCTCATGGTTGAGCACACGTCGTTCAAGGAGATGAAGAAGAACCCTATGACCAACTACACCACCGTCCGCCGGGAGTTCATGGACCACAGCATCTCCCCCTTCATGAGGAAAGGTAGGTGCCGGCCAGCACGGGGGTTTGGAGCAGGTGGGAGCAGCAGCTGGAGCCTCCCCATAGGCACTCGGGGCCTCCCCTGGGATGAGACTCCAGCTTTGCTCCCTGCCTTCCTCCCCCAGGCATGGCTGGGGACTGGAAGACCACCTTCACCGTGGCGCAGAATGAGCGCTTCGATGCGGACTATGCGAAGAAGATGGCAGGCTGCAGCCTCAGCTTCCGCTCTGAGCTGTGAGAGGGGTTCCTGGAGTCACTGCAGAGGGAGTGTGCGAATCAAGCCTGACCAAGAGGCTCCAGAATAAAGTATGATTTGTGTTCAATGCAGAGTCTCTATTCCAAGCCAAGAGAAACCCTGAGCTGAAAGAGTGATCGCCCACTGGGGCCAAATACGGCCACCTCCCCGCTCCAGCTCCTCAACTTGCCCTGTTTGGAGAGGGGAGAGGGTCTGGAGAAGTAAAACCCAGGAGACGAGTAGAGGGGGAATGTGTTTAATCCCAGCACGTCCTCTGCTGTCCTGCCCTGTGTCGTTGGGGGATGGCGAGTCTGCCAGGCGGCATCACTTTTTCTTGGGTTCCTTACAAGCCACCACGTATCTCTGAGCCACATTGAGGGGAGGGGAATAGCCATCTGCATAGGAGGTGTCTTCAAACAGGACCGAGTAGTCATCCTGGGGCTGTGGGGCAGGCAGACAGGAGGGGCTGCTCAGAGACCCCCAGGCCAGGACAGGCACCCCCTTCCCCCAGCCTAGACCACAGGAGGCTCTGGGCCGTGGACTCTCAGCCACTCCTAACATCCTTCACTCTGGGGTCAAGAAGTCTTGGCCCAGTCCCTGCTGCTACAGAGCTCTTTTCTCAGTGGCTGGAGACCCAAGGCAGGGAATAGGCAGGGAGGAGTAGGGGTGCTGACTCCCTTCCTAGTGGGGTCATAGCTGGAGGGTCTGCTGCCTTTCAAGGACTCTTTGTTGAGAGGACTGAGGGCAACCCAGAGGGTGGCAGGCAGGGATCCTGGCCTCAGGTGGCTTGTGTCCCATGTCACCAAGAGCACAAGGCGGTAGGAGCCCAGGGCTCAGGGCAGGAGCTTCCCATCTCGGAGCTGGTTCTCCTGGGGCTGGAAGCCACTGACTCGGGGCTTGCCAAGGCTGCCAGGGCTGGCAAAGGGATGGTGGCCTTTGGGGCTGGAGTGGAAGAGGGAGGGCAGCTGGTGGGTCCTGTCAGCTTGGAGCCTGTGAGATGAGGACAAAGGGAAGGAGTGGGGAGAGGACCCCTCGTCTGTCTGATCAGCCTGTTCCTGACATCACCCATGGCCTCTCCCCTGGAGGCTGCTTTACCCGCTGTGGGGGCGCATGGATCAGGGCGCGGTAGAAGCAGGTAGTCTGGGGATACAGGGCCAGCACGAGCTGCTCCTTCTGGAACAAGGCCTCAGGGTCCGTCTCCGGGTTGGCCTTCCACTGGGGCAGCGGGATGACACGGCGCCGGCTCAGGGTGTGTCTCCTGGGGGAAGAGGGGCTTATATCAACCTGTGGCCGGGTGGGGATGCTCCTTCTCAGCTGTTAGGCTGCCCCCAGGCTCCATGCCCTGCCCTGGCCTGGACACTCACTCTTTGCCTTCTTCATCGATGTCATCTACCTCATACCTGCAGACAAAAGGAGGAAAAGGCTGGATGCAGCCAGGGGCGCAGTACCTGTTGGGGAGTGAGGATGGGGGAGGACCTGGTGCTCCCTGCACAACCAGCCTCTGGGGAGCACCCTCTGCAGAGCTTTTCTCCCGTAGCCCAGGCAAGTTCGGTGACCAGAGAGCAGCCCCAGGGTTGGTGTCACTCACTTGTTGGTGGCATGGCTGTAACTGACCACCTCGGCCAGGATCCACTGCTCGTCCCCATCCACGGCCTTCACCCGGGCAGCCACCTTGTCTCCAGGTCTGGCCACGTAGTCTCCTGAGGCAGGGATGGCCCCACAGAGGGGTGGGGGCCTGTGAGTGGAACAAAGGGTCAGTCCCAGCCCCTGGGCACCAGCCCCTCCCTCGCAGCTGCTGCCCTCACTTGTCACCAGGCTTCCCGATCCACAGGGGCAGGGTCATGGCCGACTGCTGCAGCAGGGTCATCAGCACCCCTCTGCGCATGGTCTTCCGGGGTGGCTCCGAGTCATTGTAGAGACCGGCAATCTTGGCCGCTGTGGGAAGGAAGGGAGGCCTGAGGCCCCAGGGATAGGTGCCGGCCTTGACCCCCGAGCATGCTGCACTGAGCTGTTGAAGGAGCACCTGGGAGCCCCCAGTTCCCGAGTGAGCCCGAGGGCCCAGCAGGACTGTGACCCCATCGGCCATGTGTCAGCACCTATAGGGGCTGCTGGGTTTAACTACAGTTGGGTGAGATGGCAGCACAGCGGGGATCCAGGGGGAGGAACCAGAAGAAAGAAAGCGGGTTCCAAGGTGCTGTTCAGGCTGTGTTTGCTGATCTGAATGCTGGTTACAGAAGTGTGTTCAGTTAGTGACTATTTCATTGAACTCTGCACTTATGTGTACTTTTCTTCTATTAATATACATTGTAATTCAACAGAAAGTTAAAAAAACCAAAAAAAAAATTAAATGTGCACCTTCAACCTCCTCAGGCACAGCTGGACACCCCACTTGACTTCACACAGAACCAGCATGGCTGTGTGGGGACACTGACATGCCAAGATTCTGCCCACCATGGGATTGTTGGGAGGGCAGACAGGTAGGAGAGCCTAATGCAGGCTGAGGGGGTCTGGAAGGCTGGCTTTACGACACACAGCGTGTGGCTCTGCAGAAACCAGCCAGGGCAACAGATGGGCATGGGCCATGGCAGAGGAGGGGGCGACTGGCCCAGGCCCCAGAAGGGGCAGGAGATGAGGGGCCAGGGCGGGATGATCTCTGGCTGCTGAGGGAGAACTGGGAAACCCCTGCCTCTGGGCACTGGGAATGACCTCCTGTCCCTTCTCAGTGGTAGAGCCAGTCTGCCAGAGCCTCCATGGGAGGATGCCAGCAGGTGGTGGCCACAGGCCCCCACAGGAGGGTGACTGCTGCCCGCAGGGCCTCTCCTCTTGTCCTAGCAAAGGACCTCCCAGCATGTTCTCTCCCACTCACCAATCCGCCTCTCTTCCAACAGAGACTTGATTTCCGCGATCTTGTCCAGAGCTTTCCGAAGGATGCTGAGGGCGGGGAGAAGGGAGAAAGAGGGTTTGGTTAACGTACATAGCATAGACTTCTCTTCCATTTTTTCTGTTTTGGGTCAAGCTACATTGCCCAGGCTGGTCCCGGACTCCAGAGGTTCTCACAGTAGCCTCCTGCGCAGGTGGAATGACAGGTGTGTGCAGGTTCCTGTTCTGGTCAAGGTGGGCTGGGTTATTCAGACCAACCTCATGGTGAAACTAGAAATCTGCCCGGGTGTGGTGGTTCACGCCTGTAATCCCAGCACTTTGGGAGGCCGAGGAGTGTGGATCACCTGAGGTCAGGAGTTCAAGACCAGCCTGACCAATATGGTGAAACCCCGTCTGTATTAAAAATACAAAACTTAGCCAGGTGTGGTGGCGAGCGTCTTTAACTGTAATCCCACCTACTTGGGAGGCTGAGGCAAGAGAATCGCTTGAACCTGGGAGGCAGAGGTTGCAGTGAACCGAGATCGCGTCATTGCACTCCAACCTGGGCAAAAAGAACGAAACTCCATTTCAAAAAAAAAAAGAAAACTGGAAATCTTCAGTATGTGTCTTTTAGTCTTAAGAACATAAAAAACAAGGTGGTAGAAAGCAGCATGCCAAAAACTAAGAGAACACAGGATCCCAGAGAGGAAAGGACACAGGCAAACTGCCTTCGGCAAACCCTGCAGAAAGGCTGCAGGAACCTCCTGAAATGAGGAGAGGGGGCCTCAGGTCTGCCCGAGGGTCACACAAAAGGAGGGGAGACTCTGGGGAGAGGTGCTGGCCCAGAGCAGAACTGGGTGGAAGGACCTCATCCTTTCTGAAAGGCTGAACCCAAAGACAGACCCCTGCATGGCCTTGAAGCCCCAGGAAGCCTCTGTGAAGTTAGTTTATGGGGATTCCAGGGTGGCAGGAACCCAAAGAACCCAGCAGAAGCAAACACAGAACTTGGCTGGAGTGAGGCTCCTTCATCCTAAAGCTCAGGGAATCTTCCCAAAGAGTATTTCCACAGCAGGGATGGGTGTGGTGGCTCACGCCTGTAATCTCAGCACTTTAGGAGGCTGAGGCAGGAGGATCACTTGAGGTCAGGAGATCGACACCAGCCTGGCCAACATAGAGAAACTCCTTCTCTACTAAAAATACAAAAATTAGCCCGGCGTGGTGGCGGGCGTCTATAATCCCAGCTACTTGGGAGGCTGAGGCAAGAGAATCGCTTGAACCTTGGGGGCAGAGCTTGCAGTGAGCCGAGATTGTGTCACTGCACTCCAGCCTGGGTGACAGAGCGAAACTCCATTTCAAAAAAAATACGTATTTCCACAGTAGTCAGCAGCACAAACTCCACTTTGGGTCATTTTATTTTCCTCTGATACCATGGCAAACCCCAGTCCATTCCTCTGGCAAGCCTTTCTGAAATGACCCGGAGTTCTAAAGACCTTTGTGCGGCAGGAAGGAGATGCACAGGAACTGGGTGTGATGCAGCATCTCGGGAGGTGTCCGGGGGTGCCCCAGGGCATGTGACTCATGGACCTCACCAGGCCAGGGCCAGAAGATGGAGGTAGGCCAAGGGCAGCCAAACCAACGCAGGGACAAGGAACAGCTTGCCTGCTGCGTACAATGCAGGGATGGCCCAGCCAGTGCCACCTCAGGCTGTGAGCACCGGGACCCCAGAAAGCAGAGAAGGAGAAAGAGCCACGGGGCCAAAGGGAACTCTGAGAGTCTCATCACTGTTGCCAGGCCTGTGTGGAGGATACAGTTTTATACAGCCTGTCCTAAACTGTCTTCTGTGACATGTTACTGAAGTGGCTTTCAAACCTTGGTGGGCATCAGAATCTCCTGGGGGAAGTTTAAAAAATCTCAATTGTTTCACGCACAAATCATAAATGGATGCTAAAACTAGTGTGTTTGATATGAACAGGATAGTTACAGTCTCAAAAGTATCTCCCAAGACACTTATTAATTATGCAATGGAGGCCAGGTGCAGAGGCTCACACCTGTAATCCCAGCACTTTGGGAGGCCAAGGTGGGTGGATCGCTTGAGCTGAGGAGTTCAAGACCAGCCTGGGCAACATGGCAAAACCCCTCTCTACAAAAAATACAAAAATTAGGTGGAGTGGTGGCAGGTGCCTATTGTCCCAGCTACTCAGGAGGCTGAGGCAGGAGGATCACTTGAGGCCAGGAGTTTGAGGCTGAAGTGAGCCATGATTACGCCACTCCACTCCAGCCTGGATGACAGACTGAGACCCTGTCTTAATCGATCAATCACACAATGGAAAATAGCAGTAATCTGATACAAGAGAAACGTGGAAAATACCACTTTAACCAATGGCACAGACAGCATCCTGTGCCGTCTAATATGACCCACCAGAGACACCTCTTCTGTGCCAAAAGTGTAAAGCATGAATCCTACTAGTGAGGAAATGTCAGATAGTTAATACCAATGTTGGAGCTCCACCCCAAATAAACAGAGCCTCTGGGCACAGTCAGACTTCAGAACCAGTGTGTTCTCAAAGTAGAGGAATGTAATGTTCAAGTTCCTGAATCTCCTGCAGAGATTCAAGGAAACAGTGTTTCCAGATCATTTTTTTATTTTAGTTTTTTTTTTTTTTTTGAGGCAGAGCCTTGCTCTGTTGCCCAGGCTGGAGTGCAGTGGCACGATCTTAGCTCACTGCAACCTCCGCCTCCTGCCTCAGCCTCCCAAGTAGCGTGCGCCACCACACCTGGCTAATTTTTGTATTTTTAGTAGATATAGGGTTTCGCTATGCTAGCCAGGCTGGTCTCAAACCCCCAACCTCAGGTGATCCACCCACCTTGCGATTGCAGGCATGAGCCACTGTGCCTGCCCGGCCTTAAGATTATTTTAAAAGCAGGAGTTTTCTGGAAGTGAAACTTCTCCATCTCAGAACCATAAAACCTTCAGGTCATCTGAGTATGACTTCCCAGCCAAGCTTACAGACACATGCCACCACGCTCAGCTAATTAAAAACTTTTTGTAGAGACAAAGTCTCACTTTGTTGCCCAGGCTGGTCTCAAACACCTGCGTTCAAGTGATCCTCTAACCTCGGCCTCCCAATCACCTCTGTAATGTTGTGATTACAGATCTGAGCTACCCAGCCCCTGATATCCCTATTTTAATGACTCTGCCAAGGTCATAGAGCCAGTAAACGGCAGTGTTGACTCACGCCTTGCCACCTTCTGTAAAGGCATTAGCAGCAGAGGTAACTGGAAGAGTGGGCCTGGCAGTGGGCCAGGGAATGCGGGACCCAAGCGAGAGGCTGGGAGTAGCAATCAGCTTATCCATGGGAGGAAGGCAGGCTGGGGACTTGGTCCAAATGGACCTGCAGCCCAGCCCCCAGGAAAGGAGGGAGCGGCGATGAAGTGGGTGCACGGTACTCACTTGCACTCAGCCTCTGCATCGGCCTTGGCGGTTGTGTAGAGGCCACGCAGCTTTGTCCGGTAATAGGGAGAAACTGCAGAGGAAACACAGGGATAAGGAGGCAGGGCCAGGGCAGGCACAGTAGCATGGCACTGCTTCCATGCACCGGAATCACACTCGTGGAGGCACAGAGAGGCCGTAGCTGCAGTCAGAGCTCTGCTGGCTCAGGAGTGCTCCTGAGGCGGATGCCCCCAGGCTCCATGAGTCCGCATTTCCATATGGTACAAATGCCATCCCTACATCTGCGAGAGTACTGTCTTACCTTTTCTCCATCATGACACTCACAGAAAATATTTGTCAGGACCCAGGAAAACACAATTCTCAGAGTTACCCAGAGTAAGAAAGCCCCAGCCCCAGGATCTCACCACCTGAGGGCCTCAGGGCAGATGCAGGGGCCGCCTGGGAAGGAAGCTCCTTTCTAGAAAACACCAGCTAACTGGGGCGCTTGTGTGCTCTAAGGGCAAGCTTCCCTAGATACAGCCTCATTTCACTGCCTTTCGAATCCTCAGAGTAGAGGGATTTTAGTTCTTCAGGTCACCCAGATTAACGGAAAGCTGTCCCTCCTGCTGCATTTTGGAATATGCAGATACATGCAAATCTATTTTGAATACAATGACCACCTCGGTCACAGTCTTGGCCATACTCACCCTAGCCCCATCTCATCCCCTTTCTCTCCTGAGCCCAGCTACTCACTCTTGTTCTCTGTCTGCATCCGCTCATGGGTCTTCTGGATGTTCACTAAGTTGTGTTCGCTCCGCGAACGCTCTTCCTGTAAGGAAAAGAGCAGCAGGACATGACGGTGGCCCTTTGTGCTGCTGTGGTACCCTGCCAGCCAGGCCAGAGTCCCCATCCCCAAAATACGGCCCTCATTTTCTTTTTTTTTTTTTTTTTTTGAGATGGAGTCTCACTCTGTCGCCCAGGCTGGAGTGTAGTGGCACGATCTCGGCTCACTGCAAGCTCCGCCTCCCGGGTTCACGCCTTTCTCCTGCCTCAGCCTCCCGAGTAGCTGGGACTACAGGCGCCCGCCACCACGCCTGGTTAATTTTTTGTAGTTTTAGAAGAGACGGAGTTTCACCGTCTTAGCCAGGATGGTCTCGATCTCCTGACCTCGTGATCCGCCTGCCTCGGCCTCCCAAAGTGCTGGGATTACAGGCGTAAGCCAATGCGCCCGGCCTAATTTTTTGTATTTTTAGTAGAGACAGGGTTTCGCCATCTTGGCCAGGCTGGTCTTGAACTCCTGACCTCGTGATCCACCTGCCTCGGTTTCCCAAAGTGCTGGAATTACAGGCAAGGGCGCCCGGCTATGGCCCTCATTTTCTAAATCCAAATTCAGGAGTTCAAGATGATTTTCTCCTTTGACTAATGCAAAAGCATTATAAAAGGCCTTAAAGGGCCTGGTGCAGTGGCTTAAGCCTGTAATCCCAGCACTTTGGAAGGCCAAAGTGGGCAGATCACTTGAGATCAGGAGTTCAAGACCAGCCTGGCCAACATGATGAAACCCCACCTCTACTAAAAATACAAAAATTAGCCGGGCATTGTAGCATGTGCGTATAGTCCTAGCTACTCGGGAGGCTGAGGTTGCAGTGAGCTGAGATCATGTCACTGCACTCCAGCCTGGGTGACAGAGTGAGACTGTTAAAAAAAAAAAAAAAAGAAGGCATTAAAGTTAAATCATAAGTGATATCTTTAATGATAGTCCTTTATCAAAGAGACAAATCAATCTATACAGTCAACGCAATCCCCATCAAAATTCTAATTGACTTCTTTGCAGAAATTGACAAGTTCATCCTAAAATTCATATGGAAATTCACGGGACCCAGATTATCCCCAATCTTGGAAAAAGAAAAAAAAAGTTGGAGAACTCATACTTCCCAATTTCAAAATTTATTACGAAGCTACGGTAATCACGATGGTGTGGTACTGGCATATAGATCAACAGAACAGAATTCAGAGTCCAGAAATAGACACATACAGGTATGATCAATTGATGTGGAGAAGAAGGGGTGGGGAAGAAT
This sequence comes from Homo sapiens, assembly GCF_000001405.40. Classification (NCBI taxonomy): domain Eukaryota; kingdom Metazoa; phylum Chordata; class Mammalia; order Primates; family Hominidae; genus Homo; species Homo sapiens. Next base: position 28,583,666 of record NC_000016.10, on the reverse strand, counting down.
GCTGGTGCAATTCCTCCCATATCAGTCATCCTGGGAGCAGAGCTGCAACTGCAGATGCTGGAAACTGAGACAGATCCTAAGAAAGAAATTATGACTATGCTTTTTAGCCTTTATGTGAGAATTTTTAAGTGCCTGATGGGTGGGTTGCGCCTTTACCTCAACCTGCAAAATGAGGTTAACAGTGAACACAGCTAGCTAGCTGCCTAGTGCTCAAGACAGCCAATAGTCCATACCTGTGTAACCCCACCCTATATAAATGGGAATGGATTGGGGTTGGGGGGGGATACTTGCTAGACTAGTACTGCTGCCGCTGCAATCTGGACCAGGTACAGTGGCCAAAGCTAACATCCCTTACAAAGGTGGAAAAGTTTGGGTGAAAACCAATCACAAATGGAGAGGAGAAACAGTAGCCGAGTTAACAGAACAAATTAAATGGGTTATGCAATGAGGGAAATCCAATATTGTACTCATACCTCAAGAGAGGCTGAGAGAGAGAGAATGCCATCTCTTAGGTCAGTTACACTGGGTGCCTGAAAGGGCGAAGCCCTGTGTCTGTCAGGACCACGCCTGCTTTTGGAAGCTGACGGGTGAGATGGGAGTCTGGGAACTCGGCAGCAGCTGTCTGAGGGACACCCTGGTTGTATGGGATGATGATAAACTGTTCTAACTGTGGATGACTGAATGGAATGCGTAATCTGCCTGTATCTTTTTTTTCCTTTATTTATTTTTTTGAGACGGAGTTTCGCTCTTGTCGCCCAGGCTGGAGTGCAGTGGTGCGATCTTGGCTCACTGCAACCTCCACTTCCCAGGTTCAAGCGATTCTCCTGCCTCAGCCTCCCTAGTAGCTGGGATTACAAGCATGTACCACCACGCCCGGCTAATTTTTAGTAGAGATGGAGTTTCGCCATTTGGCCAGACTGGTCTCAAACTCCTGACCTCAGGTGATCCACCCGCCTCAGCCTCCCAACATGCTGGGATTACAGGCATGAGTTACCACGCCCAGCCCTTTTTTCCTTTATTTTACAATGTATTTTATTGATAAACTCTTCTTAGAGCAGTTTTGGTTTACAGAAAAGCTGAGCTGATGGCACAGAGTTCCTGTATGTATACCTGCTCTGCCCTGCGCAGTCTCCCCTATTGTTAACATCTTGCATTAGAGTGGTGCGTTTGTAACAACTGATGAGCCAATACTGTTAGATAATTAACTACATCCATCCCCATGATGGTTTACTCTGTGTGTTCTGCCGTTCTATGGGTTTGGACAACGCATCATGTTGCGTGCCCCCCATCATGGTACCCTGCAGAAGAGTTCCACCCCCTAAAATCCTCTGTGCTCCACCTATCCATCCCTTTCATCCTATCTCTCCCAAGGCCCTGGCTACCGCTCATCCTTTCACTCTCTAGTTTTGCTTTTCGTTTACAGTTGGAATACACAGCACGTAACCTTTCAGACTGGCATCTTTCACTTAGCAATGAGTGCCGGCATCTTCTGACTCTTACTCTCCAGGTTACGTCTAAAAGGAATACCATTTGGGAAGGAATTTCTGGGATCTACTCCTTCCTGGCTGTGCGGTGCACAACTGCCAGCAAACTGATCCTTGTGTAGCTATAAACCCTGAGTATCGTGGGCAAAATGTGGCAGAGCATGCCCGATAGCCTGCAGTGAGCTACAGGCACCAATACGCATCTCCCTTGTATCTGTGAAAGAAAAGATATCAAATAGGGGAAAAATGGCTTTTTTTTTTTTTGAGATGGAGTCTTGCTTTGTCACCCAGGCTGGAGTGCAGTGGCGCCATCTCGGCTCACTGCAACCTCTGCCTCCCGAGTTCAAGTGATTCTCCTGCCTCAGCCTCCCCAGTAGCTGGGATTATAGGCATCCGCCACCAAGCCTAGCTAATTTTTGTATTTTTAGTAGAGACAGCCAACATGGCAAAACCCCGTCTCTACTAAAAATACAAAAACAATTAGCCGGACATGGTGGTGTGTGCCTGTAATCCCAGCTACTAGGGAGACTGAGGCAGAAGAATCGCTTGAACCCAGGAGGCAGAGGTTGCAGTGAGCTGAGATCGCGCCACCGCACTCCAGCCTAGGTGACACAGTGAGACTCCGTCTCCAAAAAAAAAAGAGTGTTTTTGTTTGCCTGGATTAATAGGGTGGAAGGAAAAGATATGGGGCATTTTTGTTGGGTGTTAAAAATGTTCTGAAATTGATCGTGCTAATGGTTGCACAATTTTGTGAGCTGCGAAAAACCACTGGATTATACACTTTAAATGGGTGCGTTGTATGGCATGTGAATTCTATCTCAGGATAGCTGTCAAACAAAATGAATCATGAAATCCTGTACATGGTAGAAAATCCAACAGGAATGGTAGCCATACACCAAATTCCCCTCCTTTCACTTTTATTACGTCATTTTGGTTCCTGCGAGTCCAATCTCTCTGAACACAAATGCCACCCCCACTTCACGGCTCAGCATCAAAGCCCATGTTCCCATCTGGGAATGGAGGGTGGTGACTTTTTACCTGGGTTTGTTTGATCAGCTGATGGAGCTCTGTGAGAAGTTCTGCAATGCGGGAATCGGCAGACACGAGGGCCATTGTCTACAGGGGCACCTGGTGGGGGAGCGAGGACAGAAGAGAACTCTGTTAGTGGCTGCTGTGGGCTGAACTGTGCCCCCTCAAAAGATACATTAGGCCTGGAGGCTCATGCTGTAATCCCAGCACTTTGGGAGGCCAAGGCGGGAGGATTGCTTGAGGCCAGGAGTTCAAGACCAGCCTGGGCAACACGGAGACCCCGTCTTTACAAAAAAATTAAAAACTTAGCCCGGCATAGTGGCACACATCTGTAGTCCCAGCTATTCGAGAAGCTAAGGTGAGTGGATCGCTAGGCCCTAGGGGGTTGAGGCTGCATGAGCTACGATCGTGCCATTGCACTCCAGCCTACATGACAGTGTGACACCCTATCCCTTTAAAAGATAGTAATAATAAAAAGATACATTGTAGTCCTAACCATGGTACCTGTAATGTCACCTTGTTTGGAATTAGGGTCTTTGGAGAAGTATTTAAGATGTCACTAAGATGAAGTCATAGTGGAATAGGGTGTGCCCTTAATCCAGACACACAGCCAGGTGCAGACAGAAGCAGCGACTGGACTTGGACAGCTGCAAGCCAGGGGATGCCAAGGACTGCCGGCAGCCACCCATCCAGCCGGGAGAGATGCGCGGAGTAACGGCCCCGTCTAAGCCTCCAAGAAGCAACAATCCCTTGTCTTTGGAACCAAGCTGACATCTTGATTTTGGAATTATGGCCCCTAGAACTGTGATGGAATAAATTTCTCTTGTCTTAAGCCACCCAGCTTGCAGTAACTTGTTATGGCAGCCATAAGAAATGAATACAGTGGCAAGCTATCCTTGGATTCTCCTCCACCCTATTGATATGTTTGAATGTCATATGTTCGACGAAGTCAAGGAGTCAAGGAGTGTATAATTTTTGTATATAAATACAAAAATTAATATGAAGTGCCTTAAAAAGATAGCATGCCCTTAGCCCCTGCTCTGCTGCCAATATCCTGACAAATGATTCAAACATTTCTGGTATCCATATTTTAATCTGTAAAATGGGGATCATCTCTGCTATATTTTGGGAGATTCAAATAAGATTTTATATGAAGACACTTTCCAAGTCATAAAACGCTGTTACTTTCTTACTATAGTGGGAAGATAATTTTTTTTTTTTTGAGACGGGAGTCTTGCCCTGTCACCTAGGCTGGAGTGCAGTGGTGTGATCTTGGCTCACTGCAATCTCTGCCTCCCAGGTTCAAGCAATTCTCCTGCCTCAGCCTCCTGAGTAGCTGAGATTACAGGTGTGTGCCACCATGTCCAGCTAATTTTTGTATTTTTAGTAGAGATGGGGTTTCACCATGTTGGCCAGGCTGGTCTCAAACTCCTGACCTCAGGTGATCTGCTTGCTTCAGTCTCCCACAGTGCTGGGATTACAGGCGTGAGCCACCACGCCCAGCCAGCATGGGGAGAGAAACTACTGTAAAATATCTCAATCAAGATGAATGTACTCTGATGAAAATAAAATGCTTCTGTACAATAAAAGATAATTAGGGCCGGGCGTGGTGGCTCATGCCTGTAATCCCAGCACTTTGGGAGGCCGAGGAGGGCAGATCATGAGGTCAAGAGATCAAGACCATCCTGGCCAACATGGTGAAACCTTGTCTCTACTAAAAATACAAAAATTAGCTGGGCATGGTGGTGGGCACCTGTAGTCCCAGCTACTCAGGAAGCTGAGGCAGGAGAATTGCTTGAACCCGGGAGATGGAGGTTGCAGTGCGCCGAGATCACGCCACTGCACTCCAGCCTGGCGACAGAGTGAGACTCCGTCTCAAAAAAAAAAAAAAAAAAAGATAATTAGAACAAGAGTAAAAAGACAACCAAAAGTAATCAAGAGTGTAAGTTACAAGTAGGTGAAAATAGACATATGCCTCAAGATAAAGGTATATTTGATAAAATAAGGGGATATTTTTTACAGTGCTAAAATTTTGCACAATAGCCTGCATCTTACAAAGTTTGTTCAAGCTGGGGGCAGTGACTAACACCTGTAATCCCAGCACTTTGGGAGGCGAAGGTAGGAGGATGGTTTGAGTCCAGGAGCTCGAGATCAGCCTGGACAATACAGCAAGACCCTGTCTCTATTTTTATTTTTTATTTATTTATTTTTTGAGATAGAGTCTTGCTCTGTCGCCCAGGCTAGAGTGCAGCGGTGCGATCTCTGCTCACTGCAACCTCGGCATCCTGGGTTCAAGCGATTCACCTGCCTCAGCCTCCAGAGTAGCTGGGATTACAGGCACCCGCCACCTTGCCTGGCTAATTTTTTGTATTTTTAGTAGAGACGGGGTTTCACCATCTTGGCCAGGCTGGTCTCAAACTCCTGACCTCGTGATCCACCCACCTCGCCCTCTTTTTTTTTTTTTTTTTTAAAGTTGTTCAACTAACACATCCTCCTACTCACAGAGATCAGATTCACGATGAATGGAGTAAACTCTTCCCCCCACTTAATCAACTGCGAACCTCTCGCCATGTATTTATTCATATCTTCTTACATGCTCTGCTGCTGCTATTTAAAAGTATAATAACATACAAACTAGGAATAGAGGGTAACCTCCTCAACCTGATGAAGGGCATCTATGAAAAACCCACAACGAACATCAGACTTAAAGGCGAAAGATTAAAAGCTTTCCCCTAAGTCAGGAACAAGATGAGCATGGGCCCTTGTCATTTCTAGTCAACATTGTTCTGGAGGCTCTCGCCAGGGCAATGAGGCAATAAGATGAAATAAAAGGCATCCACATTGGAAAGGAAGAAGTACAACTATTTCTATTTGCAGATGACATGACCTTGTATATAGAAAACCCTAAGGAATCCATTAAACAACTATTAGGACTAAGACAAGGTTAGAACTCATAGCAAAGTTGCAGGATACGAGATCAATAAACAAAACTCAATTGTGGCCAGGCCCCAGAGGCTCACGCCTGTAATCCCAGCACTTTGGGAGGCTGAGGCGGGAGGATCACTTGCAGCCAGGGGTCCAGACGAGCCTAGGCCACCAGACGAGCCTGAGCCCCACTTCTACTTTATAAATTTTTTAACTTTAAAAAAAGAAAGCTACAGTAATCAAGATGTTGTAAGCAAAGACATCTAGTTCAATGGAATAGAACTGAGAAACCAGAAATGGTCGACTAATTTTCAACAAGGGTGTCAAGACAAATTAGTGGGGAAAGAATAATCTTTTCAACAAATGGTACTGGGACAACTGAATATCCACATGTAAAAGAATGAATCTGGTTCCCTATCTCAGCCCATATACAAAAATGATCTGAATAGACAGTTCTCCAAAGAAGACATATAAATGATCACCAAGCACATGACAAGATGCTCCGTATCATTAGCCATTGGGAAATGCAAGTCAAAACTACTGAAGACACCACTTCACACCTACAATAAAAAAGAGACAAGAGTTGGGAAGGAGGTAGAGAAACTACACGAATGCATAAAGTGTGATATTATCCATACAGTGGAATATTACTTGACAGTAAAAAGAAATGAAGTACTGAGACACGCTATGACATGGATGAACCTTGAAAACATTATGCTAAGTGAAAGAAGCTGCAATCACAGAAGACCACATAATTGTGTTTCCATTTACGTGAAATATCCAGAATAGCCGAATCCATAGAAAGCTGGGTGGGGAAGGGTTGGGAGAGAAAGGACAGCGACTATTAATGAGTATGGGTTTTTTTGTTTTTTTTTTTTGGCCAGGTGTTGAAAATGTTCTAAAATTGTGCTGATGGTTGCACAACTCTGAATATACTAAAAACCAATGAATTGCACACTTTAAATACATGGTACATGGCCACCCCACCCCCAGGCAAATATTAATTTACTTTCTGTCTCTTTAGATTTATGTAGTCTGCACTTTTTTTTTTCTTTTTTAATGAGACAGAGTCTCGCTGTGTCACCGAGGCTGGAGTGCAATGGCACGATGTTGGCTCACTGCAACCTCCGCCTCCCGGGTTCAAGTGTTTCTCCTGCCTCCCAAGTAGCTGGGACTATAGGCGCCCACCACCACGCCCGGCTAATTTCTGTATTCTTAGTAGAGACGGGGTTTCGACATGTTAGCCAGGCCGGTCTCGAATGTCTGACCTTGGGTGATACGCCTGACCTCGGGTGATCCACCTGCCTCAGCCTCCCAAAGTGCTGGGATTACAGGCGTGAGCCACCATGCCAGGCCTGTGCTTTTATTGCTGAATAACTCCATTGTTTTGCTATATCATATTTTACATGTCAGTTCATGAACTGATGGACATTGGGTTACGTCTATTTTTTTGGCTATTATGAATAATGCTGCTATGAGCGTTGTGTACAGGTTTTTGTGTGGGCACGTTTTCTTTGTTTTTCTTTTTTGGGACAGATTCTAGCCTTGTTGCCCAACTTGGAGTGCAGTGGTGTGATCTCGGCTCACTGCAATCTCTGCCTCTCTCGTTCAAGCAATTCTCCTGCCTCAGCCTCCCAAGTAGCTGGGATTACAGGCACCCATCACCACGCTGGCTACTTTTTGTATTTTTAGTAGAGATGGGGTTTCACCACGTTGGCCAGGCTGGTCTCAAACTCCTGACCTTAGGTGATCCACCTGCCTTGACCTCCCAAAGTGCTGGGATTACAGGTGTGAGCCACTGCGCCCGGCCCTTCTTTTTTAATTTTAATTTTAGGTTTTGGGGATACATGTGAAGGTTTGTTGCATAGGTAAATATGTGTCATGGGGGTCTGTTGTACAGATAATTTCATCACCCAGGTATTATGCCCAGTACCCGATGGTTATCTTTCCCGCTTCTCCCTCCTCCTACCCTCCCCGCCCAGTGTCTGTTGTTTCCTTCTTTGTATTCATGACATGTTTTCATTTCTGGGTACATATCTATGAGAATTAATAATGTGTTTTTTTTAACGTATTTACACTATGTTTATCTTAATAAGTGTATTAAACATAAACTCTGTTTAACCTTCTGAGGAGCTGCATGCTGTTTCCAACTGGGTGACCATTTTACATTCCCACCTGCAATGTGCATTCCCACTCTGCATTTGCGCCAACACATGCTATTGTCTCTCTCTGTCATTTTTATTTTTGGCAGAGGCAGGGTCACACTATGTTGCCCAGGCTGGTGTCGAATTCCTGAGCTCAACCAATCCTCCTGCCTTGGCCTCCCAAAATGCTGGGATTACACGTGTGAGCCACCATGCCTGGCCTCTCTCTTTTTGATTACAGCCATCCTAGTGAGTCTGAAGTAGAGTCTCATTGTGGTTTTGATTTGTGTGTCCCTAACGGTTAATGGCATTGAGTATCTTTTCATATGCTGTTGGCCATCTGTATATATTACCATTTTAAAGTTTGGTTATTTGTCTTTTTTGTTTGCTTGTTTGTTTTGAGACGGAGTCTCACTCTGCCACCCAAGCTGGAGTGCAGTGACTCAATCTCAGCTCACTGCAACCTCTGCCTCCCGGCTTCAAGCAATTTTCCTGCCTCAGCCTCCTGAGTAGCTGGGATTACAAGGCACGCACCACAAAGCCCAGCTAATTTTTGTATTTCTTTTAGTAGAGACAGGGTTTCACCATGTTGACCAGGCTGGTCTCAAACTCTCAACCTCAAGTGATCCACCCGCCTTGGCCTCCCAAAGTGCTGGGCTTATAGGTGTGAGCCACCGTGTCCAGCCAGTTGTCTTGAGTTGTGTCCTTGGAAGCACATGTTTTTAATTTTTATGAAGACCAATTTCTTTTTCTTTTAGCTGCTTGTGATATTGATCTGTGTTGTCCCACATGTACGACACTGTTTTTACCACCACAGCTTTACACAATGCATTGTCATATAGAGAAGAACATATCCCCTTAGAAACATTTAGAGACCTAGGAACAGAAGCTACATCTGTGTCTCAGGTGGTGGTGAAGCCAGATGGTGGATCCTGGTGCCAGTACCCCCAGGGCTTGTATACCATAGGGAAAGGGTGGTTCAGAAGGGATGCACTGGACAACTGAAGTATGATAACATCAAGATGGTGTGACCCCATGGCAGGATTTATGGTAAGTATGTACTCTTACACAAGGAACAATAGACAAACTGGAAATCTTGGAGTCCTTTCCAGAACTGGAATTAATCAGAAGTGAACACGGTGAATTAGAATACAGGATGAAGTTGCTTTAGTCTCCCTAGTTGCATTAGTTAAAACCACACAAAAGAATAAAAGTGGAGTTTAGATCACAGATTGGAAGTGGATAAATCTGAGCATGATCAGCATGCAGGCTGTTGCTAAAGTCTTGGGAACTGATGAGGCTAGAGACTATCTGCTAAGTGAGGAAAAAGGAAAGAACCCCAGTGAGCCATAACAAAGAAAGTGAAGGTGTGGACAGAAGATGCAAGCTCAGTGGCCAGATCAGGGAAGGTGTGGCTTGGCATAGAAAGGGTTATTCTCTCCTGCTAAAGCAGGAATCCTGGCTGAAACTGTTATAGGGAGTTGGACAGGCAGGAGCAGGGCAGGAGAGGGCTCTCCCCCACCCACTAGGTGCCAGGGAGAGGCCATTTCCTGACGGTCCACACTTGATGCACTGAAGTGTTAATTGAATGCAGACACCAAGGAGACGCACCTTCCTGAGCATGCACATTAAGAGACCAAATGGCAGAGCATGGCCTCCCAGGGCACATCACCAGAACAGTGAAGAAAGCCTCAGATGGGCATCCGTACAACTTCCTACACACTGTGTATGTGCCCACCTCCCAAGGGTAAGGAGCACACTGTGCATGCGGGCAGCTCGCCGTGAGGGAAGAATCATGGGAAAAGGGCCAGCCTTGGTCCTAGAATGTCCTAGGATCAAGGTTAAACACCGCACTGGACCTCAGCACCCACGTGGGTCTCCTTCAAGTGTACTTCTCCTTTCTTTCCTGTTCCAAAGCTTCTTAATGAACTTCCACTCCTGCTCTGAAACTTGCCTCGGTCTTTTCCTGCCTTGTGCCCAAGTCGAATTCTTAACAGGCAAGAAGTGAGATTGCTGCAAACCCGTACAGATTTGCTGCTGGTAACTCAGATACCTTCCACCCGTAACAAAACCAATGGCCCGCCTTGCACATGCCCGCACCTGAGCCCTATTAACAGCCCCACCACTGGACAGGGGGTTTTACTTTACACAGCACTGTCACAAACAGCGAGAGGTGCTGCAACCACGTGGCCAAGTCATCTGGTTAGCCTTCCCTTAGCACACTTCAAACCTCCTCTCTCCTCAATATCCTTGATACTGCCCTCAGACCCAGGCCTGGGTCCTATTAGCTGATATCTGAGGTTCCTACTTCACTCGGAAGGGAAGCCAGAGACTTTATGCCCACCATCAAAACTACAAGCTCTGTATAGCAATGCCTGTCACCTCTGCCTTCACCCTAAAGAGGGAAAAACAGTCTTCATTTGTGTTCTGAACTCCATCTCCCCTCCGACTGTCAGCGAATCCTTTCTCCTCTACCAGTGAACAAGCATGATTGAGGAGAGTTCATCCTGAAAAAACACAAAAGAGCTTCCAAACCCCTTTAGAGGCCCCCACCTCTGTTCCTCTTCACGGCAAAACTTCTTCCCTAAATTGTGCAGGGATCCGGTGCTGCTTCCTTGTCCCCACTTCACTTTCCAACCCACTTCTCTAGCTCTGTCCTCATCAGTCTCTCATCAAGAGAGTCAACAGCCCCTGCAGGGGAAGCGTGAGGGCCCTCTCTGCTGCTTCCGATGTGGCCTACTGATCTTGACATGATGCTACTCCCTTCTCCTCTGGCTTCAGGGCCTCCCTCCTGGCAGTTCGCCGGCCACCCACCTCCAGCTCCTCCTCTGGGCTGGAGCCTGGCTATCTCTTACACCCCCCCAGGTCCTCACCCCCACTTCCCAGCTGTGTAGTGCCATCTCCCAATCTGTACATCCGTCAAAAGAAAGTCACAGAAGGGATGATAAACAGCACCAAATGCCACAGAAGAGGACTCAGAGGGGTCTCCCAAAGCTGAGGAAGTCACTGAGGACCTTGGGGAAAACATTTTCCGTGGAAGAGACAGAAGCCAACACACAGGAGGGGGAGGCAAATGCAGGAAGCAAATGTAGGTTACTCTGTCTGGGAGTACAGCTGGGAGGCCAGCGAGCAAGAAGGGGTATGGGGGGTGCTGAATGGAGGAAAGTGACACGGAGGAATGTGAACACGTGGCTGGGGGGAGTTTCATGCTGAGAAGCCAGGGACAGAAGAGGGGGCTGTGTGAGAGGAGGCAGGCGCAGCGAGAGACAGGCTCTAGCACTGGATCATACCCAGCGACACCTCCCCGGCTCAGCTGACATTCCTTCTGGCCTGTTCCCTCTACACTGTCTCAGACACACGATCTTGCTGCCTGCCCACTCCTACCTGCAAAGCCCTTTCCCTTCTGGCTCAAGGCTGCGCTTGCCTGACCAGTCCTAAAGAAGCACACTTTTCTCTTGCTTGATTCTTCCTAGAACTGACATGGACTCTGCAACACGCCTTTAGAAACTGGCCTTCTACCGGGCGCAGTGGCTCACGCCTGTAATACCAGCACTTTGGGAAGCCGAGGCAGGCGGATTACCTGAGGTCAGGAGTTTGAGACCAGCCTGGCCAACATGGTGAAACCCTGTATCTACTGAAAATACAAAAGTTAGCCAGGCGTGGTGGCCGGTGCCTGTAATCCCAGCTACTCGGAGGCTGAGGCAGGAGAGCTGCTTGAACCCAGCAGGCGGATGTTGCAGTGAGCCGAGATCGTGCCACTGCACTCCAGCCTGGGCAACAAGAGCTCCGTCTCAAGAAAAATACAAAAGGGCCGGGCGCAGTGGCTCACGCCTGTAATCCCAGCACTTAGGGAGGCTGAGGCAGGTGGATCACAAGGTCAGGAGATTGAGACAATCCTGGCTAACACAGTGAAACCCCATCTCCACTAAAAATACTAAAAATTAGCCGGGCGTGGTGGTGGGTGCCTGTGGTCCCAGCTACTCGGGAGGCTGAGGCAGAATGGCGTGAACCCGGGAGGCAGAGCTTGCAGTGAGCCGAGATTGTGCCACTGCACTCCAGTCCGGGCAACAGTGCGAGACTCCGTCTCAAAAAATAAAAATAAAAATAAAAAAAGAAGAAACTGGCCTTCTAGCCAGCTGCTATTGGTGTATCTTTTCTTCCCCAACAGACTAGAAGCTCTCAGGCAAGAACGGAAATCTCTGCTTTCATCAATCAATCACCACTCATTAGTAGCGTCAGGGACTTAGCAGGCACTTTTCTAATTTTCACTACTTCACACCCCAGCTCTCTCCTTCCCTGACCCCCATCTCCACAGTTAGGTCCACTTTGGATTTCCTTACATTGACTCTTCCAAACTTTTTTTGAAAGCGTAGGCTTTCCTTGGCTTCTGCAAGCTACCGCGTCAACTATGAACCACATGGTACTGACTCCCAAATCGATCCCCAGCCCAGAGGGCTTCCCAAAGATTCAGAATCTTTTTTTTTTTTTTTTTTAAGGCGGAGTCTAGTTCTGTCGCCAGGCTGGAGTGCAGTGGCGTGATCTTGGCTCACTGAAACTTCCACCTCCCTGGTTCAAGCGATTCTCCTGCCTCAACCTCCCAAGTAGCTGGGATTACAGGTGTCTGCCACCACGCCCAGCTAATTTTGTATTTTTAGTAGAGACGGGGTTTTGCTTTGTTGGCCAGGCTGGTCTCGAACTCCTGACCTCAGGTGATCCACCTGCCTCGGCTTCCCAATGTGCTGAGATTACAGGCGTGAGCCACCATGCCTGGCCAACAACAGAAATTTATTGCTCACAGTTCTGAAGGCCGGAAAGTACAAGATCCAGGCCCCAGTAGATTCGGCATCGCTCTCCGCTTCAAAGATGGTGCCTTCTCACTGCATTCTCAACATGGCAGAAGGGGCAACACAAGTCCCTCAGGCCTCTTTCATAAGGGCGCTAACCCCATTCTTGAGAGTGGAATCCTCACAGCCTAATCACTTCCCAAAGGCCCCACCATGTTGGGGATCAAGTTTCAACATATGAATTTTAGGGGAACACAAACACTCAGACCACAGCATTTGGCTCCTGAACCCCCAAAAGTCATGTCCTTTTTACTTGCAAAATACATTCAGTCCACCCCAATGGCCCCAAATAGAAACTCATTCTAGCATCAACTCAAAAGTCTAAAGTCCAGAGTCTCATCTATCATCTAAATCAGATATGGGTGGCTGGGTGTGGTGTATCATGCCTGTAATCCCACACTCTGGGAAACCAAGGTGGGCGAATCACTTGAGGTCAGGAGTTCAAGACCAGCCTGGCCAACATGGTGAAACCCTGTCTCTACTAAAAATACAAAAATTAGCTGGGCATGATGGCAGGCACCTGTAATTCAGCTACTCAGGAAGCTGAGGCAGGAGAATCACTTAAACCTGGGAGGCAGAGGTTGCAGTGAGCCGAGATCCCACCAGTGCACTCCAGCCTGGGTGACAGAGTGAGGCTCACTCTCTCGCTAAATAAATAAATAAATAAATAAATAAATAAATAAATAAATAAATAAAATTTAAAAAAATCAATCAATCAATCAGGTATGGGTGAGACTCAAAGTACAATTCATCCTGGGGCAAATTCCCCACCATCTGTGAGCCTGTGAAATCAAACGTGTTATGTGCTTGTAAAATACAACGGTGGGACAGGCATAGGACAGACATTCTAAAAGAGAGAAACAACAAAGAAGAAAGGGGTAATAGGTCCCAGGTAAGTCCAAAACCCAACAGAGCAAACCCCATTCAATCTCAAGGTTTCTGAACAACCTTCTTCAACTCTATGTCCTCCTACCTTCTGGACACACTGGCAGGGACATGTTGCTGGGCTCTGGGCAGCCCTGCCTGTACAGGTTTGCTGGGCACAGCCCATGCAACAGCCCTCACTTGTTGGAGTTGCATGCCTGTGGCTCTCCCAGGCTGGAGTTGCACACTGGTGGCTCTACCAGTCTGGGGTCTCAGAGGCAACCCTACCCCCATAGCTCTGCTAGGCAATGCCCTAATGGGGACTTTCTGCAGGGGCCTTACCCTGTGTCAGTTCTCTGCCTGGGCCCAAGGCTCTTCAGGGCATCCTTTACAATCTAGGTGGGGGTAGCCATGCCCCTACAGCTTGTGTATTCTGTGCACCAGCAAAGACAGCGCCATGTGGATGCTGCCAAACTACCTCGGGCTGCCAAGGAGCACTGCCCCAGAATGCTAGGAACAGAGCCTTGAAATGGTTCTGCCCCCAACACCCTGGGCCTTCTGGGCCTGTGATGGGGGTGACAGCCCCCACATGCCTTCGGGGTCATCCTTCCATTGTCTTGATTAGTACCTGGCTTCCACATCCATACTAGTCTCCTTATCAAAGGATGGCTTGGCCACACCTTTCATATTCTCTCCAAATACATTTATTCTTTTTTTTTCTTTTTGAGACAGGCTCTCGCTCTGTCACCCAGGCTGGAGTGCACTGGTGCAATTTCAGCTCACTGCAGCCTCAATCTCCCAGGTTCAAGTGATCCTCCCACCTCAGCCTCTTGAGAAGCTGGGACCACAGGCACATGCCACCATGCCCGGCTAATTTTTTGTAGAGACAGGGTTGCACCATGTTGCCCAGGCTGGTCTTGAACTCCTGAGCTCAAGTGATCCACCTGCCTCAACCTCCTAAAGTGCTAGGATTACAGGCGTAAGCCATTGTGCCCAGCCTACTTTTTCATTCTTTACAACGTGGCCATGCTGAGAATCTTCCAAATGCTTAAGTTCTGCTTTCCTTTTGGCTTTAAATTCTGTATTTAGTTTGTTTCTCTCTTCTCACATTTTACTATAAGCCGTCAAGAGAAGCCATGCCACCCCCTCACCACTTTGTTCAGTGACTTCATCCACCAAATATTCTATTTCATCACTCTTAAGTTCTCCCACAAAACACTAGGACATAAGAAAGAAAAGAAGCTTTTATTTTTATTTCTTTCTTTCTTTTACTTTATTTATTTATTTTGAGACAGAGTTTCGCTCTTGTTGCCCAGGCTGGAGTGTAATGGTGTGATCTCGGCTCACTGCAAACTTCGCCTCCCAGGTTCAAGCGATTCTCCTGCCTCAGCCTCCCAAGTAGCTGGGATTACAGGCACACGCCACCACGCCCGTCTAATTTTGTATTTTTTTTTTTTCTTTTTTTGAGATGGAGTCTTACTCTGTCATCAGGCTGGAGTGCAGTGGCACAATCTCAGCTCACCACAACCTCTGCCTCCCGGGTTCAAGCGATTCTCCTGCCTCAGCCTCCCAAGTAGCTGAGATTGCAGGCACAAACCACCATGCCCCGCTAATTTTTGTATTTTTAGTACAGACAGGGTTTCACCATGTTGGCCAGGATGGTCTCGATCTCTTGACCTCGTGATCCATCCCCCTCGGCCTCCCAAAGTGCTGGCATTACAGGCGTGAGCCACTGCTCCTGGCCAAGAAACCTTTAATCTGAAGAATGTGAGCCCCCCCCAACCACCCCTTAATTATCAAGCCCAGAGAAGCAATGAGATGCAACAGCAGTCATGTCTCACTCCACACTTAAGCTAAATAATCAATCACCTCATGAAGCCACTTGCTATGTGAGCTCTAAACTAACTCATGCAAAGTAGCTATACAATGTCATACACTGGCATTTTCTGTAATTTCTCATATCCTATAGTTCAACAATGTATAGCCAGTCACTAATTCATGTTATCTCTGTAAATCAACGAGAATTCCTGTCAAACAACTTTTTTTTTTTTTTTTTTTTTTTTGAGATGGAGTTTTGCTCTTGCTGCCCAGGCTAGAGTGCAATGGCATGATCTTGGCTCACTGCAACCTCCACCTCCCGGATTCAAGCAATTCTCCTACGTCAGCCTCCTGAGCAGCTGGGATTATAGGCGCCGACCACCATGCCTGGCTAATTTTTGTATTTTTAGTAGAGATGGGGTTTCACCATGTTGGTCAGCCTGGTCTCAAACTCCTGATCTCAGGTGATCCACCCACCTCAGCCTCCCAAAGTGCTGGGGTTACAGGCGTGAGTCAACACACCTGGCCCCTGTCAAAAAACTTTGTGTGAGCCCACTCCTCATTCCCTTTTGCCTTTAAAAATCTGCTTGTAACAAAGGCCAAACAGAGCACTCCCCAAGGCAACTTACAAGTGTGTCCCAGGCTGCAGTCCTCAACCTTGGCCCAAATAAACTCTACATTAATTTTGCCTAGGCTTGTTCCTTTAGGTCAACAGGCACAAACCCAAATCAGCCAAGTTCTTTGCCACTTTATAACAAAGATCACCTTTCCCCCAGTTTCCACTAACATGTTCCTCATTTCCATCTGAGATCTCATCAGAATGGCCTTTACCATCCATATTTCCACCAACATTCTGTTCATGCCCTCTTAGGGCATCTCTAAGAAGACTGAGGCTTTCTCTACAGCTCTCCTCCTGTGCCCTTACCACACCTGTGCTTAATGATTTGTTCATGACAATGTAAACCTTTTCTAGTATGAACGTCAAAACTCAGTCTCTACCCACTACCCAGTTCCAAAGCTGCTTCCATATCTTCAGGTATTTGTTATAGCAGCACCCCACTTCTGGTACCAATTTGTCTTAATCCATTTGGCTGCTTTAACAAAATATTTTAGACTAGGGAATGTATAAACAACAGAAATGCATTGCTCTAGAGGCTAGGAAGTCCATGATCATGGTGCCAGCAGATTCGGCATCTGGTGAGGGCTTGCTCTGTGCTTCAAAGATGGCACCTTCAAAACTATGAGCAATATGTTTCTGTTGTTTACAAATATCCAGCCTAAGGTATTTTGTTACAGCAACCCAAATGAACTAAGATACTCACTCACTGGTTGAACATCTCTATCCAGAAAAGACCCCAAATTACTATGCTCAACATGGATATTTCTTACACACTTCTACTTCTCTATGGCTAGAAATTTTCCATAATAAAAATAATATTTAAAAAATCATACTGAAGTTAAAGCCTTAAAAAAATAATATTTTTAAAAGTCAAGAAAATGAAAAGAAAATCAGTGTGTCCAGAAAATATTCTAAAATTGGATTATGGTAATGATTTTATAATTGAATGTACTTTAAAAGCCAATTAACTGGTGGGGTACGGTGGCTCACCCCTGTAATTGCAGCAGTTTGGGAGGCCAAGGCAGATAGATCACCTGAGGTCAGGAGTTTGAGACCAGCCTGGCCAACATGGTGAAACCTGGTCTCTACTAAAAATACAAAAAAAGTATCTGGGTGTGGTGGTGCACGCCTGTAATCCCAGCTACTTGGGAGGCTGAGATGGGGTCTCACTCTGTTGCCCAGGCTAGTATGCAGTGGTGCAATCTTGGCTCACTGCAACCTCTGCTTCCCAGGCTCAAGCAATTCTCTCTCCAGGCTCAGCCTCCTGAGTAGCTGGGACTACAGGTGTGTACCACCACGCCCAGGTAATTTTTGTAGAGATGAGGTTTCACCATGTTGCCCAGGCTGGTCTTGAACTCCTGAGCCCAAAGTGATTTGCCCACCTTGGCTCTGAAAAGTGTTGGGATTACAGATGTGAGCCGCCACGCCCAGCCCCACATAATTTCTTATCTCCATGCCTGCCCTATGTTCACACTGTTCCCTCTATCTGGGACATCCAGATCACTCCTAATCCTCTCAGTTAATTACTTAATCTTTAAGATCTAGCTTAGCACCAAGTCACCTCCTCCACTGATCACAAACTGAAACTCCCAGTCTCCTAGGCAGGGTTAAGTTGCCTTTCTGTTCCCCTAAGACCCTCTTTCTTTTTCTTTTTCTTTTTTTTTTTGAGACAGAGTCTTGATCTGTTGCCCAGGCTGGAGTGCAGTGGCGCGATCTTGGCTCACTGCAAGCTCTGCCTCCCGGGTTCATGCCATTCTCCCACCTCAGCCTCCTGAGTAGCTGGGACTACAGGCGCCCGCCACCACGCCTGGCTAATTTTTTTGTATTTTTAGTAGAGACGGGGTTTCACCGTGTTAGCCAGGATGGTCTCGATCTCCTAACCTCGTGATCTGCCCACCTCAGCCTCCCAAAGTGCTGGGATTACAGGCGTGAGCCACCGTGCCCGGCCCCCAAGACCCTCTTTCTAGCACTGTACCTACCAAATCACATTCAAATCTTCTTTGTATATATTTGTCTCCTCCCCTAGTTTGTCCAGTCTTTGAGGATAGGGATCACTTTACTCTCCATACCTAGCAGAGAGCCTGGCACACTGGGTTCTCAATAAATGCTGACTGAATCACTATCCTTTCCTTCACCATAAAACTACCATACCTGGCTGGGCGTGGTGGCTCACGTCTGTAATCCCAGCACTTTGGGAGGCCGAGGCGGGTGGATCACGAGGTCAGGAGTTTGAGACCAACATAGTGAAACCCCATCTCTACTAAAAATACAAAAATTAGCCAGGTGTGGTGGCGGGTGCCTGTAGTCCCAGCTACTCTAGAGGCTGAGGCAGGAGAACTGCATGAACCCAGGAGGAGGAGGTTACAGTGAGCCAAAATCGCGCCATTGCACTCCAGCCTGGGTGACAGAGCGAGACTCCGTCTCAAAATAAAAAACAAAAAACTACCATACCTACCATCGTCACTTCTCCCATTCACGCCTCAGCCCACCCTCAGCTCCCAGGGAGCTCCTGGCAGCTCCTGGACCTTTCTGCTGCACTGCACACCTGCTTACATACTGCACCTCAAAGCTCCACTCTCTAGATTTCCAGGTGTGATGGTTAATCCTAGGTAACAACTGGTCTGGATTGAGGGATGCCTAGACGGCTGGTGAAGCGCTGTTCCTGGGTGTGTCTGTGAGGGTGTTGCCAGAAGAGGCTGACATTTGTCAGTGGACTAGGAGAGGAAGACCCATCCTCCATATGGGTGGGCACCGTCCAGTTGGCTGCCAGCATGGCTGGCACAAAGCAGGCGGAAGAAGGGGGACCAGCAGCTTGCTGAGTCCGCGTGCTGGCTCTGTTCTGTGTCACGCCGGACACTTGGCCTCCTCTCCCCTTGCCCTTGGACATCAGACTCCAGGTTCTTTGGCCTTTAGACTCTGAGACTTACACCTCTCAGGGGCTCTCAGGCCTTAGGCCTCAGACTGACAGCTGCACTGCTGGCTTCCCTGGTTTTAAGGCTGGCAGACTTGGACTGAATTATGCTACCAGCTTCTCTCTTTCCTCAGCTTGCTGATGGCCTATCATGGGATTTCACCTTGTAATCGTGAGGCAATTCTCCCTAATAAACTCATATATATGTGTGTGTGTGTGTTTGTGTGTGTGTGTGTGTGTGTATATATATATATACATATATATACATATATACATATATATACATATATACATATATATGTATATATATACATATATATGTATATATATACATATATATACACATATATATACATATATATGCATATATATACGTATATATACACATATATACGTATATATATGCATATATGTATATATATACACATATATGTGTGTATATATATACGTGTATATATATACGTATATATATATATACGTATATATATACATATATATATACACACACATATATATATACACACACAGAGTTCTGTCCCTCTGGAGAACGCTAACACACCAGGCCTCCACGCTCCCCAGTGTCTCTAACCACCATTCTGGTTTGTTGCCGCCTCCTTCTCTAACCCGGTGGAAGATCGCTCCGGGATCCTCTTCTCATTCTCTAAGCACTCCCTAAGCATTCTCATCAGCTTCAGGCTAAACTTCCAAATCAGTGTCACCAACCCTGACCTCTCAAGGCTCCCAATTCAGACTTCCAACTGCCCCCTGAATAATCCCACTGAGATGCACCCGCAGATGCTCACACTTCCAGTCCCGCACTGCTCTGCCTTCTAGATGCTGGTTAACAGCATTGCTGCACAGCTGGCTTCCCAAGCTGGGAATGCAGCCCCCTCTCTCCCACCACACTTGTCATTGTTTTAGTTTAGGTCCTCATCACCTGTCTCACTGTCTCATGTGGTTGTTCATAAAGTCTGTTTCTCTTGGCCAGGCACAGTGGCTTAAGCCTCTAATCCCAGCACTTTGGGAGGCCGAGGCGGGCAGATCACCTGAGGTCAGGAGTTCAAGACCAGCCTGGCCAACATGGCAAAACCCTGTCTCTACTAAAAATACAAAAATTAGCCAGGTGTGGTGGTGTGCGCCTGTAGTCCCAGCTACTCAGGAACACCTGCAGTCCCAGCTACTCAGGAGGCTGAGGCAGGAGAATCGCTTGAACCCAGGAGGTGGAGGTTGCAGTGAGCCGAGATTACGCCACTGCACTCCAGCCTGGGTGACAGAGCAAGACTCTGTCTCAAAAAAAAAAAAAAAAAAAAAAAGTCTGTTTCTCTAGAAAAACACACACACACACAAAACTGAGTAAACAATATATGCACGTAGTAAAAAAATTCAGATTATTTTTGAAATACAACGAAATCTCCTATCGCTACAGGCAACTAGTTGTTTCTTGGGTATTCCTTTAAAGATATCCCATGTACATATAACAAGAAAAAATGGTGTGTATCTCATAAAAGCTTTTGCTGACAAAGACACACAGATAGACACACAACACACAGAGGTTGAAACTTTCAGGGAGAGAGCTGACCACGTGGTCTGGAAGATCACTGTGCCTACTGGGTAGTGCCTAGCCTGGCAGAACCACCTCATTTTGTAATTTCACAATAAGCTCTTGCTATCCCTGGATCCCATCAGCCACGAACTTTCAAAGTGGACCATCTAACTGTGCCCACTGCCTTGATGTCCCTTGCCTCTGGCACGTATCTGGCGAATGGCAACACACTCTTACCACGCAAACATCCTCTCTTCTTTGTGGCCTCCTTGGCTACCAACAGTTATTACAGAACCTCTGCCTCCCCAGAGCACTCTGGTCACCCCTGTTTCCAATTATCTCCCTTTTTCCCCTAATTAAGGTGAAAGAAAAATGCAACATTAAAGGATGTTTTAAAGCAAATCCCAACAACCTCAAGTGATTTTCATTCTGTATCCACCTTCTGTAAATGTTATATAACCACAATCAGAGCACACACACCCTTTTAAGACTGCTTTCTATGTGTGGAAGAGTCTTCTACTCAGACTTCAAGCCCCTTAAAAGTAGAAGAACTAAGTCTTTTTTTTTTTTTTTTTTTTTTTTGAGACAGGGTCTCACTCTGTCACCCAAGCTGGAGTGCAGTGGCCCAATCTCGGCTCCCTGTAGCCTGCACCTCCCAGGCTCAAGTGATCCTCCCACCTCAGCCTCCCAAGTAGCTGAGACTATAGGCATGTACCATCACACCCAGCTAATTTTTAAATATTTTTGTAGAGATGAGGTCTTGCCTTGTTGCCCAGGATGATCTCAAACTCCTGGGCGCAGGCAATCCTCCCGCCTCAGCCTCCTTAAAGTGCTGGGATGACAGGCATGAGTCACCATGAGCGGCCAAGAACTGTCTTAATGGATTGTCTTTGCATCTTGGTACCCAAAATAAAGCCTGAAATACAGGAGGGCTTGGATCCCCATTTGTCAGACCTTACTTGGGAAAACACTGAAGAGGCGAGCAGCATGCCCAGCATCAATACAAGTATAATTTCCCACAAAGAAATGAAGTACGCCACCTGCCATACAGCCATCAGGGAAAGGAACTGGACCTTCATGTTCCAGGAATAGTCCAAGGAGGGGGAAGGGAGAGAACAACTGTAAAGTTCTCATAAAGCCTCACACTCACCCTGGATGAATTATTTAACCTTTCTGGGTCTCAATAAAATTAAAACAAGAGCACCTACTTGATGATCAACTATCTAAGAAAGGTCCTAGGCAGTGGCCGGCCCAGAGCATGCACTTAGTGAACGCTAGTGGCCCTTCTCATCTGGAGGCCAGGGGTCTGCTGTTACACTGAGCAAAAGAGCCAATCGCACAAGCAAAAGAAATGCTGACGCTTGCCAAACCTAGGAATAACCCCACGATGATGGCCTGGCCAAAGACCACACCATTTAAGGGCTCTCGTTTGAGCTTTGCCTACTGGGTAGTGGCTTGTCTGAGAGAACAAGCTCTTCCTATGATTTTACATCAAAGTGCTGCTATCTCTGGATCTGGTCAGTCATAAGTCTAAACTTCCCCAGGAAACATGTTCTAAGTAGAAGCAAAGGTTTCTGTGACCTTCTGAGAACAAATGCCAAGCCTGCTGGTGCAAAGCAAGTGGGAATGAGGCCCTGGGGTTGGAACCATAATGAATTGGAAGGCCAGATGAGGGGACACTGCACTTCCAGGCCAAGTGGCTGGTTTTATCAGAGTCCGAGGGTGCCAGCTAATCTTATCACAATTCTATCATGTAAACAAAACTGTCCCAAACCCTGAGAGGCTCAGCAATTCCAGCAAGGTTTCAAGCATTCTTAGGAATGCTGAGGTAACGCCCAGTACCCTAAACTTTTTGACTCCTAGCATGCTCGTGTTCCCACTGACTTAGAAGGCCACATCTTTTCTTTCTTTCTTTCCCCTGCACCTTTTGTGTTTTTTTGTTTTTTGTTTTTAGAGACGGAGTCTTGCTCTGTTGCCCAGGCTGGAGTGCAGTGGTGCGATCTTGGCTCACTGCAATCTCCACCTCCAAGTTTCAAGCAATTCTCCTGCATCAGCCTCCCAGGTAGCTGGGATTGCAGGTGCCAGCTACCGCACCCAGCTAATTTTTGTATTTTTAGTAGAGACAGGGTTTAACCATGTTGGCCAGGCTGGTCTCCAACTCTTGACCTCAGGTGATCTGCCTGCCTCAGCCTCCCAAAAAGTACTGGGATTACAGGCGTGAGCCACTGTGCCTGTCCAGCTAATTTTTAAACTTTTTGTAGAGATGGGGTCTCACTATGTTGCCCAGGCTGGTCTTTAACTCCTGGGCTCAGGCGATCCTCCCGACTCAGCCTCCCAAATTGTTGGGATTATAGGTGTGAGCCACCACACCTGGCCTGACGAAGTTTTAATAACTGCTTTAAATTTTTAAAAAAATTTATTTTAACTAATTATTTTGATTCTCTTTTAGAATTCTTGTCAGTTGATACCAACATCTGGGTCCTCTTGGGGTTGATCTTCGTTGATTGCCTTTTTTTTTTTTTTTTGAGACAGAGTCTTGCTCTGTCACCCAGGCTGGAGTGCAGTGGTGCGATCTCAGCTCACTGCAAGCTCCGCCTCCCAGGTTCACGCCATTCTCCTGCCTCAGCCTCCCAAGTAGCTGGGACTACAGGCACCCGCCACCACGCCCAGCTAATTTTTTGTATTTTTAGCAGAGACGGGGTTTCACCATGTTAGCCAGGATGGTCTCGATCTGCTGACCTCGTGATCCGCCTGCCTTGGCCTCCCAAAGTGCTGGGATTACCGGCGTGAGCCACTGCGCCGGGCCCGTTCATTGCCTTTTTTTGTAAACACAGATCATATTTTCCTGTTTTGTAAAAATATATTTTAAAATTTTCGTTCTTTTTTTTTTTTTTCTTGAGACAGAGTCTCGCTCTGTTGCCCAGGCTGGAGTGCAATGGTGTAACCTCGGCTCACTGCAACCTCTTCCTCCCAGGTTGAAGCAATTCTCCTGCCTCAGCTTCCTGAGTAGCTGGGATTACAGGTGTGCGCCACCACGTCCAGCTAATTTTAGTATTTTTAGTAGAGATGGGGTTTCACCATGTTGGTCAGGCTGGTCTCGAACTCCTGACCTCGTGATCCACCCACCTCAGCCTCCCAAAGTGCTGGGATTACAGGCGTGAGCCACTGTGCCGGGCCCATTCATTGCCTTTTTTTGTGAACACAGATCATATTTTCCTGTTTTGTAAAAATATATTTTAAAATTTTCGTGGTTTTTTTTTTTGAGTCAGAGTCTTGCTCTGTTGCCCAGGCTGGAGTGGTGGCACGATCTCAGCTCAACCTCCACTTCCTGGGTTCAAACAATTCTTGTGCCTTAGCCTCCTGAGCCTCCTGTGTACCACCACGCCTAGCTAATTTTTTTGTACTTTTAGTAGAGAAGGGGTTCTGCTATGTTGGCCAGGCTGGTCTCAAACTCCTGTCCTCAAGTGATCTGCCTGCCTCAGCCTCCCAAAGTGCTGTGCTGGGTTTACAGGCATAAGACACCATGCCCAGGCCATTTCTTGTGTCTAAGAATTTTGGATTATATCCTGGACATTGTAGATGATGTGTTGTAGACTCTGGATTCTGTTATGTTCTTGAGAGTTTGGTGTTTTGTTTCTGTTAACATGCAGTTAATCACAGCTGAACTCAAACTCCAAATCTAGCTTCCCTGAGGCAAGCATCAGCTGAAATCTGTACTGATCTTTTAAACTTGGCTAAGTTGCTTGGAATATGCCCCATGTTTGTCTAGTTCAGAGGTTTAGGCAGACTTTTTAAAATAACAGCTTAATGGGCCGGGTGCGGTGGCTCACACCTGTAATCCCAGCACTTTTGGAGGCCAAGGTGGGCAGATCACTTGAGGCCAGGAATTCGAGACCAGCCTGGCCAACACTGTCTCTACTAAAAAAGTACAAAGATTAGCTGGGTGTGGTGGCACACACCTGTAATCCCAGCTACTTGAGAAGCTGAGGCACAAGAATCGCTTGAATCCGGGAGGCGGAGGTTAAAGTGAGCCAAAATCGCACCACTGCACTCCAGTCTGGGTGACAGAGTGAGATTCCGTCTCAAAACAACAACAACAACAAAAACAGCTTAATGAAGATAATTCGCATGCCATACAATTCTCTATCTCTCTATCTACTTATTTGAGACAGGGTCTCACTCTCATTGCCCAGGCTGGAGTGAAGTGGTGTAATTACAGCTCACTGCAGCCTTGACTTCTTTGGCTCAGTCAATCCTCCTGCCCCAGCCTCCCAAGTGGCTGGGACTACAGGTGTGCACCACCACGCCCAGCTAATTTTATAATTTTCTGTTGAGATGAGGTCTCATCATATTGCTCAGGCTGGTCTCAAACTACTGGGCTCAAGCAATCTTCCTGCTTCAGCCTCCCAAAATGTGCTGGGATTAAAAATGTGAGCCACCGCACCCACCCCAATTCACTTTTTTAAAGTGTGCAATTCAGTGTTATGTTAGTCACAAGGTTGTGCAAATATCACCACTATCTAATTTTAGAACATTTTCACCAACTCTCCTTAAAACCTTATACTCATTAGCAGTCATTCCCCACCCCCTTCTCCTCTCAGTCACTGGCAGCCATTATTCTAATTCATATTTGTAGATTTGCCTATTCTAGACATTTCATATAAATAGAATTGTACTGTGACCTTATGTGACTTGCTTCTTTCACTTAGCATGTTTCCAAAGGTCATCAATGTCACAGCATGTATCAGTAACTTCATTCCTTTTTATGGTTAAATAACATTCCATTCTATGGATAGATGTCGTTTTTAATCCACTCATCTGTTGAAGAATTTGTGAAGAATTTGGAATCCCTTCTCTGGGGCTATCTTCTTTCCATCATGGGCTTTTTAATGCCTCATGACAAGGCATTTAACAAAACCAATAAACAGGCGGGTCGCAGTGGCTCATGCCTGTAATCCCAACACCTTGGGAGGCCAAGTACAGAGGATTGCTTGAGCCCAGGAGTTTGAGACCAGACTTGTCAACATAGCGAGGCTCTATCTCTACCAAAAATAAAAAGTACCCAGGTGTGCAGCCAGGCGTGGTGGCTCACACCTGTAATCCCAGCACTTTGGAAGGCCAAGGCGGGTGGATCATGAGGTCAAGAGGTCAAGACCAGCCTGGCCAACATGGTGAAACCCCATCTCTACTAAAAATACAAAAAAAAAAAAAAATTAGCTGGGCATGGTGGTGCATGCCTGTAGTCCCAGCTACTTGGGAGGCTGAGGCAGGAGAATCACTTGAACCCGGGAGGTGGAGGTCGCAGTGAGTCGAGACTGCACCACTGCACTCCAGCCTGGCGACACAGCGAGACTCCGTTTCAAAAAAAAAAAAAAGTACCCAGGTGTGGTGGTGGACTCCTGTAGTCCCAGCTTTCAGGAGGCTGAGGCAGGAGGATCTCTTGAGGCCTGGAGTTCAAGACCAGCCTGGGAAACACAGCAAGACCCCGTCTCTGAAAAAAAAAAAAAAAAAAAAAAAAAACAGAGAAAGAAAAACAGAAAATACTGGTGACATAATTTAGGCTTCTGGATAGAGTCCCATCTGAAACTGATTTACTCCAGGACTCTTCAGCTACAGTCTGTGAGGAAAAAACAAAACTTTCTCCTCTGCTGTCACAATATAGGATAATCAACACATAAGATTTCCGTGGCCAAATGTGTGGAGATTTCTCCCCAACACCAATCAATCCATTGAGTCTGCAGTGGATACACGCTGGATGTCCTCTAATTCAGTTTATTTCCAACACTATCCACCCAGACAGAGTGTCAAACCCCACAGGTTGAGGGCTCAGTCCCACGAGCATGTCCCCCCAATTCTCAATGCCAGTCACAAGCCCCCAGTTGCTTTATTTGTGCTTCTGACCAACTGACTATAAATCAGGGTTTCCATGACTCCCTCCTTGGGTTCCATTAATTTGCAGGAGCAGCTCTCAGCACTCAGGGAAACACTTAGGTTTACTGGCTTATTATAAAGGATGTCACAATGGATACAGATGAAGGAAGAGGTGCACAGGGCAAAGCATGTGGGAAGGAGCGAAGAGCTTCCATACCCACCCTGGGCACGCCACCCTCCAGGAAGCTCCAAACTGGGATACAAACCAGATATATATTTTACAATATCACAGAGTCAACAAACACCCCTTTCAGCTTAGGCTAGTCAGAGTAGCTTTTTGTTATCTGCAACTGAGTAGCTTGACTAATAAGAACTTTCATTAAGCACGGTCTGAAGAGATAGCCAATTCTGAGGGACAAAGGCTGCAGGGTAGAAGCATATGTTAACCACTAATACCCAGCCTAAAATTGCTGGCCCTTTTACTATAATAGCATAAAAGGCCTCAAATAAACAAATCCAAATATCCTACACTTAAGCCACTCTAAGATTAATCCCACAGGGCTTAAAACAGTAAGAGCTTTGTTCTGGGTCAAAGGGAAAGAGGAACCTAATACCCCACACTCACATCCCACACTCTCAACCCAGTCACTAGCAATGAGAATCTGCAAACTGGGTGCAGTGGCTCATGACCGTAATCCCAGCATTTTGGGAGGCCGAAATGGGAGGATCACTTGAAGTCAGGAGTTCAGGACCATCCTGGGCAACACACGGAGGCCCTGTCTCTACAAAAACAAAATAAAATAATTAGCTGGGCAGGGTGGTGCACATGTGTAGTCCTAGCTACTCAGGAGGCTATGGCAGGAGGATCACTTGAGCCCAGGAATTTGGGAATAATGAGCTATAATGGCACCACTAGGCTCCAGCCTGGGTGACAGAGTAAGACCTTGTTTCTAAAAAAAACATAAGTAGGTTGGGCGCAATGGCTCACACCTGTAATCCCAGCACTTTGGGAGGCCAAGGCCGGCAGATCAACTAAGATCAGGAGTTCAAGACCAGCCTGGCCAACATGGTGAAACCCTGTCTCTACTAAAAATACAAAATTAATCGGGTGTGGTGGCACATGCCTGTAATCACAGCTACTTGGAAGGCTGAGGCAGGAGAATCGCTTGAAACCGGAAGGCGGAGGTTGCAGTGAGCCATGATTGCGCCATTGCAATCCAGCCTGGGCAACAAAGAGTGAAACTCCGTCTCAAAACAAACAAACAAACAAACAAAAAATTAGCCAGGCATGGTGGTGCATGCTTGTAATCCCAGCTACTCAGGAGGCTGAGGCAGGAGAATCACTTGAACCCGGGAGGCAGAGGTTGCAGTGAGTTGACATTGCACCACTATACTCCGGCCTGGGTGACAGAGCGAGACTCCATCTCAAAAATAAATAAATAAATAAATAGAATCTATATTCATCAATTGGTTAAAGAGACATTAAGAAGACAATTTTTTTCCTTCATGCCTCTGTATTGCAACTTATGCCAGTGTTTCTCATTTAAACCTTACAGCAATCCTATAAAATAGATAACAGAATAGTAAGTATAGTGAAGAAACTGAAATTCAGATAGGTTATGCTAGGTAACTCAGGAAAAATAGGTAGTTGAGCTGGGGCTGCAAGGCTGCAAGTTCTAAAACCTATGCTCTTCCTCTGAATTCCAAGTTGTGTCACGACTTCAGCATATTCAATAGTAAAAGAGATCACAAAAGTGGAAGCTGCCAACCCACCATTAGGCTATTATGACAACACTCAAAGTATCACCAGTAAAATGATGATTGAGGCAACTGAAAAACAAAGCTAGGGAAATGTGATGGTTAACTTTATGTGTCAAACTGATTGGGCTAGGGGATTCCCAGATAGCTGGTGAAACACTTTAGAGTGTGTCTGTGAGTTTCCTGAGGGTTTGCTTTCCTGGGCTTCCAGCTTGCAGATGGCAAATCTCGGGACTTCTCAGCCTCTATAATAGTGTCACCCAATCCATCACAATAAATCTCTTTTAAAATAGCTATACAGTTGACCCTCAAACAATGCAGGTTTTAATTGTGCAGGTCCACTTATATGTGGATTTTCTTCCACCTCTAGAACTCTTTTTTGAGACAGGGTCTTGCTCTGTCACCCAGGCTAGAGTGCAGTGGCACGATCTTGGCTCACTGCAGCATCCACCTCCTGGGTTTAAGTGATTATTGTGCCTCAGCCTCCCAAGTAGCTGGGATTACAGGCGTGCACCACCACGCCCGGCTAATTTTTTAATTTTTTTTTTTTTTTTTAGAAGAGACTGGATTTCACCACGTTGCTCGGGCTGGTCTCAAACCCCTGAGCTCAGGCAGTCTGCCCACCTCGGCCTCCCAAAGTGCTAGGATTACACGCATGAGCCACCGCGCCTGGCCAGTATTTACATTTAAAATGTGAAACTGGGATTGCGGTGGCTCATGCCTGTAATTCCAGCATTTGGGGAGGCTTTGGTTAGGAGGACTGCTTAAGCCCAAGAGTTTGAGGCTGCAGTGAGCTGTAATAACACCACTGTTCTCCAGTCTGAGCAACAGAGAACGTGTCTCTAATAAAAACAAAAATGTGAGATGATGCCTAGGTTAGAATCAGCAGAGGAGAAGCCAGAGAGAGCAGAGGCAAAGGAAGAGAACGTTCAGCAAGCCAAATGAAAACAGTGTTTCAAGGAGGGGCAGTGATCCACAGCATCAAATGCTGAACAGGACTGAGACCTAACTTAACAATGCATTTGGCCACCTAGAGATCACTGGTGGCTTTGACAAGAAGCCTTTTTAGTGGAGTGGTGGAGACCAAAGCCTGACTAGAGGCTCAAGGGTTCAAGACTTGGAGGAGAAAAGGCATTAGTGAGGGTAGACTAAGGCCTTTGGCTGCAAACCGGAGCCGAGGAGGAGGTAACTGGAGGATAGCGAGGGTGAAGGAGGCTGTTTTGTTGTTCTTAAGACGGGCATTTTTTGGCCGGGCGCGGGGGCTCACGCCTATACTCCCCACACTTTGGGAGGCCGAGGCGGGAGGTTGAGCCTCCTGGGCAAACGACGAGCTGTTAGTGTATCTTGTTAAGAACTATATATATATACAAAATTTTTGTGCAAATCATAAAATAAGTGCTGGAGTTCGGGGCCCATCCTCTGTCCGCATCTTCGTGACCCGGGTCCGAGTACCCCACCTGGAAGCTGCGTCCGTGCCGAGCCCAGCGTGTCGCTGTTTCCCACCCTCGCCGGGGATGGAAGCACGCAAGCGCAGACCTCGAGCGGCCGGGCGCAGGGCCCGCCCTCCCCGAGCCCCGGCCCCGCCCTCCTCTCCCGCCCCCACCCCCACGAGCCCCGCCCCCCTCCCGCCCAGAGCGCGTGCGCACCGCCCCTAGAGCGCCGCCTCAGGGAGGTCGGGAGCCGCGGCGCGGAGGGAGGACTCAGCCCTTCGCTCCCGCGTTTCGCCGGAGGTCTCAGGCCACGGCCCGTCGCCACCTACCGAGTCCGGGACAAAACAAGCTCGTCGGGCTGGAAACTGCGACGAGGGGAGCAGGCGCGTTCCTCGAACCCTTTTTCGGAGTCTGCGGATGATCACAGACCTGCGTTCGAAGATTGGCGGCACGTCGAGAACCGCACACGCTTTTTTTTCCTTTTATGAGCGTAGTCGCGCGCGGAGGACCTTGCACGCATGCGTAGTCGTTCCTCTGTGACGTGACCCGCTGCCCCGTGGGAAATGTAGTTTTCACTTGGCACACCGCTCCGGCTCTTGGCGGAACCCTAATTTAACCAACCAAAGTGCTTGTGCGTTTTCAGCGTTTTCTCCCATTTCCCCAGACTCTATTTAAAACAAAATGCAATAAATAAATAAATAAATAAAACTTGAAAGCGAACAGATTGCTGCTTGCTGGAGGTGGGTGGGCGCAGGGGTAATATGAAAACTGTACTTTCTGCTCAATTTTGTTGTGAACCTAAAAATGCCCTAAAAAATAAAAGTCTGTTGTTAAAAAATTAATTAAAAACAGGCCGGGCGCGGTGGCTCACGCCTGTAATCCCAACACTGGGACGCTAAGGCGGGCGGATCACCTGAGTTCAGGAGTTTGAAACCAACCCGGCCAACATGGTGAAACCCCGTCTCTACTAAAAAATACAAAAATCAGCCGGGCGTGGTGGCGGGTGCCTGTAATCCCAGGTACTGGGGAGGCTGAGGCTGGAGAATCGCTTGAATTCAGGAGGCGGAGGTTGTAGTGACTGGAGATTGTACCATTGCACTCCAGCCTGGGTGACAAGAGGGAAACTCCATCTCAAAAAAACAAACAAACAAAAAACAAGCAGATCTTTAGACCCAGAAATCGCACTTCTAGGGAATCTTCTCAGGAAAGTACTAAGGATATGGACGTGCAATGGACATGTAGCCTCAATGGTATTTTATCGAAAGCCATCCTGGTATCTTAAAGTTTCTTACATAACCTACAAATGTCTGTAATTATTTGTTGATTATTTGATAAACTTGCAAGTCCTATGAGATTGGGATCATCTTGTGTTCACCTGTGTATTCCTAGTACCTAGCACAGTGCCTGGCCATCACATGTTTCTTTTTTTTTCTCTTTGAGACAGGGTCTCGCTCTGTTGTCCAGGTTGGAGTGCAGTGGTGCCATCAGGGCTCCTGAGTAGCTAGGACTACAAGCACACACCAGCACATTCTGCTGATTTTTAAATTTTTTTTGGTAGAGATGGGGGTCTTGCTATGTTGCATAGGCTGGTCTTGAGTTCCTGGGCTCAAGCGATCCTCCTGCCTCAGCCTCCCAAAGTGCTGGGATTACAGGCATGAGCCACCAACCTCAGCCCCGTCAGTATTTTTCTGTTTATTAGAGAATCTCAGGCGTTAGCACTGAAACTATGTTAACCCCAAAATTAATGCATCATTTTCTTCCATCACACTTGCAGTTCTTTCTGTGGGCGTCAGGTCAGTGAATGACATGCCCATCCACCCAGCTGCAGTTCTACTTACTGCCTTTTATGAAGGTTATGCTTTGAGGGATTTTGCAAATTTTGCATTTGTAAAGGTCTCAGGGGCTCTTTTTCCTGATTGTTAAATATCAGCCCTAGCTAGGCCAGGCGTGGTGACTCACGCCTGTAATCCCAGCACTTTGGGAGGCCGAGGTGGGCAGATCACGAGGTCAGGAGTTTGAGACCAGCCTAGCCAATATGATGAAACCATGTCTCTACTAAAAATACAAAAATTAGCTGGGCATGGTGGCACGCACCTGTAGTCCCAGCTACTCTGGAGGCTGAAGCAGGAAAGAACCACTTGAACCCAGGAGGCGGAGGTTGCAGTGAGCCAAGATTGCGCCACTGCACTCCAGTCTGGGCAACAGAGCAAGACTCTGTCTCAAAAAATAAATAAATAAAATAAATTTAAAAAATCAACCCTAGTCACTGATCAGGAGAGATGTAGAGCTTACAGTTGTTTTTTAAATTATTTTGGTCTCTGCCCTGTTTTAAAATTTTATCGTTAATTTCTGATTTTTCTACAATAAACATGTATTTATTAACTTTTTAAAAAGTGTTTTAGAGTGTTGTCCACATGTAAGGAATTGCTCTGTCTTCTCCACATCCACATTTCTCAAAAGAATCATCTATACTCAGTTTTCATGTCCCACCTCCTACTTAGTACAATGTCCTGAGCCAGCACCTGGGGGTTATCCCTGACATCACCCTTTCCCTCCCCTCCCTCATTCAATCCACCACGTGTCTGCAATATAAAAACACATTTGTTAGGCACTTGCTATGCACCGGGCACTGTTCAAAATCCTTTACACATATTCATTCATATAACACAATCCACCTACTTTTCACCTCCACCACATCCACCCTAGGCCAAAGTAGGGACATCTTCCCTAAACAACTGCAAAGGTTCTCTGTTTTTTAATCGCTGGTGCTAAGGTTGAGTTACTTATTTCTACTTAATGACACACTTCGTCATTGGGCTCTGCACGGCCTCTCTATTTATTTGTTATTTTAAAAATTTTTTTGAGACAGAGTCTCACTCTGTCACTCAGGCTGGAGTGCAGACGCGCGCCACGACGCCCAGCTAATTTTTTATATTTTTAGTAGAGATGGGGTTTCACCATGTTGGCCAGGCTGGTCTCAAACTCCTGACCTCAGGTGATCCACTAACCTCAGCCTCCCAAATTTCCTGGGATTACAGGCGTGAGCCAGCGCGCCAGGCCTCAGCCCTCTGCTTTCAACACCTGTCATTGTGGGCACACTTTACCTATGACTTACAGCAACCATGCAATATTTCGAAGTGGGCAGCAACATTTCAGTTATGATGGACCTGTAAGTTGCCTCCAACTACTACTGGCTACCACAAACAATGCCACAGTGAACAACCTCATGCTTATTCCCCTGCGGTCTATATGAAGATTTCTCTGAGATGTATGCCCACTAGTGAGACTGAGCAATGCCATCTTAAATGATCTCCCCTCATCTATTCGGGCCAGAGTGGCACATGCCTACAATCCCACTGCTTTGGGAGGCTGAGGCTAGAGGATCACTTGAGGCCAAGAGTTCAAGGCAACAGTGAGCTATGATTGTGCCACTGCACTCTAGCCTGGAAAACATAGCAAGATCCTGTCTCTACAAAAAAAATCTTTTTAATTAGCCAGGCGTGGTGGCATGCACCTGTAGTCCCAGCTACTACTGAAATTGAGGCAGGAGGACCGCTTGAGCCCAGGAATTCAAGACCAGCCTGGGTAACAGAGTGAGATCTCATCTCTACAAAAAATTTAAAAATTAGCCGGGCGCGGTGGCTCACACCTGTAATCCCAGCACTTTGGGAGGCCGAGGTGGGTGGATCACAAGGTCAGGAGATCAAGACCATCCTGGCTAACACGGTGAAACCCTGTCTGTACTAAAAATACAAAAAGTTAGCCAGGCGTGGTGGCGGGCGCCTGTAGTCCCAGCTACTTGGGAGGCTGAGACAGGAGAATGGCATGAACCCAGGAGGTGGAGCTTGCAGTGAGCCGAGATCGTGCCACTGCACTCCAGCCTGGGTGACAGAGCGAGACTCTGTCTCAAAAAAAAAAAAAAAAATTTAAAAATCAGTCCAGGCGGGGTGGCTCACACCTGTAATCCCAGCACTTTGGGAGGCCAAGGCGGGCGGATCACGAGGTCAGGAGATCGAGACCATCCTGGCTAACACGGTGAAACCCCGTCTCTACTAAAAATACAAAAAATTAGCTAGGCGTGGTGGCAGGTGCCTGTAGTCCCAGCTACTCGGGAGGCTGAGACAGGAGAATGGCATGAACCCGGGAGGTGGAGCTTGCAGTGAGCCGAGATCGTGCCACTGCACTCCAGCCTGGGTGACAGAGTGAGACTCTGTCTCAAAAAAAAGTAAAAATCAGGCCAGGCGGAGTGGCTCACACCTGTAATCCCAACACTTCGGGAGGCCAAGGCGGGTGGATCCCCTGAGGTCAGGAGTTTGAGATCAGCCTGGCCAACATGGTGAAACCCTGTCTCTACTAAAAATACAAAAATTAGCTGGGCGTGGTGGCGCATGCCTGTAATCCCAGCTACTTGGTGAGGCTGAGGCAGGAGAATCGCTTGAATCCAAGAGGCGGAGGTTGCAGTGAGCTGAGATGGTGCCACTGCACTCCAGCCTCATAAAAAATAAAAATAAAAAAAATTAGCCGAGTAGTCCCAGCTACTAGGGAGGCTGAGGCAGGAGCATCGCTTGAACCCGAGAGGCAGAGGTTGCAGTGAGCTGAGATTGTGCCACTGCACTCCAGCCTGGGTGACAGAGCAAGACTCTGTCTCAAAGAAAAAAAAAATCAGCCGGGTATGGTGGGGGACAGGGAGGTGGGGCATGAGGATCACTTGAGCCCAGGAGGTTGAGGCTGCAGTGAGCTGTGAATACGCCGCTGCACTGCGCTCCAACCTGGACAACAGAGTGAGACCATTTCTCAGAACACACACACACACGCGCGCACACACACAGCTCTCTCAGGATCTGACCTCCCATGGCAAAGAGGAAATTGTAACTATTCACAATTTAATGGTTTTTGTCCCCGCTGCAGGCACACGTAGCCATATCATGACCAGAAGGTGGCATAGTGTGCCTGCAATCCAAAAGGAAAAAGATGAAATACATTAACTCTTAAATGTTGCCTTTTTTTCTGATATACATTGTGCAAAAGTCCAACACTACAGAGATCTGGAGTCCATAAAGGAGAAAGTAAAAA
This sequence comes from Homo sapiens, assembly GCF_000001405.40. Taxonomy (NCBI): domain Eukaryota; kingdom Metazoa; phylum Chordata; class Mammalia; order Primates; family Hominidae; genus Homo; species Homo sapiens. Next base: position 28,549,353 of record NC_000016.10, on the reverse strand, counting down.
TTATCCAGAACCCCAGTCTAGGATATAACCACTTTGGAGAGTTTGGTTTACATCTCATTGCCCCCCCTACTTTTATTTTCAATAATGAAAATAATTTTTCTGGCCAGGTGCGGTGGCTCACGCCTGTAATCCCAGCACTTTGGGAGGCCGAGGTGGGGGGATCACCTGAGGTCGGGAGTTTGAGACCAGCCTGGCCAACATAGTGAAACTCGTCTCTACTAAAAATACAAAAAAAAATAGCCAGGCGTGGTGGCCCGCACCTGTAATCTCAGCTGCTCAGTACTTGGGAGGCTGAGGCAGGAGAATCGCTTGAACCCAGGAGGTGGAGGCGGTGAGCCAAGATCATGCCGCTGCACTCCAGCCTGGGGGACAGAGTGAGACTCCGTCTCAAAAAAAAAAGAAAAAGAAAAAGAAAATAATTTTTCTTGCAAAAATGGGAGCACAGATGCACCGTTGCGGAGGGCGACAATGATGTCTGGGCTCGCTTCATTCTACATGGGTTGGGGCATGGGGTAGGGGGGCACGGCCCCTTGGCCCGAGGTGGGAGGGTAGGGGACGGTGTCTGTGGCCCAGGGGTGGGTGGGGTGGGACAACGCATTGTTTTCAGGGCACTCCGTCTACACCCGTTACACTCCGCAGCAAAGCCGTCCCAGGTCTCCACCCACCACCCCACCCATCAGGACACCAGGAAGACGCACTTGACCTGCAAGAGACTGTTTGAATACATCTTCCCTAAGAGGATGGACTGATGCTGCAGGCTGGACAAACCGCCAAGCTGAGCTCCAAGGTCCCCCTGACTGAGCCCTGGGATCCTCTTGACCTTCAGCAGAACTCCACCTTTGAAGTCCGGTACCCACCAGGCGGCTGGATGAGCGTGCCTCCATGCAGGGGCGCTCAGGCAGAAAGTCAGCCAGAGCAGATGAAACCTGAATTGTTATCCCAACCAAAAATTACAGCACGATGTTGCCCTCCCTTGTTTTTTTGACATACACCTGGGTGTTAAAGACCCCTCCATGTTGACCCCGTGGGGCATGGGCCAGACAGCCCAGTGGAGGAGACGACCAGGACCAGCCCTGGTGAACGTGAAAACCCAGAAGTGACGGCATTGGACATCAGATATCAGTGACCCCAGCTGGAAACAGATTTGATATTTGAGAATTTTCACTGGAGCTTAAATATGATAAGTTTAGGACGGTAGACATTTTTATGGGTTTTTTTGTAAGTATGATCTTGACTAATCAAACTGTCTATAAAAGAAATTGAATGGGCTGAATCAATGGCTAATATGGATACCTCAGGGGTTTTTGTGTGGTTTTTTTGTTTTGTTTTGTTTTGTTTTGACAGGGTCTTGCTTTGTCACCCAGGCTGGAGTGCAGTAGCACAATCTTGGCTCGCTGCAACCTCTGCCTCCCCGGCTCAAGCGATCCTCCCTCCTCAGCCTCCCAAGTAACTGGGACTATGGGTACACACCACCACACACAGCTAATTTTTGCTTTTTGTGTGTGGTGGGTTTTTTTTTTCTTCTTTTTTTTTTTTTCAGACAGCTCCTTGCTCTGTCGCCCAGGCTGCAGTGCAATGGCACGATCTCGGCTCACTGCAACCTCCACCTCCTGGGGTTCAAGTGATTCTCCTTCCTCAGCCTCTTGAGTAGCTGGGATTACAGGTGCCACCATGCTGGGCTAGTTTTTGTATTTTTAGTAGAGACAGGGGTTTCACCATGTTGCCCAGGCTGGTCTGGAACTCCTGACCTCAAGTGATCTGCCTGCCTAAGCCTCCCAAAGTGTGGGGATTACAGGCATGAGCCACCGCTCCCGGTCTTAATTTTTGTATTTTTTTGTATAGACGAGGTCTCGCCATGTGGCCCAGGCTGGTCTCAAACTCCTGGGCTCAACCAATGTGCCCTCCTCAGCCTCCCAAATTGCTGGGATTACAGCGTGAGCCACCACGCCTGGCCTCGTTTTTTTTTAACAGTGCTAAGAGGTAAGGAGGACTCCCTAGGAGCAGTTCGCAGTGGCAGGGAGGCATATTTTATTACTGACATTGTTGAGAATTGATAGTGATAATAAAAGGCAGAATGATTTGGATCAGTTTAATTATTAAGTTCTTTATAGACAGCCTGGATCAGGGTAGGGGACTGCTCCCACTGCCCTGTCCCAAAATGCTCCCTTAAAATTATTTCCAGATATTTAAGAGCTTTATGGCATGACCCAATTGCTATAAAAATTTTAACTTGAAGGAAAATCTATACTATAAAGTAATCGTTTCTTTAAAGATACATTTTAAGCAAGAGGGTTTGGAAAAATCTTTATGTCTACACCTGGTAAGCACAAGCCATGTATATTCCGTTTTTCTTTCTTTCTTTCTTTCTTTGTTTTTGTAAAAAAAATTTGTTTTGAGCCAGGGTCTCACTCTGTTGCTCAGGCTGGAGTGCAGGGGCGCAATCACCGCTCACTGCAGCCATGACCTCCCCAGGCTCAGGTGATCCTCTGGCGTCAGCCACCTGAGTAGCTGGGACCACAGGCACGAGCCACCACACCTGGCTAACTTTTGTATTTTCTGTAGAGATGGGAATTTCGCCATGTTGCTCAGGCTGGTCTCAAACTCCTGGGGTCAAGCCATCCGCCTGCCTTGGCCTCCCAAAGTGCTGGGATTACAGCACCAGGTCCAGCCATTTCCTTTTTTTCTATGCAAGAGTATTGATATATGTACTGAATCATCCCATACTTGCCAATGTATGTGATCACATACTTATCTTGCTGGGATCACAGGCAAGAGCCACTGCGCCTGGCCCAAGTTTACTTTTTTTTTTTGGAAATGGAGTTTTGCTTTTGTTGCCCAGGCTGGAGTGTGATGGCGCCATCTCGGCTCACCGCAACCTCCGCCTCCCGGGTTCAAGCGATTCTTCTGCCTCAGCCTCCAGAGTAACTGGGACTACAGGTGCCCACTACCACGCTGGCTAATTTTTTGTATTTTTAGTAGAGACTGGGTTTCACCATGTTGGCCAGACTGGTCTCGAACTCCTGACTTCAGGTGATCCACCCGCCTCGGCCTCTCAAAGTGCTGGGATTACAGGCATGAGCCACCACGCCCGGCCCCATGTTTACTTTTATAGTCCCAGCACCAAGCAAGTGCCTGGCACATGGTTAGTACCCTAAACATTTGCAGACTGGAGAATGCATGCCTCTCTGGTCTTTACTTTCCTCTTCTGTTAAATGGGGTCGGGTTTGCTGATCTCCCAGAAGACATCAGTAATAAAATTTATTATTTTAGATTTTTTGCTTCTTTCTTTTCTTCTTTCTTTCTTTCCTTCCTTTTTTTTTTTTTTTTTTTTTTTTTTTTGTGTGTGTGTGTGTGTGACACAGAGTTTCGCTCTTGTTGCCCAGGCTGGAGTGCAATGGCGCAATTTCAGCTCACTGCAACCTCCACCTCCTGGGCTCAAGCAATTTTCCTGCCTCAGCCTCCCAAGTAGCTGGGATTACAGCCATGTGCCACCAAGCCCGGCTAATTTTGTATTTTTAGTAGAGACGGGGTTTCACCATGTTGGTCAAGCTGATCTCAAACCCCTGACCTCAGGTGATCCACATGCCTTGGCCTCCCAAAGTGCTGGCATTACAGGCATAAGCCACCGCGTCCAGCCTTATTCTAGGTTTTTCTACTACTGTGTTTTATGTGGCTGTCTATTTTAGTTGTCAGGAGAAAATGTCACACCTCTATTATGGTGAAAACTGTGTATTACTCATAGTTATCTATACATTTAATGCAAAAATATAATTTGTAGTGTACATGATGTTCTGCAACCTGTGTTTTTCATTAGGAATGTATTATGGACATCTTTCTCATCAGAGATAGAGATACATTCTCTCTCTAAAGAGTATTGAATGGCTACAGTGTTTCACAGAAGGAAACTGATCAGTCACCTACTGATGGACATTTAGGTTGTTTCCGATTTTTGGTTTTTGCTTTTTTTAGAGACAGGGTGTTGCTCTGTCGCCCAGGCTGGAGTGCAGAGGCACCATCATGGCTCAAGCCATCCTCCTGCCTCATCCTCCTGAGTAGCTGGGACTACAAGTACACACCACCATGCCAGTCTTTTTTTTTTTTTTTTTTTAAGATATGGGGTCTCGCTATGTTGCCCAGGCTGGGTTTCCTGTTTTTCACTACTACAAACAAATGAACTTCCTTGTACCTGCCTCTTTACTCACCTCTGGGAAGATTTCTGTAGGAGAGACTCCTGAAAGTGGGACTGCAATATCAGGGGGATATAAGCATTTCAAAATCTTATCAATGTTGCCAAACCACCCATTAAAGACAGCATCTGGCTGGGCGCAGTGGCTCATGCCTGTAATCCCAACACTTTGGAAGGCTGAGGCAGGCGGATCACCTGAGGTTAGGAGTTCGAAACCAGCCTGACCAACATGGTGAAACCCCGTCTCTACTAAAAATACAAAAATTAGCTGGGCATCATGGCATCTGCCTGTAATCCCAGCTACTAGGGAGACTGAGGCAGGAGAATCGCTTGAACCCGGGAAGCGGAGGTTGCAGCTAGCCGAGATTGCGCCACTGCACTCCAGCCTGGGCAACAAGAGCAAAACTCCATCTCAAAGAAAAAAAAAAAAAGACAGCATCCACTGATATTTAAAACGATGATATCACACAGCCAAGAAAACTTGCAAATGCAGCTGCCAGATTTGACATTTTTATCTGGGATGGGGTTGTGAGATCATATGGATATATTTTGTTTAACCTCATTTAGATTTCTTGTGTCCTCTTGGAACACAGCGATGTCCAATCCACCTTAATTACGTATTCTGCCTTCAGCCTGGGAAGCTTCTGTTCCTTTGAGCTAGTGACTTCGTACATCCCTCAGGCTATCCAACAGAGAGGAAGTCTTGCTGTGTTGCCTAGGCTGGAGTGCAGTGGTGCGATCATGGCTCACTGTAGCCTCAACCTCCTGGGCTCAAGTCATCCACCTGCCTCAGCCTCCTGAGTACTTGGAGCTACAGGCATGCACCACCACGCCTGGCTAACTTTTGGATTTTTTTTGTAAAGATGAGATCTCGCTATGTTGCCCAGGCTGGTCTTGAGTTCCTGGGCTCAAGCAGTCCTCCTGCCTCGGCCTCCCAAAGTGCTGGGATTACAGGTGTCAGCCTTTGCATCTGGCCCACAAACAGCCATTCTTGTTCAAACTTTGCCTCCAGGCCTGGCGTGGTGACTCACGCCTGTAATTCCAGCTATTTGGGAGGCCGAGGTAAGAGGACCACTTTAGCCAAGGAGTTCAAGACCAGTCTCGGCAACATAGGGAGACCTCATCTCTACAAAAAATAAAATTAGCTGGGCATGATGGTGCGTGCCTAAAGTCCCAACTACTTGGGAGGCTGAGGTGGGAGGATCCCCTGAGCCCTAGAGGTCGAGGCTACAGTGAGCAAGGTTGCTCCACTGTATTCAGCCTGGACGACAGAGTGAGAACCTGTCTCAAAAATAAATAAATAGGCCGGGTGCGATGGCTCATGCCTGTAATCCTAGCACTTTGGAAGCCGAGGCGGGTGGATGACTTGAGGTCAGGAGTTTGAAATCAGTCTGGCCAACATGATGAAACCCTGTCTCTACTAAAAATACAAAAATTAGCTGGGTGTAGTGGTGCATGCCTGTGATTCCAGCTACTCAGGAGACTGAGACAGGAGAATCGCTTGAACCCGGGACACGGAGGTTGCAGTGAGCCGAGATCGTGCCACTGCACTCCAGCCTGGGTGACAGAGCAAGACTCTGTCTCAAAAAAAAGAGAAAAAAAGAAAAAAGAAAAGAAAATTAAAATTAAATTAATTAATTAATTAAAAATAAAAGAATTAGAAAACAAGCTTCACCTCCTCCAGGAAGTGTGCCTTCATCTCCCTATCTCCAGAGAGGTTAGGTGCCCTCCTGGGAGCTCCCAGCCCTCTGCGTTTACTCCAAGCTGATGGCGCTGGGTTGTCATAGGTGTGCCTAGCAACGTCACGAAGGTGTAACTCTAAGCAGGAAGAAAATAAACTTCCTCGTGGCAGATTTTACATGCACCTGGAGGCTTGAGGATGGGAAAATGAAACCATCCCTGTAAACCTCATGCAATTAATCAGAGAACAGAGAGGAGAAATGGAAACAAGCCAGGCTTGCAGCACACCCAGCGCTGATCATGAGGTCAGCTGCCCCCTGATCTGCTTCCTCTTAGTTGTCTGGTGCCTGCTGTTCTAGAATCACGTAGACCTGGTTACAAGATCATAGTTCCCCTTAACTGCACTAGAGATAGCAACTTGAACGTTATGAAACATTAAATGTTACTTTTGAGAAATTCCTTCAGGTCCTGCGTGCCGGTGAAGCGACTGACTCCGCCAGCCTGAAGGACCCCACCAGGAGCTAACTCCCCAAAAATGTCTTTTTCACATCATGATGATTTCATTTCCCTTGCTCTGACCAATGACCCCAATTTTCTAGCCTCTCACCCTCCATAATCCCCTTAAAAGCCCCATCCCAGAATTCCCTGGGGAGATGCATTCGCAGGTCTCCTCCTATCCCCTTGCACAGTGCCCTGTGATCATGAAACTCTCTCTACTGCATCCCTGCTGTCCAGTGTAATAGGGCTGTGACAGGGCAGCAGGCATACAAATCTGCTGTTCCTGTAACAAAAAGCACACCTCTACGTCTAGATGGAGCCACGTCTAGAGCCCTGCAGATCCATGCTAGAGGGGTTCCAGCAGGCTGGAGTACAATGGCGTGATCTCGGCTCACTGCAACCTCTGCCTCCTGGGTTCAAGAGATTCTTCCGCCTCAGCCTCCCGAGTATCTTGAATTACAGGTGCATGCCTCCACGCCCAGCTAATTTTTGTATTTTTAGTAAAGACGGAGTTTCACCATGTTGGCCAAGCTGGTCTTGAACTCCTGACCTGGTGATCCACCCGCCTCGGCCTCCCAAAGTGCTGGGATTACAGGCGTGAACTACCGCGCCTGGCCCTTTTTTTTGTTTTGTTTTGTTTTTTGAGATGGAGTCTCGCTCTGTCGCCCAGGCTGGAGTGCAGTGGCGCGATCTGGGCTCACTGCAAGCTCCGCCTTCCGGGTTCATGCCATTCTCCAGCCTCAGCCTCCCCAGCAGCTGGGACTACAGGTGCCCGCCACCACACCCGGCTAATTTTTGTATTTTTAGTAGAGACGGGGTTTCACCATGTTGGCCAGGCTGGTCTCCAACTCCTGACCTCAGGTGACCCACCCAACCTCGTCGGCCTCCCAAAGTGCTGGGATTACAGGCGTGAGCCACCATGCCCTTCCTCCTTCTCTCATAGGCTTCTTTCTTCCAGCACCTGTAAGATCAAGGCCAGGGAGACCTCCTTCCCTGGCTCCATCTGGGACAATCACAGTGTTTCTGTGGTCCCCTGTGAGGCTACAATTCGCCTCTCAGTTCCTGCATTGCAGAGCAGGTGGAAGCTGAGCAAGCAACACTGATCTTAGCAGAGCCTCATGTATTCAACTAGACATTTACTGAGCTCAGACTGAGTGCCAGGCATTGAGGATACAATATGGCAGGCAAGATTCCTGCCCCGAGAATAATGATAATTAAAATAGCAAGCATTTATTGCACACTGATTATCTTCTAGGCACTGCGCTAAGCATTTTTTTTTTTTTTTGAGACCGGGTCTCACTCTGTCGTCCAGGCTGGAGTGCAGTGGCGCGATCTTAGCTCACCGCAACCTCTGCCTCCTGGGTTCAAGCGATTCTACTGCCTCAGCCTGCTGAGTAGCTGGGATTACAGGCACACACCACCACGCCTAGGTAATTTTTGTATTTTTAGTAGAGACGGGGTTTCACCATTTTAGCTAGGCTGGTCTCGAACTCCTGATCTCGTGATCCACCCACCTCGGCCTCCCAAAGTGCTGGGATTACAGGTGTGAGCTACCGTGCCCGGCCCCAACCTTCTTTTCTTTTTCTTTTTCGAGTGCAGTGGCACGATCATAGCTCACCGCAGCCTCAAACTCCTGACCTCAAGTGATCCTTCCACCTCAGCCTTTCAAAACAGTGGGATTGCAGGTGTGCCTCACCTTATCCAGCCTAGGTGCCATTAATCCCACTGTATAGACGAGTAAACAAACATGCAGACTAAGCTTGTCTAAGAGCACACAGCTAACTAGGGGGCAGAACCAAGCTTTAGACCTGAGAAGCCCTGTTCCAGAGCCTACTCCTTTAACCATTAACTAAACTAAACCAACGGTTGCATGCCAGTGGGGACAAATAATGGTAAAGCAAACAAATAAAAAAGATACTGGCCAGGTGGCTCACGCCTGTAATCCCAGCACTTTGGGAGGCCGAGGCGGGCAGATCACCTGAGGTCAGGAGTTCGAGACCAGCCTGGCCAACGTGGTGAAACCCCGTCTCTACTAAAAATATAAAAATTAGCCGGGCGTGGTGGCACAAGCCTGTAATCCCAGCTACTCAGGAGGCTGAGGCAGGAGAATCACTTGAACCCAGGAGGCGGAGGTTGCAGTGAGCCGAGATCATACCACTGCACTCCAGCCTGGTGACAGAGTGAGACTCTGTCTCAAAACAAAAACAAACAAACCAACAAAAAAAGGATGGAGTCTTGCTCTATTGCCCAAGCTGGCCTTGAACTCCCAGCTTCAAGCAATCCTCCCAGCTTACCCTCCCAGAGCCCTGGAATTACAGGCATGAGCTACCGCACTAGGCCAATCTTTGCTTAATTTAAGATTATTTTCCTCTTTCTCTGATCACCTGGTCTGTTATTATTGGCCCAATCCTGTTTTCATTCAAGTATCCTGTCTTCACTTTCATTTCCTGGGTGTTAAGGAACTCATACATCATCCAAATCTGGGAAAACAAAGGCTAAATTCAATTCCGGCTCAGGCAAGGGAGAAACACAAGCAGAAGTTCAGCTTTTTGTGTTTTTGTTTTTGTTTTCAGACACAGTCTCATTCTGTTGCTGAGGCTGGAGTGCAGTGGCTCGATCTCAGCTCACCACAACCTCTCCCTCCCAGGTTCAAGCGATTCTCCTGCCTCAGCCTCCTGAGTAGCTGGGATTACAGGCACTTGCCACCACACCAGGCTAATTTTTGTATTTTTAGTAGAGATGGGATTTCGCCATGTTGGCCAGGCTGGTCTTGAACTCCTGACCTCAGGTGATCCACCCACTTTGTGGATCTCCCAAAGTGCTGGGACTACAGGCATAAGCCACCACGCTCGGCCTCATTGTGTCTTCTGCCTCAGTACATCCATATTTTGAAATACATATTATTTTATTATAATTTGTTTTTGAGACAGGGTCTCCCTCTGTCACCGGGCACTGTAGCATGTGTCTTTCAAACATTATCTCATTTGATCCTCTCCCCAACTCTAGGAAGAAGATACAATTATTATCATCCTTATTTTACAGAATTGGAAACCAAGGCACAGAGAGGTGAAGGGACTCGCCCAAGGTCACACGGAAAGTGGTGGGTCAGGGGATTGAACTGAGGGCAACTGGCTCCAGACCCTGAACTCTCCAACCCTCTGCCACCCTCCTCCTAGGTGAGGGAGATTACATTACTGGGGACCCTGTTTCAGGATATTAAGGGGTTTTCCAAGATGTTTCTCATAGAAAAAAGAAAAAAAAGGGTGTGGCTCATGCCTGTAATCCCAGCACTTTGGGAGGCCGAGGCAGGCAGATGACTTGAGGTCAGGAGTTCAAGATCAGCCTGTCCAACATGGTGAAACCCCATCTCTACTAAAAATACAAAAATTAGCCAGGCATGGTGGCAGATGTCTATAATCCCAGCTATTCGGGAGGCTGAGCCAGGAGAATTGCTTGAACCTGGGAGGAGGAGGTTGCAGGTTGCAGTGAGCCAAGATCACACCACTGCACTCCAGCCGGGCGACAGAGACTCCATTTCAAAAAAAAAAAAGAAGACAAGCAAGATGTTGAGTGTGACTGGGTGGAAGCCACTGACTTGTCCCTGGCACAAGTGTGCTGATATCCCTTCCCCCTCCTTCCTCACGTCCTGCATCTCAGCGAGAATTGGGGTGCCGGGGTTAGCTGTGTGGCCGTCATCCCAGGCCCAGGTGAAGCCCTCGATCAGGTGAGGCCATGATCCCAACGAGTGTTTTAGCCCAGATCCTGCCTCTTCCCTGCTTTCTGCCGAGAAGCGGGACCTCCTCTATGGAAAATATCCAGCTGGGTGAGCCTGGGAGGGAGGAGGTGAGTTGGGCTGGACTCAGGGACCGACTCTTCCCGTCTCATGACTGTGTTTACTGGGCTGGATTTTGGGAAGGGGCCAGATTGCATCAGACAGGGCCTGATGGGCTGGAGCCAGACTGTGGTCTGAGGAGGAGACACAGCCTTATAAGCTGAGGGAGTGGAGAGGCCCGGGGCCAGGAAAGCAGAGACAGACAAAGCGTTAGGAGAAGAAGAGAGGCAGGGAAGACAAGCCAGGCACGATGGCCACCTTCCCACCAGCAACCAGCGCCCCCCAGCAGCCCCCAGGCCCGGAGGACGAGGACTCCAGCCTGGATGAATCTGACCTCTATAGCCTGGCCCATTCCTACCTCGGTAAGGCCCACTCAGCCATCTCCACGGTCCTTCCTCCTCTCCCGAAATCAGGACCCACCCCTCTTGTTTCCTCTCATTTCCTTTCCTTTCCTCTTCGTTTCTTTCTTTCTTTTTTTTTGAGAGAGTCACTCTGTCACCCAGGCTGGAGTGCAGTAGTGTGATCACAACAACTCAAACAACTCACCGCAGCCTCGAACTCCTGGGCTCAAGTGATCCTCCTGCTTCAGCCTCCTGAGTGGCTGGAACTTCAGGTGTACACCACCTGCAGTGGTGAGATGGGGTCTCACTATGTTTCCCAGGCTGATCCCAAATTCCTGGGCTCAAGCAATTCTCCTGCCTTGGCCTCCCAAAGTGCTGAGATTACAGGAGTGAGCCACCCTGCCCAGCCCACTCACCCTTTTCTAGCCAACCTGTTCCTTGGACCCTCACGTCACCCCTGTCTAATCCCTTATCCCAGGAGTGCTATGTTACTCAGCCTGGGACCTCACACACATCTGGGGTCCCACATTCCACAGAGGGGAAGCAGCAGGCTTCTCCCTGCTCTTCCCATCCCCACAACCCTGAACCCCTGCCTCTCCTCTGACAGGGCCTCTCATCATGCCTATGCCCACTTCACCTCTGACTCCTGCCTTGGTTACAGGAGGTGGAGGCCGGAAAGGTCGCACCAAGAGAGAAGCTGCTGCCAACACCAACCGCCCCAGCCCTGGCGGGCACGAGAGGAAACTGGTGACCAAGCTGCAGAATTCAGAGAGGAAGAAGCGAGGGGCACGGCGCTGAGACAGAGCTGGAGGTAAGGAGTCGGGGGGCCCAGAGAGCTCAAGGTGGTGCTTCTGCCATGAAGGACAGGCCGGAAGGTGTGTGATTGGGTGGGGAGGAGGGATCAGGCAACTGTTGTCTTGATGCAGAATAAAACGAGACATATGTTTGATTGTGAGTTTCCTAGTGGCCAGAGCAAAGTGGGAACACAGAACCTTTCCAATTGAAGGGAAATTTGACTTACAGAGACAGAAATTGAGGATAGAGAGGGTGGGTCCTTCCCTGGAGTCACAAATCAAGTGAGTGGGAGAGGCAGAATTAGAACCCAGATCTCTGTCCCTTTTACCACCTGCTTTTCCTCACCCCCCAGATGAGGCCAGACCATGGACACTACACCCAGCAATAGAGACGGGACTGCGGAGGAAGGAGGACCCAGGACAGGATCCAGGCCGGCTTGCCACACCCCCCACCCCTAGGACTTATTCCCGCTGACTGAGTCTCTGAGGGGCTACCAGGAAAGCGCCTCCAACCCTAGCAAAAGTGCAAGATGGGGAGTGAGAGGCTGGGAATGGAGGGGCAGAGCCAGGAAGATCCCCCAGAAAAGAAAGCTACAGAAGAAACTGGGGCTCCTCCAGGGTGGCAGCAACAATAAATAGACACGCACGGCAGCCACAGCTTGGGTGTGTGTTCATCCTTGTTCTTTGTGTGTTTTTGTTCGGGCATGTGTGTGCTTGCCTGTGCCTGCACATTCATGAGCCTGAGAGAGCATCTTTGATGTGTATTTGTGTTTGGTGTATGTATCTGGGGCAGGGAGTGTTCCTGCTCTTGCAGGGTCTACGCTGTGAATGCAGCTTTTGGTTTGTTTGCTTTTGCTTGCATATATTTTAGTGCATACATTTCTGTGGGCTCCTACGTAGTGGAAAGGAATTTCTTCTGCTTTTTTGCGATACTGCCCATGAAACACGGCCCTCCCCAGCACCTGTTTTTGTTGATTGTGTCCTGTTCATAGACGGGAACGCTACTTATGAGTGCCATCTAAAAGTCAGAGAAAACTGAGATTTAAAATATTAAAAGCCAGGGCCGGGGGCAGTGGCTCACGCCTGTAATCCCAGCACTTTGGGAGGCCGAGGTGGGTGGATCACAAAGTCAGGAGTTCAAGACCAGCCTGACCAACATGGTGAAACCCCATCTCCACTAAAAATACCAAAAATTAGCCAAGCATGGTGGCAGGTGCCTGTAATCCCAGCTGCTCAGGAGGCTGAGGCAGTAGAATCGCTTGAACCCAGGAGGTAGAGGTTGCAGTGAGCCGACATCGTGCCATTGCACTCCAGCCTGGGTGACAGAGGGAGACTCTGTCTCAAAACAAACAAACAAACAAAAACTAAAGTCTGGGAGCAGTGGCTCATGCCTGTAATCACAGCAGTTTAGGAGGCCGAAGTGGGAGGATTACTTGAGCCTAGGAGTTTGAGACCAGCCTGAGCATCATAGTAAGACCCCATCTCTACAATTTTTTTTTTGAGACAGAGTCTCACTCTGTTGCTCAGGTTAGAGTGCAGTGGCACCATCTTGGCTCACTGCAACCTCTGCCTCCCGGGTTCAAGCAATTCTCGTGCCTACGCCCCCTGAGTAGCTGGGATTACAGGTGAGCACCACCACGCCTGGCTAATTTTTGTTTTTTTGTTTTTTTGATACAGAGTCTCACTCTGTTGCTCAGGCTGGAGTGCAGTGGCATGATCGCAGCTCACTGCAACCTCCGCCTCCTGGGTTCAAGCTATTCTCCTGCTTCAGCCTCCTGAGTAGCTGGGACTACAGGCACCTGCCACCATGCCTGGCTAATTTTTGTATTTTTAGTAGAAACAGAGTTTCACCATGTTGGCCAGGATGGTCTCAATCTCTTGACCTCATGATCCACCCACCTTGGCCTCCCAAAGTGCTGGGATTACAGGCGTCAGCCACCACGCCTGGCCAATTTTTGTATTTTTAGTAGAGATGGGGTTTCATCATGTTGGCCAGGCTGGTCTCAAACTCCTGGCCTCAAATGATCTGCCCACCTCAGCCTTCCAGCCTTTGGGAGGCCAAGGAGGGAGGATCGCTTGAGGCCAGGAGTTCGAGACCAGCCTAGGCAACATACCAAGGCCCTGTCTCTACAAAAATTTAAAAATTAGCAAAGCATGGTGGCTCATGCCTGTAGTCCTAGTTGCTCAGAGGCTGAAGTTGGAGGATCCCTTGAACCCAGTTGGAGGCTACAGTAAGCCATGATGGTGCCACTGCACTGCAGCCTGAGCAATAGAGTGAAACCATGTATTGAAAAAGAAAGAAAGAAAGAAAGAGAAAAAGAAGGAAGGAAGGAAAAGAAAGGAAGGAAGAAAGAAAAGAAAGAGAGAAAGGAGAGAAAAAGAAGAAAGAGAGAGAAAGAGAAGAAAGAAAGAAAGAAAGAAAGAAAGAAAGAAAGAAAGAAAGAAAGAAAGGAAGGAAGGAAAGAAAGAAAGAAAGAAGGAAAGAAAGAAAGAAAGAAAGAAAGAAAGAAAGAAAGAAAAGAGCGAGCCCCGGCACAGTGGCTCACACCTGTAATCCCAGCACTTTGGGAGGCCAAGGCAGGCGGATCACCTGAGGTCAGTAGTTCGAGTTCGAGGCAGAAGTTGTGGTGAGCCAAGATCACGCCATTGCACTCCAGCCTGGGCAACAAGAGCAAAACTCCATCTCAAAAAAAGAAAAAGAGAGAGAAAGAAAGAGAGAAGGAGGGAAAGAAAGAGGAAGGAAAGGAGGGAGGGAAGGAGGGAAGGAGGAAAGGAGGGAAGGAAATATTAAGGGATTTGCCCTAGCTCACTCAGGGCTCATATTCAGGGATCTTATTGTCTTCAGATATGAGGTGGGTCCCCAGGCCAAGGGGGCTGTGGGACAGGGTTCTGGGAAGTGAGATGGGGGAGGGAGATTCTTATTCAGTGCTATGTCTCAGGACCAGAGTTGAAGAAAAATATGGGGCAAACAGGAAGTGTGGTTGGAGCTGAGATTATTTGTTGATTGAGATACAGGTTTGGGTTGCTATTATGAAGAATCAAAACAGGATACAAAGTTACTCCTCTCTTACTTAGCCCCAAGTCCTCCTGGGTTCAAATGGCAGCTCCATTGTGTTGAGGATTCCAGCTATTTTTACTCACTGTTCTGCCACACCCAAAACATGGCTTCCACTTTGAGGCCCAAAATAGCTACTCCAATACCTGCCATCACGTTTGCATCTCAGCCTGTGGAAAGAGTGTGGAAGAGACAGAGGAGGCCACACCTCTTCAATTTTAGGGCATAATCTAAAAGTAGAACACATCACATCTGCTCCGAATGTGGCTACATGGCCACACCCAACTACGAGAGAGGTTGGGAAATGTAGCATTGAGCTGCTTAGCCACGTGGTAGCCAAAACTTGGGCAACAGCAGGGTTTTATGATGAAAGGGAACCAGAGAGAGTGAATACACGAAGAAGCTAGCAAGAAACATTGCCCACATGCAGACTCAACAGATGTCGGGGGAGAAAACTCTGAGATTGGGCCCCGGGCAGAGCCTGTTTCCTTTTCCCCTGTCCCTTTCACATAAGCCCCACACTGCAGAACTTGGAGTCAGTGGTTCATGGGGACCCAAGGACATCCACAGAAGACCGAAGTACCTGATAGAGCAGGAACAGATGCACGTCAGACTACGACCAGCTTGAACCCTTGGGGACCTGTATCCATCCCCTTCCCTTGAGTCCAGCCTAATCACAGCCACAGAATGAATCCATGACCCGGAAGGACATTTAAGGACCTCTGGCCCAACTCTCCCCACGCAACAGTGGGATTGCCTCTGCTTGTTTGAATACCACTATGGAGGGGGAACTTGCTACATTTAAAGGTTGCTGAATTTTTTTGTTTTGTTTTGGGAGATGGAGTCTCTCTCTGTCGCCCAGGCTGGAGTGCAGTGGTGTGATCTCGACCCACTGCAACCTCCGCTTCCTGGGTTCAAGCGATTTTCATGCCTCAGCCTCCCTAGTAGCTGGGACTACAGGTGTGGGCCACCACACCTGGCTAATTTTTGTATTTTTAGTAGAGACGGGGTTTCACCATGTTGCCCAGGCTGGTCTCAAACTCCCGACCTCAGGTGATCTGCCTGCCTTGGCCTCCCAAAGTGTTGGGATTACAGGCTTGAGCCACACCACCCGGCAAAGGTTGCCTAATTCTATCTCAGGGCAAGTCTGTTCATGTGGGCTGAAATCTGTCTCTCATACCTGCCCTTAAATAAGCTTCTGTTTTTCTGGTCCTTTCTGTCTGAGATGACTTTAATTCCTCCCCCGACCCCATCTCATGAGGCTCAGCTTAGATGTTTCCTTCTCTTCCTCCCTGATGGCTGCGTGCAGAAGCTCATACCTGCAATCCCAGCACTTTGGGAGGCCGAGGTGGGAGGATTGCTTGGGCCCAGGAGTTCTAGGCCAGCCTAGCAACACAGCAAGACCCTCTCTCTACAAAAAATTAAAAATTAGCCAGGTGTGGTGGCTTGTGCCTGTGGGCCCACCTACTCAGGAGGCTGAGGTGAGAGGATCTCTTGAGTCTGGGAGGTGGAGGCTGCAGTGAGCCATGATCTCACTCCAGCCTGGGCGTCAGAGTGAGACCTGTCTCAAAAAAACAAAAACCAAAGTTTTCCTTAACTTGCAATCCTCCACCCATCTCCTGACCTCCACCCCAGGCCGACCCTCCTCTGGGATCACACGGAAGCCTGGGCCCAGAATCTTACAGTCTACCTTGGAAATCCTTCAGATTTTGCCTCCAACTCCTCTTTCCATACAAGTTACATATTAACTCAATCAATGCTTATTGGATGCCTTCTGAGTTACCAGGATGCTGCTGGAGGCCTGTGCTGCTGAGAGGGACAAATAGAATCCTGATATGACTGGAACCAGGAATAGGGCCACCATCAGCTCTAGAACCCAGGGAGCAAATGGCAGGAGCAACACCAGGCAGTCGGCCCTCAGCCCAGCACAGACCTGGTGTGTTGGCTTCAGAAAATCCTGGAAACATCTCTGCTGTGTTTGGAGCTCCTATTCTGTGAGAAGTGTTTTATAGGCTTTGCTCCATTTAATCCTTACGATAACCCAATAGGACATACTATTAATGATCCCCTTTTTTTCAGACCGGAAAACTGAGGTTCGGAGACATTAAGTAATTTGCCTAAAGTCACACAGCCACATCCTGTAGGACTTGGAATTATGAACTCAGGTCTATCTGAATTTTAAAGCCTGGATTTTTCCCCCTTTGCTACATGCCTGGGAAGAACCATGTATTGACAATGAAGAATCCTAAACTCTCGTTAATTTCTGGTCAATTACTCCTCTGGGCCTGGGTTTCCTCACCTGTCAAATGGTGAGACTGGCCTCTCTTCTGTCAAAAGAGAAAATGAAGGCTGGGAAGCACTGTGTCCCTAGCTGGAATGGCCACTCCCTGTCCTGGGTCCTTTGACACCAGCCAGGAGTCCTCACACACTGCCCCTCCCTCCTGGCCTCTGATTGGCCTTTCCTGGCCTCGCCCTCGCCTGGCACAGCCTCTGCCTGAGAGGCCTTTAAGTGGCTGTTCTGGGAATTAAGGCAATTCTTGGAATTGCAGAATTTTTGGATCCGAAAGGATCCTACCCAGACTCTTCCTCTTCTGTCTCCATCCCCTTTCCTAAACCCTTTCTTTTTCTTCTGGTTGCATGTCTGTTTCCCCATTTTGGGGGGATCCCCCTGAGAACTAGAGAAATCACTGACCTCTGTCCTACCCCAGGGGCTTACAGAATTGGCCCTGTCAGGCTTCTGTAACTCAAAGGACTCCCGACTCCTTGCAGAGAACTGAGAAACTCACCATGGGGTTGTCTGTCTGTTCTGCAAGCAACCTGATTCTCTTCCACCTTCCCCTTTCTCAAAGGCCAGCTCACAGATACAGGAGTACATTTTTAAATTTCAGAATCACCCTCAGTTTTCTCCTTTTTGAGACAGGGTTTCAGTCTATCACCCAGGCTGGGGTGGAGTGGTGCAATCACTGCAGCCTTGACCTCCTGGGCTAATTTTTAAATTTTTCGTAGAGATGAAGTCTCGCTGCTATGATGCCAAGGCTGGTTTCAAACTCCTGTCCTCAAGTGATCCTCCTGCCTCGGCCTTCCAAAAGTGGTGGGATTACAGGCATGAGCCACCGTGCCCAGCCCCAAAATTGATTTTTTAACTAAAATCCCCTAAAGTTAATGCTAATGACAGTAATAGTTCCAGCTACCACTATTGATAATCTACCTTAGGGTTTTCCCAACTTCATCTTTCCCATAGCACTTTTGTGATTGATTTCTGCTGTCTATACATTCAAACTATACTATATATATTATGCTATATTTACTTAGCATTTAAAAACTACCTCCTGCCAGTCACAGTGGCTCACGCCTGTAATCCCAGCACTTTGGGAGGCCAAGGCGGGCAGATCACCTGAGATCAGGAGTTCGAAACCAGCCTGGCCAACGTGGGGAAACCCCATCTCTACTAAAAATACAAAAATCAGCCAGGCGCAGTGGTGGGTACCTGTAATCCCAGCTACTCAGGAGGCTGAGGCAGGAGAATTGCTTAAACTCGGGAGGCAGAGGTTGCAGTGAGCCAAGATCGTTCCGTTGCACTCCAGCCTGGGCAACAGAGCAAGACTCTGTCTCAAAAAAAGAAAAAAAAACTACCTCCTTATCCTTTTCACTCAAATATACTTAAAAAGGAAGCTACAGCATATAACCACCAACAATGGAAAACCATGGTCATATGTCATAATTAGAAATTAATTGTAGGCCAGACACAGCAGTTCACGCCTGTAATCCCAGCACTTTGGGAGGCTGAGGAGGGTGGATTATCTGAGGTCAGGAGTTTCACACCAGCCTGACCAATATGGTGAAACACCATCACTATCAAAAACACAAAAAAATTTAGCTGGACATGGTGGCAGGCAGCTGTAATCCCAGGTACTAGGGAGGCTGAGACAGAAGAATCGCTTGAACCTGGGAGGCAGAGGTTGCAGTGAGCGGAGATCGTGCTACTGCACTCCAGCCTGGGCAACAGAGCAAGACTCTATCTCAAAAATAAATAAATAAATAAAATAAATTAACTGTAAAGGCTGAGCATGGTGGCTCATGCCTGTAATCCCAGCACATTTGGAAGCTGAGGTGGGTAGATTACTTGAGGTCAGGAGTTTGAGACCAGCATGGTGAAACCCCATCTCTACTAAAAATACAAAAATTAGCTGGGTGTGATGGCACACCCCTGTAATCCCAGCTACTCAGGAGGCTGAGGCAGGAGAATTTCCTGAACCTGGGAGGCAGAGGTTGCAGTGAGCCAAGATCGAACCATTGCACTCCAGCCTGGGTGACAAGAGCGGAACTCCATCTCAAAAAAAAAAAAAAAAAAAAAAGGAAAGGAAAAGAAATTAACTGTAAAAAGAAATACCGAAGTTAGCCAGTGTGGTGGTGTGTGCCTGTAGTCCTAGCTACTCAGGAGGCTTAGGTGGGAGGATCGTTTGAGCCCAGGAGTTTGAGGCTGCAGTGAGCTGTGATTGCACCACTGCACTCTAGCCTGAACAACAGAGCAAGACCCTGTCTCAAAAAAAAAAAAAAAAAGGAACACTTAACTAAAACTTTTTTTAAAGTTCATCCAGCCAGGCGCGGTGGCTCATGCCTGTAATCTCAGCACTTTGGGAGGCTGAGGCAGGCGGATCACCTGAGTTCGGGAGTTTGAGACCAGCCTGACCAACATGGAGAACCCTTGTCCCTACTAAAAATACAAAATTAGCTGGGCGTGGTGGTGCATGCCTGTAATCCCAGCTACTTGGGAGGCTGAGGCAGGAGAATCTCTTGAACCCAGGAGGCAGAGGTTGCAGTGAGCTGACTCCAGCCTGGGCGACTAGAGGGAAACTGCATCTCAAAAAAAAAAAAAAAAAAGGCCAGGCACGGCAGCTCACACCTGTAATCCCAGCACTTTGGGAGGTCGAGGTGGGTGGATCACCTGAGGTCAGGGGTTCAAGACCAGCCTGGATAACATGGTGAATTCCCTTCTCTACTAAAAATACAAGAATTAGGTGGGCATTGTGGCACTTGCCTGCAGCCTGTAGTCTCAGCTACTTGGAAGGCTGAGGCAGGAGAATCGCTTGAACCTGGGAGGCGGAGGTTGCAGTGAGCTGAGATAGCGCCACTGCACTCTAGCCTGGTGACAGAGCAAGACTCCGTCTCAAAAAAAAAGAAGAAGAAGGGTAGGGCGTGGTGGCTCACACCTGTAATCCCAGCACTTTGGGAGGCCGAGGTGGGTAGATCACCTGAGGTCAGGAGTTCGAGACCAGCCTGGCCAACATGGTTAAACCCCGTCTCTACTAAAAATACAAAACAAAACAAAAATTAGTTGAGTGTGGTGGCACGAGCCTGTAATCCCAGCTACTTGGAAGGCTGAGGCAGAAGAATGGCTTGAACCCAGGAGACAGAGGTTGCAGTGAGCCGAGATCGCACCACTGCACTCCAGTTGGGTGACAGAGCTGAGACTCTGTCTCAAAAAAAAAAAAAAAGAAGAAGAAGAAGAAAAAAAATTATGGGAGATCATTGTTTTGGGTTGAGCTGCTGCACTTTAGGCCCCAACAGATAAGACCAAACCAAAATGTAGTTACTCATGCTAAATGTCACATAATCAAACTGAAACTTTAAGGAAGGAGATAGATCCCAAACAGACCAGTTTTTCCTGAAAACAGGAGATTCCAGTCAACCTGAGTCAGTGTAATATTGGTCCCCTTTGCTTTAACTCTCACAAAAAAGTCACCTGAAGGAACCTCATGTTAACCAATCAGCTTTTTTCCTATTGTTCTGTTTCCTTGGCCAGTGAGAGATCTTGATTCTGTTTTGTAGAATGAAAGCTGTACCAATTCATGAATTGCAAATAAAAGCCAATTAGATCTATATCCAAAATTGTTGTCATTTTGTCTTTTGACACGGTGAAAGGTGAATAGGAGAAACTCCACCTTGGTTTGTATATAAAAATATTATCCAGGATGGTGGCTCACGCCTGTAATCCCAGCACTTCGGGAGGCCAAGGCGGGCAGATCACCTGAGGTCAGGAGTTCAAGACCAGCTTCGTCAACATAGCGAAACCCCGTCTCTACTAAAAATACAAAAATTAGCCAGGCTTGGTGGCTCGTGCCTATAATCACAGCTACTAGGGAGGCTGATGCACAAGAATTGCTTGAACCCAGGAGGCAAAGGTTGCACTGAGCCGAGAACACTCCACTGCACTCCACTGAGCCACTGCACTCCAGCCTGGGAGTGAGACTGCCTAAAAAAAAAAAAAATCTAGCCACAGCCATTATTATCACACTGGATATTTACCAAAGCCTGCACTAGGGAAAAACACCTGGGTCACGGGTTCACTGCTGGTTGGAGGCTGAGCCAAGAGCAAACTAAGTGTGCTGATACCCATGCCCCTGATTTCTAGGGAGTTCTGTGGCCTTCAGGGAGTCCCAGGGGAGCAAGATTAGAGCACCCAGTCCCTGAGTGCCCTGCTATCAGCGGCCTTGACAGAGGCGATCTCTCCTTGGTGGCTGGAATCAGCATCCAGGGCTCTGTCAACTATTAGAGAAACATTTTATTCTTTTTGTAAAACAAAAGTTCTCTTTTCTTTTCTGATTACAAAAGAAGTTATTGCTGTGGAATCGCAAGATAATCCCCATCCTCTGGTCTGTCTGTCCTTTGTTCCCATGACTGAACTCCAACTTTTGCAAAACACTTACTTTTATTTTATGTTTTATTCTAGAGACAGGCTCTTGCTCTGCTGCCCAGGCTGGAGTGCAGTGGTGTAATCTCGGCTCACTGAAGCTTTGACCTCCAGGGTCTCAAGTGATCCTCCCACCTCAGCCTCCTGAGTAGCTGGGACTACAGGCACACGTCACCACACCCTAATTTTTGTATATACACACACACACACACATATATACGTATATATATGTGTGCGTATATGTGTGTGTGTGTATATATATATATAGTGTGTGTGTGTGTGTGTGTGTGTGTGTGTGTAGAGATGGGTAGGGGGTGGGTCTCACTATGTTGCCAAGGCTGGTCTTGAACTCCTGGGCTCAAGTGATCCTCCTGCCCTGGCCTTCCAAAGTGCTGGGATTACAGGTGTGAGCCACCATGACTGCCCTGCAAAAACATTTAAATTATAAAATTAATGTTTCTTTGTCAGCACTTCATGGAATCAGTACTTCATGGAATTCTCATATCAGCTTTGTATCCTGTTCTCTTTTCTGGAAACTAGTTCGGAAAGTTTCATTTCTTTTTTTTTTTTAGATGGAGTCTTGCTCTGTTGCCCAGGATGGAGTGCAGTGGCGTGATCTCAGCTCACTGCAACCCCTGTCTCCCAGGTTCAAGCAATTCTCCTGCCTCAGCCTCCTGAGTATCTGGGATTACAGGTGTGTGCCACCATACCCAGCTAAATTTTGTATTTTTAGTAGAGACGGGGTTTTACCATGTTGGCCAGGCTGGTCTCGAACCCCTGACCTCAGGTGATCTGCCTGCCTCAGCCTCCCAAAGTGGGATTACAGGCATGAGCCACCGCGCCTGGCCAGAAAGGTTCATTTCTTTAACTGTTTGGGGAAATATCATTTATTCCCTCGACAAATACTTTCTGAGTACCTACCATATGCCAGGGAATAGTCTAAAACTGCAGACACCATGGTAACTAGACATACTGTCCTTTCCTCATGGAATTTACCTTCCAGTGGGGGCAGAAAAACAATTATAAGTGAACAAACAAATAAGAATTTCAGCAATGCTTCACTGAGGAGGCATTTAAGCAAAGGCCAGAAGGAAGTTTCAGTCATGCTGAAATTCCTGTTTGTTTCCTTAAGAGCAGGTTATTACCATCTGGCATGCTATGTATTTTACTTATTTATTTATTGGCTGATTTTTTCACCATTGTCTCCTCAGTGCCTGAACATAGTAGGTGCTTAATAAATATTTATGGACTAATAACACTTTGAAGAAAATAAGCAGAGCCAGGCGTGGTGGCTCACACTTGTAGTCCCAGCACTTTGGGAGCCTGTGGTGGGAGGATTGCTTGAGGCCAGGAGTTTGAGACCAGCCTGGATAATATGGTGAAACTCCGCCTCTACAAAAAAAAAAAAAAAAAAGAAAATTATCCACGTATGGTGTCACGCACCTGTAGTCTCAGCTACTCGGGAGGCTAAGGTGGGAGGATCGCTTGAGCCCAGGAGATTGAGGCTGAAGTGAGCTATGACTGCACCACTGCACTCCAGCCTGGGCGACTGGACCCAGAGATTTAGAGATAGAAGCGAGACCCTATCTCTAAAAGAAAAACACCAAAAACCAAAAAAGAGGGCGAAAGAGGGAAACAAAGCCAGACAGCAGTTAAAGTCACAAGGACAGATCTTAATCTGTAATATACTGTTGCAATAGGGAACAGAGTCCAGTGTGAACTGAACTCCTATTTGTACAGAGAATGAGGGAATGGGAGTGGGGGTGAGGAGCAGGGGTTCAGTAAAGTCAAGGCAGTGAAAAATTACAAAACACATGAAGAGGGGAGGGGTTGGCCCAGGTGAAACCCATCTGGGCTTGCTAACTGGTGCTTATCAACAGCGATGTTGAGCTCTTACTCTCCCACAGGAGCTGGGAGATGGGGCCCTATCCTCAGGTGTTGGCTGGAACAAACAGTAAGTTCTTTTGGCAGGCTTGAGTTTTCTCAGGCAGGCACTTTTAGAGGGTCATTCCAGGGATGAGACCTTGAGCTATTAGAAACTATGTCGGTGTTTGGCAGGGCACAGTGGCTCATGCCTGTAATCCCAGAACTTAGGGAGGCCAAGATGGGCAGATTGCTTGAGCCCAGGAGTTCGAGACCAGGCTGGCAACATGGTGAAACCCCGTCTCTACAAAAAATGCAAAAATTAGCCAGTCTCATTGTAGCAGGACGAGCCACAGACAAAACTCCTCAGACACTGGATTAAAGAAGGAAGAGGTTTATTCAGCCAGGAGTGTCGGCAGACTTGCGTCTTAAGAGCCGAGCTCCCTGAAAAAGAAATTCTTGGCCTTTTTAAAGGCTTACAACTCTAAGGGGTCCACGTGAAAAGGTCGTGATAAATCGAGCAAGCGGGGAACGTGACTGGGGGCTACATGTATCAGCTAACAGAACAGAAAGCTTTGCAATGCTTTTTCATACAATGTCTGGAATTTACGGATAGCACAAGTAGTTTAGGTCAGGGGTTGATGTTATTATTATTACTTTTTTAATAAGGGGGAATAAGGAAGGAGACCACTACTACTCCTGCTGTCCTTCTCCCCCCACCTTGCCTAGTTTACAAGACAGGAGGAAAGAAAAAAAGCAAAAAGTTAAAAAGAAACAAAAGTAAGATAAATAGCCAGACAAACTTGGCACCACCACCCGGCCCTAGGAGTTAAAAAAGTAATAACAATAACATCAACCCCTGACCTAAACTACTTGTGCTATCTGTAAATTCCAGACATTGTATGAAAAAGCATTGCAAAGCTTTCTGTTCTGTTAGCTGATACATGTAGCCCCCAGTCACGTTCCCCGCTTACTCGATTTATCACGACCTTTTCACGTGGACCCCTTAGAGTTGTAAGCCTTTAAAAAGGCCAAGAATTTCTTTTTCAGGGAGCTCGGCTCTTAAGACGCAAGTCTGCTGACGCTCCCAGCCGAATAAACCTCTTCCTTCTTTAATCCGGTGTCTGATGAGTTTTGTCTGTGGCTTGTCCTGCTACATCATAACCTGGCCCCAAAATAAAAATACAAAAAAAACTATGTTGGTGTCTGGCTAGCTTGGCCAAGGAGGGAATCTTTGTCAGATGACCAGGAAAGGCCTCCTGGAGGATCAGCCATCAGTGAGGATGCAAGAGAACCCCAAAATCAGGGCTCAGCTCAGGAGGGTTCTGGGCTTCACGGAGGAAAGAATTCAAGAGTGAGCGGACAGTGAAAGCAAGCAGGTTTATTTGTGCAACAGTGTACAACAAGATGGCTGTTCCACAGACAGAGCAGGGCTGTCCCACAGGCAGAGGGCACTCCCTGATCGCTTGCTGGCTCTACTGAGGCTCTACTGATACGTCCTTCTAATCACATGCTAATTAAGAGGCGGGCTATTCACAAACTTTCTGGAAAGGGGGCAGGGTTTTCCTGGAACCATATAAGGTACCTTTTGGGTTTATTGCCATGGGACTTGTAAATTGTCATGGTGCTGGTGGAAGTGTCTTATGCAAATGTATTATGATTCCTAGTCCTAGCTGGTTTGAGCTGGCTTCTTTGCAACATCCTGTTTTTTTTTTTTTTTGAGACGGAGTCTTACTCTGTTACTCAGGCTGGACTGCAGTGGCACGATCTTGGCTCACTGCAACCTCTGCTTCCTGGGTTCAAGGGAGTCTCCTGCCTCAGCTTCCCAAGTAGCTGGGATTACAGGCGTGCACTACCACACCCAGCTAATTTTTGTATTTTTAGTAGAGATGGGGTTTCACTATGTTGGCCAGGCTGGTCTCGAACTCCTGACCTCAGGTGATCCACCTGCCTCAGCCTTCCAAAGTGCTGGGATTACAGGCGTGAGCCACCATGCCCAGCTGGATTTCTTATTTTTTATTTTGCAGAGATAAGTTCTCCCTATATTACCCAGGCCGGTCTCACACTCCTGGCCTCAAGCGATCCTCCTGCCTCAGCCTCCCAAAGTGCTGGGATTACAGGCATGAGCCACTGTGCCCAGCCTCATACCTTCTATTAAACAAGTCCCAGGTCAGGCATGGTGGGTCATGCCTGTAATCCCAGCACTTTGGGAGACCGAGCCTGGCAGATCACTTGAGGTCAGGAGTGACCTACTTGCAAACAATATTTGCAAGTCATGCCAAGTTAAGTCAAAGGACATGGTCGGCTTAGCAAACGCCTCTATAAACTTCCCTGGATCCTCCAAAACCTGGCCAAATTTCTCCTGGCAGAAAGCCAAATCAGACATTTTAAAAAAGGCACATGTACTCTGAGTGTCCTCCCAGTTCTGTTAGCTACCTCCCTCAATGGACATAGGTTCAACCTCAGGGGCTGATATGGGGTCCCACTCCTGGTGGTACTGGTTAAATTTACTTCCTCCAGAAGCAGGGGTTATAGGCTGGGGCTCGTTGGATAAGGAGGGGTGTCTGATGACCTGGTGTAGAATCCTGCACTAGAGGACTGGAGGAACCCTCTTGAGAATCAGGGAACTGAGGAGGCAGGGAGTCGGGGTGGGAGGCAGGCATGGGTGTCCTAGGGGAAGCAGCTAGGAAGGGGTCATGAAGGAATCTGCTCCAATTGCCTAAAAGGCACTTGGGTGGCAGGTCCTTCATTCTTGTTCCCCTGTCTAACAAGGTTCTCTACTCTACTACTAGGCTGGGCGCAGTGGCTCATGCCTGTAATCGTAGCACTTTGGGAGGCCGAGGTGGGAGGATCACTTGAGGCCAGGAGTTCGAGACCTGCCTGGGCAACATAACGAGACCTTATCTAATAAAAATAGAAAAAAACACCAAGGATCTCTACTAGACACAGAGGGTTTTCTAAGTCTAGCTAGAGCACAGTTATTTTCCCATTCAAATTGCCACCTTTCTTTTTCCTTAAGAAAGCTCAGCAGGGCAATCGCCACCAATTCTTGCAAAGAGGGAGTGAGTATAGCCAGCAAGGTGCAACCAAAGTGACTTATGAGACATGACCAGCAAACGGAATGCAATCAAAGAGATGTTTTCATAAGCAAAGTACAGATGGAGCAGTGAAAATAGGAAGGAGAGGTGAAAATAGGGGACAGGACTTATAGTCTGAGTTCCACGAAAAGCAAAGACAGCGTTATGGTGTTGGGCAAAAGAAGGATGACAAAGATGACCAAAAAAGACGCTAACAGAGCATACAGAGATGCCAACGAATTCGGAGCATTTAGGTTTCAGCCACCGAGGGTCTGGAAAACCCCCAGAGCAGGAAGGTGGGGGGAAGGGTGCAGCCAACAGTCACAATAGGACTCTAGCCCACAATGTCCCCCTAGGGTGGGACTCCAGCCCACAGTCTAGCAGGAAACACATGACTCTGGGGTCCAAGAGTCACCCCAGTGCGGGACCTCTCAAAACAACAAAAGATTCAAAACAGGGCCGTGCGCAGTGGGTCGCGCTGTAGTCCCAGCAGTTTGGGTGGATCACCTGAGGTCAGGAGTTTGAGACCAGCCTGGCCCACATGGTGAAACCCCGTCTCTACTAAAAATACAAAAATTAGCCAGGTGTGGTGGCAGGTGCCTGTAATCCCAGCTACTAGGAGGCTGAGGCAGGAGAATCACTTGAACCTGGGTGGCGAAGGTTGCAGTAAGCCAAGATCCCACCATTGCACTCCAGCCTAGGCGACAAGAGCGAAACTCCATCTCAATTAAAAAAAAAAAAAAAAAGATTGAAAGTATCCTGCCTAACATAAAATAGAAACAATTGCCCAAATAGCCGAAGCAGACTACAAAGGCACGAAATAAGTATAAGCATGCATTTCTGCACTAAGAGCAGGAAAAGTGCAATCACTCGGTTATTAGAAACTACAGAGAAAAACATCTGAGGGAAGGGGTGATGGAGCTGGTACAGAGGCTCAGGCCTGTAATCCCAGTACTGTGGGAGGCAGAGACGGGAGGATCGCTTGAGCCCAGGAGTTCAAGGCCAGCCTGGGCAACATAGTGAGACCCCCATCTCTAAAAAAATAAAAAAATAGCCAGGCATGGTGGCATGAACCTGTAGTCCCAGCTACTCAGGAGGCTGAGGTGGGAGGATCTCTTGAGCCTGGGACATTGAGGCTGCAGTGAGCCGAGATCATGCCGCTGCACTCCAGCCTGGGCCACAGAGCAAGACCCTGTCTCTAAAAAAAAAAAAAAAAAAAAAAAAAAGAGAGAGAGAGATTGAGAATGAGAGAGAGAAAAGGGAGGGAGAATGAGGATGTAGCCAGCGAGGTGTGCTCCCATCCTGGGCATGGGGACAATGAACTGGCCACCAAGCCAGGGGCCCTGTTTTCATGTCCTGGTTCACCAGATCTCGAGAGGTGGCAGATCTGAGGCTCACCTGTCCATGGACGCCAAATGGTGCCGATGGCCTTTAATTTGGGGTCCTGGTAAAGGTTTTCCCAGGGTTCCCATGGCTTGTTGGTCTCCAGGAAAGATAACCGCTCTGAAAAGAGCCCTTAGGTCCAGCACAGCTCTCCAGCAATAACAGCCCTAGAATTACAGCTCCCCAGCTCCCATCTGCAATGAGCGAAGACCCCTGTATCCTGTTCGTCCCTTTGTAGTCACCAGGATGATTCAAGCAAAGCCCTCAGCTCAGGAGGGTTCTTAGCTTCCCTCGAGTGGACAGTGAAAGACAGCAAGTTTGTATGAGCGGCATCGCGCATGGCTGCCTACAGGCAGAGGAGGCTCACCTGCCACATCTCCTCATAAGAATGACTCTCTCCTTACCCAGAGCTTATACCCTTTGCACCTCTTGCTACAGTCCCACCTATTTTAGGGTAGTTTGTGTCTATATCTGCTTCCCCTTGTTTTATTTTGTTTTGTTTTGTTTGAGATAGGGTCTCACTCTGTCGCCCAGGCTGGAGTGTAGTGGTGCAATCTCACCTCACTGCAGCCTCCACCTCCCAGGTTCAAGCAATTCTCCTGCCTCAGCCTCCTGAGTAGCTGTCACTACAGGCATGCACCACCACGTCCAGCTAATTTTTTGTATTTTTAGTAGAAACAGGGTTTTGCTATGTTGGCCAGGCTGGTCTTGAACTCCGGCCTCAAGGGATTCGCTCACCTTGGCCTCCCAAAGTGCTGGGATTACAGGCGTGAGGCACCGCGCCTGCCTGCTTCCTCTTTAAATGAGAACAGAGTGACGGGGGTGGTCGATATAACTTTGCTGCTGCTATTTGAGTTAGCTGGGCCTGCTCTATTCTCCTTCAGTACCAAGTGGGACTGTAGTCTTCTGAGGCTCAGACCAGCAACGATGGTGGTGAAGACGTTGATGTCCTGACCAACTAGCTCTGCATGGCAGACGCCTGGTGAGCAGGAACAGTTTACCCACAAGCTGCATCACCTGCAGAGGTGGGTGTGAGCCAGGATGAGGGTCAAAGAAGTGCACTGGGGAAGCTTGATGTGGCTGTGAACTCTGACCCCTGCCCCACCTCCCTTTCTGACAGCTAGGTTCTAAGAACGTCCTGACATTTACTGAGAAAGCTTGGAATGCATATTCCTACCCCTGAATTACCAGAGCAATAGGAGAATTAGGGGAACGGCTATGAGATTTCTGGTGGGGAATGCGTGGAGTCCCAGGCGGTTGGGAGACTTCCTGACTCCCACACCTTTTCTTTCACCCTGTCATTTATATTTATTTATTCATTATTTTTGTTTTGTTTTGTTTTGTTGTATTTTTTTGAGATGGAGTCTTGCTCTGTTGCCCAGGTCAGAGTGCAGTGGCATGATCTTGACTCACTGCAACCTCCACCTCCTGTGTTCAAGTGATTCTCCTGTCTCAGCCTCCTGAGTCACTGTAGCTGGGACCACAGGCGCGTGCCACCACACCCAACTCTTCCCTTTTACCCTCTCGTTGTCTCTCCGTTCCTTGCCTGCCTTTTTAACTTTTCTTTTTTTTTTTTCCAATTTGAGACAGAGTCTCGCTCTGTCACCCAGGTTGGAGAGCAGTGGCACGATCTCAGCTCACTACAACCTCTGCCTCCCAGGTTAAAGCAATTCTCCTCCCTCAGCCGCCCGAGTAGATGGGATTACAGGTATGCACCACTACACCAAGCTAATTTTTGTATTTTTTAGCAGAGACGGGGTTTCACTATGTTGGCCAGGCTGGTCTCAAACTCCTGACCTCCGATGATCCACATTTCTCAGCCTCCCAAAGTGCTGGGATTACAGGCATGAGCCACCACCTCTGGTCTCTTGCCTGCTTTTGACATCCATTGCACACTGTTGTCATCACAGCAAGACTCTCCGTGCTGGGAACACGGACAGGTCCAGCCACTGGGTCAAGGTGTGGGAGGTGGGGCCAGTAGGCTCCATTGTGCTCTCAGAATGGATATGCATAGGATCTGTTCTTTTCTTTTCTTTTCTTTTTTGGAGACAGAGTCTCGATCTGTGGCCCAGGCTTGAGTGCAGTGGCGCAATCTCGGCTCACTGCAACCTCCGCTTCCCAGGTTCAAGCATTCCTCCCTCAGCCTCCAGCGTAGCTGGGATTACAGGTGTCTGCCACCACACCCTGCTAATTTTTGTATTTTGAGTAGAGACAGAGTTTCACTATGTTGGCCAGGTTGGTCTCGAACTCCTGACCTCAAGTGATCTGCCTGCTGTGGCGTCCCAAAGTGCTGGGATTACAGGTGTAAACCACTGGGCCCGGCCCTGCCCTCTCTTCATTCTCTTGTTCATCCATTACAGGCAGTATGGACTAGTGGTTAAGTATGTGGACACTTGAGCCAGGCTGCTTTGGTTCAAGTTTCAGTTCTGGGCTGGGTGCGGTGGCTCGCGCCTGTAATCTTAGCACTTTGGGTGGCCAAGGCAGGCAGATCACCTGAAGTCAGGAGTTCAAGACCAGCCTGGCCAACATGGTGAAACCCCATCTCTACTAAAAAAAAAAAAAATACAAAAATTAGCTGGGCGTAGTGACGGGTGCCTGTAATCCCAGCTACTCGGGAGGCTAAGGCAGGGAGAATTGTTTGAACCCGGGAGGTGGAGGTTTCAATGAGCCGAGACCACGCCACTGAACTGCAGTCTGGGCAACAAAGCGAGACTGTGTCTCAAAAAAAAAAAAAAAAAGTTGACCGGGCGTGGTGGCTCATGCCTGTAATCCCAGCACTTTGGGAGGCCAAGAAGGGCAGATCACTAGGTCAGGAGTTCGAGACCAGCCTGGCCAACATGGTGAAACCCCATCTCTACTAAAAATACAAAAATTGGCAGGGCATGGTGGCATATGCCTGTAATCCCAGCTACTTGGGAGGCTGAGGTAGGAGAATTGCTTGAACCCAGGAGGCAGAGGTTGCAGTGAGCCAAGATTGCGCCATTGCACTCCAGCCTGGGCGACAGAGCAAGACTCTGTCTCAGAAAAAAAGAAAAAAAAAAAAAAAGTTCAGTTCTGGGCCAGGCGCAGTGGCTCACGCTGGTAATCCCAGCACTTTGGGAGGCCAAGGAGGGTGGATCACTTGAGCCCAGGGGTTCAAGACCAGCCTGGGCAACAGTGAGACCCCATCTCTATAAAAAAAAATTTCAGTTCTGTCACTTGTTTAATCTCAGTTTCTTCATCTGTAAAATAGATTGTCTGAGTAGCCTCTTGTTATCCATGGGGCACATGTTCTAAGACCCCCGCAGTGGATGCCTGAAACCACAGATAGTCCCGAACCCTGTATATACTGTTTTCTCCTATACATATATGCCCATGGGATTTTTTTTTTTTTTTTGAGACGGAGCCTTGCTTTGTCGCCCAGGCTGGAGTGCAGTGGTGAAATCTCGGCTCACTGCAACCTCCTCCTCCTGGGTTCCAGCGATTCTCCTGTCTCAGCCTCCCGAGTAGTTGTGATTACAGGTGTCTGCCACCACGCCAGGCTAATTTTTGTATTTTTAGTAGAGACGAGGTTTCACCGTATTGGCCAGGCTGGTCTCGAGCTCTTGACCTCAGGTGATCCACCCACCTAGGCCTCCCAAAGTGCTGGGATTACAGGTGAGAGCCACTGCACCCGGCCCCTATGGGAAAATTTAATGTATAAATTATGTACAGTAAGAGATTAACAATAATAAGTAATAATAAAATAGGACGACAATATACTGTAATAAAAGTTATGTAAATGTAGTTTCTCTTTCTCCCTCTCTCTCTCTCAAAATATCTTTTTTTTTTTTTAGACGGAGTCTCGCTTTGTCGCCCAGGCTGTAGTGCAGTGGTGCGATCTCAGCTCACTGCAAGCTCCGCTTCCCAGGTTCACGCCATTCTCCTGCCTTAGCCTCCCTAGTAGCTGGGACTACAGGCGCCCGCCACCATGCCCAGCTAATTTTTTAGTATTTTTAGTAGAGACGGGGTTTCACCGTGTTAGCCAGGATGGTCTCGATCTCCTGACCTCGTGATCCCCCCGCCTTGGCCTCCCAAAGTGCTGGGATTACAGGTGTGAGCCACTGCGCCTGGCAAAATATCTTATTGTAATGTATTCACCTATCTTTAACTTAGCCCTGACTTGAAACTCGTGGACTCACCTATTTTGGGACCACACTTGACCAAGCATAACTCAAACTGAAGAGAATGAAACCTCGGATGAGGGGAACTACTGTACATGAGTTTTGCATGTAAAGCTGCTAGAAGAGTGTCTGGCATACAGGGGAGGGTCAGTAAATGCTGGCTGCCACACCAGGCAGCATCATATAGTAGTTAAGAAAGCTGGCCAGGCGTGGTGGCTCACGCCGGTAATGCCAGCACTGTGGGAGGTCGAGGCAGGTGGATCACGAGGTCAGGAGTTGGAGACCAGCCTGACCAACATGGTGAAACCCTGTCTCTACTAAAAATAGAAAAATTAACCGGGTGTGGTGGCGCGCACCTGTAATCCCAGTTACTCAGGAGACTGAGGCAGGAGAATCGCTTGAACCCAGGAGGTGGAGGTTGTAGTGAGCCGTGATTGCACCACTGCACTCCAGCCTGGGCGACAGAGTGAGACTCTGTCTCAAAAAAAAAAAAAGAGAAAGAAAGCCACACTGCCTGGAATTGAAGTCTAGCTCTGTGACCATGGGCAGGTCACTTAACCTCTCTGGGCCTGTTTCATCTTTTGTATAAAATGAACATAACCAGCCCCAGCCCTGGCCCCAGCCCCAGCTTCAGCCTCAGGAAACAATAAAATAATACAATAAAACATAGTACAATAAAATACAATTAATAAAATATTTTAAAAACATGAACAATAATATTACTTGTAGGTAAAACATGCAATAACCTAGATAATAGATAACCTATTGTGAGGATTTTATTATTTATTTATTTGTTATTATTTTTTGAGATAGAGTCTCACTCTGTTGCCCAGGCTGGAGTGCATTGGCACAATCTCAGCTCACTGCAACCTCTTTCTCCTGGGTTCAAGCAATTCTCCTGCCTCAGCCTTCCGAGTAGCTGCGATTACAGGCACCCGCCACCATGCCCGGCTAATTTTTTTGTATTTTTAGTAGAGATGGGGTTTTGCCATGTTGGCCAGGCTGGTCTCAAACTCCTGATCTCAAGTGATCCTCCCGCCTCAGCCTTCCAAAGCACTGGGATTACAGGCATGAGCTACCATGCCTGGCCTATTGTGAGGATTAAATAAGCCAATAGTTGAGAAGTGCCTGGCACATATAAGCATCTGATTCTATTTTAGTGGTTATTTTATTTTATTCAATATAAACACACAGAGCTTTGTATCAGCTTCATTTACCTCTGTATCTCCAATGCCTAGAACAATGGCTGGGGCGTACTGACTTGGTGCTCAGTAAATATTGGCTGAAATATTGACACTTTTTTTAAATCTAAATTGCCCTTGCTGCTGGCTTCTGACACAAGACTCTTTCCACAGTAATATACTGTTTGACTTTGTCATTTTTTTTTTTTTAAATGAAGTCTCGCTCTGTTACCCAGGCTGGAGTGCAATGGCATGATCTTGGCTCACTGCAACCTCCACCTCCCGGGTTCAAGTGATTCTCTTGCCTCAGCCTCCTGAGTAGCTGGGACTATAGGCTCATGCCACCACACCCAGCTAATTGTGTGTTTTATTTTATTTTTTTCTTTGAAGAGACGGGGTTTTACCATGTTGGCCAGGCTGGTCTTGAACTCCTGACCTCAAGTGATCCACCCGCCTCAGCCTCCCAAATTGCTGGGATTACAGGTGTGAGCCACTGTGCCCGGCCGTGATTTCTTTATCTAGTGTGATTTTTTTTTTTTTTTTTTTTTTTTTTTTTTGGAGACAGAGTCTTGCTGAGTCGCCCAGGCTAGAGTGTAGTGGTGCAATCTCGGCTTACTGCAACCTCCGCCTCCCAGTTCAAGCTATTCTCATGCCTCAGCCTCCTGAGTAGCTGGAATTACAGGTGCCCACTATACCTAGCTAATTATTTTTATATTTTTAGTAGAGACAGGGCTTCACTATGTTAGCCAGGCTGGTCTTGAACTCCTGGCCTCAAGCAATCTGCCTGCCTTGGCCTCCCAAAGTGCTGGGATTACAGGCATGAGCACTGTGTTCAGCCTATCTAGTCTGATTTTTAACATTAGAAAATTAATTTGGAAGAGTAGATCAAAATGGGGGGAACATGTGGTGCAAGTGGCAGAAACAGATCGAACTGACTTAACAAAAACTCAGGATTGACTCATGAAACTGAACATTTCAGAAGTAATTGCTTCAGAAATGGTTGGATCTAGGAGCTCAAAGTAAATAATAATCAAGATTCTTACCGCTTAAGCCCAGGAGGTCGAGGCTGCAGTGAGCTATGATTGTGCCACTGCACTCCAGCCTGGGTGACAGAGGGACACACGGCCTCAAAAAAAGAAAGAAAGAAAAAGAAAAATTCTTGCCAGGCACAGTGGCTTACACCTGTAATCCCAGCACTTTGGGAGGGCAAGGCAGGAGGATCACTTGAGCCCAAGAGTTTAAGACCTGCCTGGGCAACATAGTAAGACCCACATCTCTACAAAAAATAAAACATTTAGCCTGGCATGGTGGTGCATGCCTGTGGACCTAGCTACTGGAGAGGCTAAGGCGGAAGGATCACTGGAGCACAGCAGGTCGAGGCTGTGCCACTGCACTCCAGCCTGGGTGACAGAGCAAAACCCTGTCTCAAGAAAGAGAAAAGGAACATGGAGCCATGGGAATTAGGGAGTGAGTCCTGCAGGCAGCCTGTTGGGACCCCAAACCAGAACTGAGGCAGAGGAAGCAAGGTAGGGGGGCAGCAGAAACATATATGGTTCATAGATTTTTTTTTTTTTTTTCAGACGGAGTCTCACCTGTCACCCAGACTGGAGTGCGGTGGTGGGATCTTGGCTCAAAGCAACCTCCGACTCCCGGGTTCAAGTGATTCTCCTGCCTCAGCCTCTTGAGTAGCTGGGATTACAGGCATGAGACACCACACCCGGCTAATTTTTGTATTTTTGATAGAGACAGGGTTTCGCCATGTTGGCCAGGCTGGCCTCGAACTCCTGACCTCAAATGATCCACCCTCCTCGACCTCCCAAAGTGCTGGGATTGCAGGCATGAGCCACCGCATCCGGCCCGTAGATTCTTTTGTACAAATCAACCAATACATAAAAATATGAGCAGCGAGTGGACATGTGTTCCAGGTGTGTCCTCTTTCTGAGGAGTAAACGGTGCACTCGCCTGGGCAGTGGACAGGACATGACAGTCAGGAGTGACTGAGCCCCCATGGAGGCAGCCAGCTGAGGGTGCTGGGACAGGAATGGGGTCCCATATTAGCCTGGGAGCTGGGGGCCACTGGAGGACCAGGCGTGTCGGCCCAGGGTCTGCCTCCCCTCTCAGACCCTGGGCAGGGCCTGTCCTGGGGCTCAGTATGTCTGCGTCCTCATCCCAGGGAGGCTGATGAGCCGGCCAGAGGTGCCTGCCGCTGTGCAAGGAGAGGGCTCTGAATACAAGCAGCACTTGGGGTAGAGCCCACCCCACCAAGCTGGCCTGGGACCTGAGTCCCACCCAGTGGTCCTCGCCTCTGAGGCTGCGCACACCCTGGCCCAGGGCCTGACTGGCCAGGCCCCTGAGATTTCTGCCTCTGGCCTGAACTCTGCTCTGACTTATGACTCCATCCTCTTCTCCCTGCATGGCTCTCCTTTGCCTTTTTTTGCAGGGGGAGCGGGGAGACAGAGTCTCATTCTGTCACCGAGTCTGGAGTGCAGGAGTGTAATCATAGCTCACTGCAGCCTCGAACTCACAGGCTCAAGCAATCCTCTCACTTCAGCCTCCCGAGTAGCTAGGACCACAGGTATGTGCCACCAACCCAGCTAATTCTTTTTTTCCCTTGCATTTCTTTATGACAACTGATGTGTCTGGAGAACTTCCTGTGGGTCAGGCCTTGTGCTACTAATAACAGCTAAAACCTGTGAGTCTTACCACAGGCCAGGCCCTGTTCTAAGTGCTTTACACACAGTAACTCACTGAATCCTTTAAGCAGTTGTATGCATTTGTATTATTTCCCTCACGTTCTAGATGATGAAACTGAGGCACAGAGAAGTTGAGTAACTTGTCTGAGATCGCAGAGCTCTTCGGTGGCAGGGCTGTTTTAGATGCATAGTGGTCACGGCAAGTCCTCTCCAGCTGCCATAAGCATCGTCCTCAACTGGCAGTTGAGCCAACAAACACAGAGAGGCTTCAGGCCTTGATCAAGGTCACACACTGGGAAGTGCTGGAGCTCTGAAGGGAGGGGCGGAGGTCTGTCTGGCTCCCAACTCAGCTGGGGGGGCTTGGACACATGACCACTTCCAAGTTCGTCTTTTTTTTTTTTTTTAAGACTGAGTCCCCCTCTGTCGCCCAGGCTGGAGTGCAATGGCGTGATCTCGGCTCACTGCAACCTCCGCTTCTCGGGTTCAAGTGATTTTCCTGCCTCAGCCTCCCTAGTAGCTGGGATTATAGGCACCCGCCACCACACCTGGTTAATTCTTTTTTTTTTTTTTTTTTTTTTTTTAAGTATAGACAGGGCCATGTTGTCCAGGCTGGTCTCGAACCGCTGACCTCAGGTGATCCACCCACGTTGGCCTCCCAAAGTGCTGGGATTACAGGCATGAGCCACCGCGCCCGGCCCCAAGTTCATTTTGGGACAGATGGTGGGCAAGGCTGGGAGCATAGGCCTCGTTTGACAGAGGGGGAAACTGAAGCCTAGAGTGTGTGGCCATCTTGCCCAAGCAGGCACACACAGGAAGTGGCAGAGCCCAGCCAGTAATTGAACTGGGACTTTTCATGCGCAGACTGGTGATTTTCCTCTGCAGCCCCTGCCTCCTGCAAGCTCTTCCTTCTCTGAACTCAACAGCCCTGGCTTCTCACCTTCCCACACCCTCAGAACTCAGTCTTCCCAGGCCTGCATTCACATGTCATTTATGTCTGGGAAGAGTGGCCCCTCAATCTCTTCCTCTCAGCCCTCCCCAGGTGCCTGCCATGGCTGCAAGAGTATGGGGGTACCCAGCATCCCCCTTACAAGGAAAAAAGAGGTGAGACCAAGGGAGAGAAGCATTTTCTCCTCTCCAGGCTCTCCTTCCCAGGGTTGTTGGTCCCATGACAGATATAACAGTTAAGGGCAGACAGGGCACAGTGGCTCACGCCTGTAATCCCAGTACTTTGGGAGGCTGAGGCAGGCGGATCACCTGAGGTCAGGGGTTCGAGACCAGCCTGGCCAATATGGCGAAACCCCATCTCTACTAAATATACAAAGATTAGCCAGGTGTGGTGGCGCACACCTGTAATCCCAGCCACTCGGGAGGCTGAGGCAGGAGAATCGCTTGAACCCAGGAGGCAGAGGTTGCAGTGAGCTGAGATGGTTCCACTGCACTCCAGCCTGGGCAACAGAGTAAGACTCCATCTCAAAAACAAACAAACCAAAACAAAACAAAACAAAAAAACACTTAGAGGCAGTCCCAAAGGTGGGCTGGAGGGGGCTGGACACACAAGCCTCTTGCTGCTGTCTGAGTGCACGTTGCTGGAGAAATCTGGGCGGAGTCCAGGCCTAGTGTGGCATGAGGTTTGTGTGCATAAAGGGAGGGCAGTCCAGGAATCAGAGGTCCAGGGACTGTGGGTCTCAGCCACAGCACCTTTCCTGGGGGACAGGAGCTGTCGTAGCCTCGGGGTCTCACCATCTGTGCTCGGGAGTTTGAGGAGAGAGCTGCGCTCCAGACTGGCTTTACCTTCCCCCAGCCTTCCTGTCTTCACAAAAGCATCTTGGTTTCACCGAGGGGTTAGTTCCAGGCCTTGCAGCTGACATCATGGAGTGCAGGGATTCCCCGCACTGGCCCACGCTGAAGATAGGGGACTTGAGTTCCAGTCTTCCTTCTGCTACCGACCGGCTTTGTGACCTTGAACAAGACTTCCCCTCCCTGATTCCATCCTCATGTCACATCTGAAGCCTCCAACTTCTGTCACTGAGCTCAGGATTCCCAGGCAAGCCCACGGAGTGCCCCACAGGGTCAGAGCCGTAACAGGACTTGGAAAATAACCCGAAAATTGGTGCATGGTTCTTTTCTTTTCTTCTCTCTTTTTTTTTTTCGGGTTTTAATTTCCCTATGTAATAATAATGATTTGCTATCACTTTTCTTTTTTATTTATTTCTTATTTTATTTAGAGACAGGGTCTCGCTCTGTCACCCAGGCTGGAGTGCAGTGGTGCAATCATGGCTCACTGCAGCCTTGACCTCCTGGGTTTAAGCAATCCTCCCACCTCAGCCTCCGGAGTAGCTGGGACTTCAGGTGCGCACCACCATGCCCAGCTAATTTTTTTGGTTTTTAGTAGAGACGAGGTCTTGCTATGTTGCCCAGCCTGGTCTTGAGCTCTTGAGCTCAAGTGATCCTCCTACCTCAGCTTCCCAAAGTGCTAAGATCACAGGCATGAGCCACCATGCCCAGCCTGCTCTCACTTTTCAATGAGGAAAATGAAGTCCAGAGCAGGCCAGTGACTCCCCTGGGGTGACCAGAAGGGGTGGCTACACACAGGTGTCTACATCCCAGGCTACCCAATTTCCCTTCTGTCTATCCTTATCCCTCACTACCTTCCTTCCATTTCCTGCTGGCACTAACCCAGGCCTCAGCCCATCAGCCAAAACCCACCTGGCTTGTGGAACCTGTATTCTAATGAATGGAGACAGACAAAAAAGTAAATGGGGCCAGGCGTGTTGGCTGACGCCTTGAATCCCAGCACTTTGGGAAGCCCAAGACATGAGGATTGCTTGAGGCCAGGAGTTCGAGACCACCCTGGGCAACATAGGAAGCCCCTATCTCTACAAAAAATTAAAAAAATAGCCAGGTGTGATGGCGCGCACCTATATCCCAGCTACTCAGGAGGCTGAGGTGGGAGGATTGCTTGAGCCCTCAGTGAGTCGTGATTGCACCACTGCCTCCAGCCTGGGCAACAGAGCAAGACTCAATCTCTACAAAAATAAGTAAATGATTTTTTAAATTAATAAAATGTAAAAGTGAAAAAAAGTTTAAAAATGTAAAAAAAATGTAAAAGTGAAATGTTCATTTGAGACAAGAATTATGGCAGGAAAGGATAGCCATTCAGTGGGGCAGCCAGAGACGAAGAGTATGGTACAGGGATTGGGGAGAGGGAACTCCAGGCAGACAGAAGAGCTTGCACAAGGACCAGGAAGTACCAGATGGCTCATCACCTCCACACAAGCAGCAAGTTGCTAGAGCTGGCATAGGTTGAGAATGAGGCATGAGGCTGTAGGCACTGGCTGAAGCCAGGTTAAGAAGAGAAGAGGAAGCCAGGCGTGGTGGCTCACGCCTGTAATCCCAGCACTTTGGGAGGCCAAGGTGGGCGGATTGCTTGAGGTTAGGAGTTCGAGACCAGCCTTACCAACATGGTGAAACCCCGTCTCTACTAAAAATACAGACCAAGCTCGGTGGCTCATACCTGTAATCCCAGCACTTTGGAAGGTTGAGTCTGGCGGATCACTTGAAGCCAGGAGTTCGAGACCAGCCTGGCCAACGTGGTAAAATCCTGTCTCTACTAAAAATACAAAAATCAGCCAGGCGTGGTGTTGCATGCCTGTAGTCCCAGCTACTCGGGAGGTTGAGGCACAAGAATCACTTGAACCCAGGAGGCGGAGGTTGCATTGAGCCAACATCATGCCACTGAACTCCAGTCTGGGTGAGAGAGCAAAATTCTGTCTCAAAAAATAATAATAATAAAATAAAAATAAAAATAAGGCCGGGTGCAGTGGCTCACGCCTGTAATCCCAGCACTTTGGGAGGCCAAGGTGGGTGGATCATGAGGTCAGGAGATCAAGAACATCCTGGCTAACACAGTGAAACCCTGTCTCTACTAAAAATGCAAAAAATTGGCGTGGCGTAGTGGCGGGCGCCTGTTGTCCCAGCTACTCGGGAGGCTGAGGCAGGAGAATGGCGTGAACCCGGGAGGTGGAGCTTGCGGTCCAGCCTTGGTGACAGAGCCAGACTCCGTCTCAACAAAATAAAAATTAAAAAAAATAATTAGCCAGGCACTGTGGCACACATCTATAATCCCAGCTACTCGGGAGGCTGAGGCAGGAGGATCGCTTGAACCCAGGAGTCAAAGATTGCAGTGAGCTGAGATCACGCCACTGCACTCCAGCCTGGGCAATAGAGAGAGACTCCATCTCAAAAAAAAAAAAAACACAAAGGAGCAGCAAGGGATTGGGGTGTGTCAGGGAGCCCTAAGAGAAGATGGGGTTCAAATTTTTTTTTTTTGAGATGGAGTCTCGCTCTGTCGCTCAGACTGGAGTGCAATGGTGTGACTTCGGCTCACTGCAACCTCCACCTGCCAGGTTCAAGCAATTCTCCTGCCTCAGCCTCCTGAGTAGCTGGGACTACAGGCGCAAGACACCATGCCTGGCTAATTTTTTTATATTTTTAGTACAGACGGGGTTTCATCATGCTGGCCAGGCTGGTCTCGAACTCCTGACCTCATTATCTGCCTGCCTCGGCCTCCTAAAGTGTTGGGATTAGGCCGGGCGCGGTGGCTCACGCCTGTAATCCCAGCACTTTGGGAGGCCGAGGCGGGTGGATCACGAGGTCAGGAGATCGAGACCACGGTGAAACCCTGTCTCTACTAAAAATACAAAAAATTAGCCGGGCGCAGTGGCGGGCGCCTGTAGTCCCAGCTACTCGGGAGGCTGAGGCAGGAGAATGGTGTGAACCCGGAAGGCGGAGCTTGCAGTGAGCGGAGATCGCGCCACAGCACTCCAGCCTGGGCGACAAAACGAGACTCCGTCTCAAAAAAAAAAAAAAAAAAAAAAAAAGTGTTGGGATTACAGGCATGAACCACTGCACCCAGCCTAAGATTTTTTTTTTTAATTAGAGAAGGGGGTCTCACTATGTTGCCCAGGCTGACTTTGAACTCCTGGGCTTAATTGATCCTCCTGCCTCAGCTTCCCATAGTGGTAGGATTACCAGCATGAGCCACGGCACCCAGCCAACTGCCCCCTACCCTTTCTTTTTCTTTTCTTTTCTTCTTTTTTTTTTTTTTTTTTTTTTGAGACAGTGTCTTGCTCTGTTGCCCAGGATGGAGGGCAGTGGTGCAATCTTGGCTCGCTGCAACCTCCGTCTCCCAGGTTCAAGCGATTCTCCTGCCTCAGCCTCCTAAGTAGCTGGGACTACAGGTGCCTGCTGCCATGCCTGGTTAGTTTTTGTATTTTTAGTAGAGACGGGGTTTCACCATGTTGGCCAGGCTGGTCTCAAACTCCTGACCTCAAGTGATCCACCCGCCTTGGCCTCCCAAAGTGCTGGGATTACAGGCATGAGCCACCACGCCTGGCCTTATTTTATTGTGTTTTTAATAGAGACGGGGTCTTGCTATTTTGCCCAAGCTGGTCTGGAACTCCTGGCCTCAAGGGATCCTCTCACCTCAGTTTCCCAAAGTGCTGAGATTACAGGTGAGAGCAGAGTCGCCCAGCCAGGGTTCAAGATGTGAGAGGTAAGGCAGTTCTGGGTGACAGTAGAGGTTGGGAGGGGCCATGGAGAGAGCCGAAGCGAGGCCCCATGTGGTCAAGGGGGTGAGCAGGTGGCATGCCTCCAGGACCCGCTGTGGGGAGCCCCAGCTGCATAGGCTGCCGGGGAGTGAGCTGCCACCACTGGGGGGTGCTGCAGAGGAAACAGGGGCTGGACTCCAGCCCCAGTTCCCTGTCCGTCTCCAGTGGCCTGTGGGGCTGCTCCCTCGGCAGATGTTGGTATTTCCCTGGTGCGCTCGTTCCCAAGTGGCCTGGTGGGCAGTGCCCAGGCAGGCCGAGGAGGCAGAGAGCAGGAAGGGGAAGCCCCGCCTGGTTTCTATCTCACACCAGGGACCCGGCAGGGAAACCCCACAGGTCCTAAAAAGAAAGTGGCAGCAGTTGTTCTTGGGGAAGACCAAGAAACCCCATCCTCTCCCTGAAGATGGGAAATCCAGGGCGGGGCTGAGGGTGGGGCTGTGCTGGAAGGGAGACCTGTGGTCCATGTGGCCCAGCCCTGACCATGGCCTCTACAGAGCAGAAACACCAAGATTATTCTTGGACCTGGTTGAGCCCTGATCCTGACCTCACTCAACTCAAGCCTGGCCACAGGCTGAGCCCCGATCCTGGTCACTGACTGAGCTCTCATCCCAGCCCAAGCCTGGACCCCCTGCTGAGTCCCAGTCCCAGTCAGCACCTTGGCCAAAGACCAAGCTCTAGACCCAACCCTATAGGCCACAAGCAAAGCCCCAGGTCACTGATAGCTCTGACCCTAAACACAGACACAGCCGGGACATTGGCCCGGGACTAGGCTGTGAGTTCAGCTGTACACTGATTCCTGATCCTGATTATAGACTGAAATCAAATCCTATATCTGACTCAGGTTAAAGATGGAGACAGAGCCCTTGGCCCTGGAAAAAACCCTAACCCTGGTCCCAGATATGGCCTCGGACCTGGTTTTATCCAGCCCTGACCCTAGTTACAAACTGAGCTCCAATCCCACCCTCACGCTGAGCCTCTGCCTGGCCCCATGCAAAGGTGCATCCCAGCCACCCACTGAGCACTGACTCTCTCTGCGCCACCTCCCTCAGCCATCTGGTAAACCATAAGGGAGTCAGATGACTCAAAACCCCGAATCCCCTCGGGTGGGCAATCCCCTTACCTGGCTATCCATCTTTGGAAGGACAGTAGACCCTAGGATGATGGTGGCAGAGCCGAGAATCAGGAGGGGGTTTGGGACTCTGGGATCAACCAGTGAATAGGGCTGGATGGCTCACCCAAGCATGGGACATTGAGGACAGGGCTGGACGTGGGAGCTTAGCAGTGAGTCTGGAGCTTGGATGTCCCGAAACCCCAGCTTCCCGTCACCCCCCATCATACCTCCCACCCCCTC
Source organism: Homo sapiens (assembly GCF_000001405.40). NCBI lineage: Eukaryota > Metazoa > Chordata > Mammalia > Primates > Hominidae > Homo > Homo sapiens. Next base: position 28,506,980 of record NC_000016.10, on the reverse strand, counting down.
CGGGAAGGGAAATTACATTTCCCCATTTTAGCAAGGGGTGGCGAGAGGGAAGAATGAGTGAACACAAAGCTGAAAGTACAAGCAGGACGGAAAGTGAAACCGGGCACAGCCCCCAGTATAAGACCCCCCCTACCCAGGAGATGGCTGACCAAAGAGGCTGGGCCCCGCCATGGGCCAGACGGCAGGCGACCTTGGCTGGCGTGAGTTTGAAGCCAGGGGTGGGGGGCTTGGTTGAGTTTGGGCAGAGAATGGACGAGCTTGGCTGGTGCAGATGGGGGGTCGAGAGCTGAGAGCAGCAACTTGGCCAAGACTGAGGATTCGGCTGGCTGCTGCATGGGAAGGGAGGCTGGCATGACTGGGTGGGGGCCTGGGGCAGTGGGGTGGTGGTCTGACCCAGGGCTGGGCAGAGGATGAGAAGGAGGCCTTGGCTAGTGGGAATGGGGAGGGTTGGACCAGCAATTTGACAAGGACCAGGTCTAGGCAGATAAATGAAGAGTTTGGAGTGAATAAGCAGAAGCCAAACAGCTTGGCTAAGACTGAGAATGGGGCCGGCTGGAGGAAGAGCAGAACGAGGTGCTGGCACAAGTGGAGCACTGGGACCAAGATGTCAGCAGCCTCACTGGGTCAAAGGTCTTTAGTTTGATGTTGGAAAGAGGTCCAATCTGCGGCTGGTGGCTGCAGAACTCAGGGGCTAGAACCAGAGCAGTAGGCAGTGGAGAAGGTAACATGCCACGTAGGGCAGGTAGGGACCAAAGGCTGGAGGATGGAGACAGAGCCTTCAAAGGCCAGAGCCAATGACCCAGGATCAGCTGCAGAGGGTAAGGAGGGGGTCTGGGGTCTCCAGAGGTCAGGTTGGAGATGGCACAGCTCACTTACGGTTGGGCTTGATCCACCAGGGCCTGGGGGCACCCACCCTGTCCCCAACATTGAGCTAGGAAGAACCCCACTCTGCCTTAAGTCTCCAGGATGTCAGAGGGTCCGAGTGGCCCCAAAACCAGGGAGTCTGAATGCCAGAGATCTTACGTTAGGCATCGCCCACCACATCTGCAAGCCCACGAGGGAGGTAGATGTCCCTAGAAGCTCCCCTTCACCTTTATCAGGGGACATTTCGAAGAGCAGAGCCCAGGGGTTAGAGATTGAGAGAGGACAGGGAAGAGGCAGGGAGAGAAGGGAGAGCAGGATGGACTTCGGGCCAGTTTTGGTTTGTGTTTCGAGGAGAATTGTGTAACTCTTGTGCTTGCTAGATTTCCTCTCCCTGAGGGGGAAATTGATGAATGCTGCCCTCTTCCTAGAGCGCCCATCCGCTGCCCCTCTTTCCAGGAAAACACAGGTCAGGAAGCACACTCGGAATTCAGCCATTCTGGGCTGGGCGCAGTGGCTGATGTCTGTAATCCCAGCACTTTGGGAGGCCAAGGCAGGCGGATCACCTGAGGTCAGGAGTTGGAGACCAGCCTGGCCAACACGGCAAAACCCCTCTCTACTAAATATAATAAAAATTAGCCAGGCGTGGTGGCTACTCAGGAGGCTGAGGCAGGAGAATTGCTTTAACCTGGGAGGTGAAGGTTGCAGTGAGTCGAGATCGCGCCACTGCACTGCAGCCTGGGTGACAGAGTGAGAATCTGTCTTAAAAAAAAAAAAGCTCCCATACTGTGGATTCGCCCCAGGCAGGTTACCCTGCTAGGATCCACCTGCCGTGGTGGAAACTGGACAAACCTGTCCTTTTGACTCCCTGGAATAGAGCCTCTGGCATTGCCAGCCCATCCCTGGGGACCTCATGGCCAGTTCAAGCCATCAGAGCCGCTTGGCTGAGCCCAAAGAATCCTTGCCAGAACATGGTGTGCCCACTCCTGGGGCAGATGGCTGCCTCCCTCTGCATTCTCTGGGGAAAACCCATGGGCTCTGCATTTGGAAAAACCTGGAATCCAGTCCTGGCTTCCCACCTTCTGGCTATTTGACCTTGGGCAAGTCAACCTCACTGAGCCTCACCTGCAAATTGGGGAGAACAATAGCACTGAGGCTGCCACACGTGGTTGTGCAGGTTGCTCACTGAAAAAGGCATTTGGCCAAGGGAGTTTATGGGGGTCAAAATCCAGTCTCTGTCCCGGCACAGTGGCTCATGCCTGTGATCCCAGCAATTTGGGAGGCTGAGGCGGGAAGATCTCTTGAGGCCAGGAGTTCAAGACCAGCCTGGGCAACATAGTGAGACCCTGTCTCTACAAAAAAATAGAAACAGTTAGGCACAGTGGTGTGTCCCTGTGATCCCAGCTACTTGGGAGGCTGAGGCGAGAGGATCACTTGAGCCTAGGAGTTCAAGGCTACAGTGAGCTGTGATCACACCACTACACTCCAGGCTGGGTGATAGAACAGAACTCTGTTTCAAAAAAAAAAAAAAAGGATCAGGCTTCTGGTCTTTTTGCAAAAGTGGGCACACCATGCGGAGATGCCATATGGGGGCCGTGCTGGCTGCATCGTGGGGTTTTGTTTTGTTTTGTTTTGTTTTGTTTTTTTGAGACAGAGTCTGGCTCTGTCGCCCAGGCTGGAGCACAGTGGTGTTAGCTCACTGCAGCCTCTGCCTCCCAGGTTCAAGCGATTCTCCTGCCTCAACCTCCTGAGTAGCTGGGATTACAGGCATGCACCACCACGCCCAACTAATTTTTGTATTTTTAGTAGAGACAGGGTTTCGCCATGTTGGCCAGGCTGGTCTTGAACTCCTGGCCTCAGGTGATCCGCCCGCCTCGGTCTCCTAAATTGTTGGGATTACAGGTGTGAGTCACCGCACCCAGCCTCCATTGTGGTTTTGAGGAGGCAGAGGAATGATGCTGGTCAAAGTGCCTGCACCGTGCTCACAGCTAGCACAGGCTCAGAAAAGGCATGTTCCCTTCCTTCTCAAGCTCTCTCCCTGTCTTGCCACCCTCTTCCCATCTCTCCAGGGCTCAGCCTGTTGCTGCTTCCCTTGCTCCTGGTTCAAGCTGGTGTCTGGGGATTCCCAAGGCCCCCAGGGAGGCCCCAGCTGAGCCTGCAGGAGCTGCGGAGGGAGTTCACAGTCAGCCTGCATCTCGCCAGGAAGCTGCTCTCCGAGGTTCGGGGCCAGGCCCACCGCTTTGTAAGTCCCCCTAATGCAGCTGGCGCTGGAGATGGGCAGACCCCCAATCCCTTCTGGCCCCCACTAACAGACCTTGCCCCCCAGGCGGAATCTCACCTGCCAGGAGTGAACCTGTACCTCCTGCCCCTGGGAGAGCAGCTCCCTGATGTTTCCCTGACCTTCCAGGCCTGGCGCCGCCTCTCTGTGAGTGAGGGCTGGTGGAGTGGGGCGGGAAGCTTGTGATAGGCTGGGGCCAGGGTGCAAGATGAGGCTGGAGATTGAGCTGGAGATGCATTGGGGATAGAACCTGGATAAGGCTGAATATGTCATTGGACATAGAGATGAAAGACAGGCATGGTGACTTACACCTATAAACCCAGCACTTTGGGAGGCCCAGGTGGAAGGACTGCTTGAGGCCAGGAGTTCAAGACCAGTCTGGGCAACATAGTGAAACTTTGTCTCTACAAAAAAAAATTTAAGAGTTAGCCAGGCATGGTGGTGTACACCTTTGGTCCCAGCTACTCAGGAGGCTGACATGGGAGGATTGCTTGAGCTCAGGAGTTGGAGGCTGCAGTGAGTTATGATCCTGGACTCCAGGATGGAGAACAGAGGGAAACCCTGTCTCAGAAAAATAAATAAACTGCCAGGCGTGGTGGCTCATGCCTGTAATCCCAGCACGTTGGGAGGCTGAGGAGCACGGATCACCTGAGGTCAAGAGTTCAAGACCAGCCTGGCCAACATGGCGAAACCCCATCTCTACTAAAAAATACAAAAATTAGCTGAGCGCAGTGGCTCACGACTGTAATCCCAGCACTGTGGGAGGCTGATGTGGGTGGATCACCTGAGGTCAGGAGTTCGAGACCAGCCTGACCAACATGAAGAAACCCCACCTCTACTAAAAATACCAAATTAGCCGGGTATGGTGCTGTGCGCCTGTAATCCCAGCTACTCGGGAGGCTGAGGCAGGAGAATTACTTGAACCCAGGAGGTGGAGGTTGCAGTGAGATGAGATCGCGCCACTGCACTCCAGCCTGGGCAACAGAGCGAGACTCCATCTCAAAACAAACCAACAATAAAGATGAAGCTGGAATAAGGAAGTGGGGTTGGGAAGAGGTAAGAGTGGAGCTAGGCATGGAACGCGGCAGGCATGGGACTGGAATGAGGCTGGAGACAGATCACAGCAGCATGGAGGGTGGGTGGAGGTGGCACTGGGGGTGAGAATGCGGATAGTTAGAGATGAGAAGGTGATGATGAGGGTGAACGTTAAGCATGGGATGGAGAAGGGATGGGGATTGCTGGTGGGGAAGGGAATGGAATAGGGTTAGGAATGAGGTTGGAGATGGGATGGAAAGATGGAAAGAGTGAGTCTGGGCACATGGAGGAAGGATGGAGTTGGGGTTAGGAATGGGAATGAGGCTGAAGATGGGATGGAAACACATGGGCAGGAGGTATGATGGGATGGTGGAGGAGGGAAGGGAACAGGGCTGTGGATGGAGAGTGCTTCAGGGACTGAGAGGGGGTGGGTTAGAGAAGATCATTGGCATAGGAGTGAAAGGGAGGCTGGAAAAGGAGATGGGACAAATGTCCCAGACAGTGGAGATGGAAGGAATGGGGACACAGCTGGGCTGAGGTGGGGGAAGAGCTACAGGGATGGACTGGAGGCTGGAGCGTGGAATGGGAAGGAGACCCGGATAGGGAGGGGGTGGGTGTGATATGGCCATCCTTGGCCTGTGGACCTTTCCTGACCATCTCCCTCCCCTTCAGGACCCGGAGCGTCTCTGCTTCATCTCCACCACGCTTCAGCCCTTCCATGCCCTGCTGGGAGGGCTGGGGACCCAGGGCCGCTGGACCAACATGGAGAGGATGCAGCTGTGGGCCATGAGGCTGGACCTCCGCGATCTGCAGCGGCACCTCCGCTTCCAGGTAGAGCCCGGCCACCCTCCACCACCCCAGACCACGTGGGAAAGAAGACTCGCTGGCTCATTCAGTGATCCCATGCTCTGAGTGTGTGTGAGTGTGAGAGTGTGAGTGTGACTGAGTGTCCATGAGTGTGTGGGTTCATGAGTGTGAGAGTGACTGTGTGGGTCCGTAAGTGTGGGAGAGTGAGTGTGACTGTGTGGGTCCATGAGTGTGACAGTGTGACTGTGAGAGTGTGTGAGTGTGGGTCTGTGAGTGTGAGAGTGTGTGGGAGTGACTGTGAGTGCATGTGGGTCTGTATGAGTGTGAGCATGACTGTGTGTGAGGGTGTGGGTCCGTGAGTGTGAGAGTGAGTGTGTGGGTCTGTGTGAGTGTACCTGACTGTGAGAGTGTGTGGGTGTGACTGTGAGTGTGTGTGTGGGGGGGCTGTATGAGTGTGAGCATGACTGTGTGTATGTGCGTCCGTGTGTGAGTGTGACTGTGAGTGTGTGGGTCTGAGTGTGAAAGTGTGTGGCTGTGAGTGTGTGAGTGTGTGGGTGTGACTGTGAGTGTGTGTGGGTCTGTATGAGTGTGAGCGTGACCGTGTGTGTGTAGGTCCATGAGTGTGAGACTGTGAGTGTATGGGACTGTGAGTGTAAGAGTGTGGGAGTGTGTGGGTGGGTGTGTGAATGTGAGTGTTGTGAGTGTGAAAGTGAGGTGTGTGGGTGAGAGTTTGGGTATAGGTATGTCAGTGTGTGAGGATGAGTGTGAGTGTGAGAGTATGTGGGTACGTGAACGATTTTTTTTTTTTTCTGAGACTAAGTCTCACTCTGTCGCCCAGGCTGGAGTGCAGCGGTGCGATCTCAGCTCACTGTAACATCTGCCTCCCAGGTTCAAGCAATTCTCCTGCCTCAGCCTCCTGAGTAGCTAGGACTACAGGCGTGCACCATCATGCCTGGCTAATTTTTTTGTATTTTTAGTTTCACCATGTTGGCCAGGCTGGTCTCAGACTCCTGACCTCGCGCTCTGCCCGCCTCGGCTTCCCAAAGTGCTGGGATTACAGGCGTGAGCCACTGTGCCCAGCCATGAATGTGTTTTGTGTGAATGTGACTGTATGGGAATGAGTGTGGGTGCGTTGTGAGAATGAGTATGTGTGTGAGTGTGTGCGTGTGTGCAGGCGCACACACAGCCACACCAGGCCCTGGTGCTGCCCCTCAATCTTCACATTCTCCTGGGGCTCTATCTTCAACAGGAGGCCATTGGGCTGTGAGGTCACTCGGGGTGTGTCCTGAGTGCCCAGCACAGCGTCTGCCTCCTGTTTCCTTTCTCCCTCTGATTCTCTGATGTCACCCAGATCCTCCAGAACCTTTCAAAGGGAAATCAGAATTTTACACTTAATGAAATGAGAATAGAAAATGCAAGCAGCAGGGCTGGGCGTGGTGGCTCACGCCTGGAATCCCAGCACTTTAGGAGGCCAAAGCGGGTGGATCATTTGAGGTCAGGAGTTCGAGACCAGCCTGGCCAACATGGTAAAACCCCATCTCTACTAAAAATACAAAAATTAGTCGGGCGTGGTGGTGCGCGTCTGTAGTCCCAGCTACTCAGGAGGCTGAGGTAGGAGAATTGCTTGAACTGGGGAGACAGAGGTTGCAGTGAGCCGTGATCACCCCACTGCACTCCAGCCTGGGCGACAGAGCGGGGCTCCCAAGAAAGAGAGAGAGAGAGGAATGGCAAGCAGCAGGGAATCTGAGCTATGTCACCCTCTGCCTGTTGCTGACCCGACCCAAAAGCAACTTTCACAGCAGAGAGAAACTTCCTGAACCCCACGCCTCGGGGCAGTCCTTGGGGTGATCTAGCTCTGTGAGCATCCTCTTGCTCCTTGACTTCCATTTTCTCGAACTGAAAGATCAGGTGAGACGCGTTAGCAGGTGACATCATGGAAGATCAAGCAGGGAATGTCCGGGGAAATCATGACCTTGTGGTCACTGATGTCATTGGGAACCGCTGGGCATGAATAGGGAATGAGGATTCCTCTCAGGTTCTCGGCCTGGCCCCTCCCTGACCCATGGCCTCTCCTCACAGGTGCTGGCTGCAGGATTCAACCTCCCGGAGGAGGAGGAGGAGGAAGAGGAGGAGGAGGAGGAGGAGAGGAAGGGGCTGCTCCCAGGGGCACTGGGCAGCGCCTTACAGGGCCCGGCCCAGGTGTCCTGGCCCCAGCTCCTCTCCACCTACCGCCTGCTGCACTCCTTGGAGCTCGTCTTATCTCGGGCCGTGCGGGAGTTGCTGCTGCTGTCCAAGGCTGGGCACTCAGTCTGGCCCTTGGGGTTCCCAACATTGAGCCCCCAGCCCTGATCGGTGGCTTCTTAGCCCCCTGCCCCCCACCCTTTAGAACTTTAGGACTGGAGTCTTGGCATCAGGGCAGCCTTCGCATCATCAGCCTTGGACAAGGGAGGGCTCTTCCAGCCCCCTGCCCCAGGCTCTACCCAGTAACTGAAAGCCCCTCTGGTCCTCGCCAGCTATTTATTTCTTGGATATTTATTTATTGTTTAGGGAGATGATGGTTTATTTATTGTCTTGGGGCCCGATGGTCCTCCTCGGGCCAAGCCCCCATGCTGGGTGCCCAATAAAGCACTCTCATCCACCCCTGGCCTCCGCTTCTCTTCGGGTAAGGGCTGTCTGACACCCAGAGGGCAGGGCAGCCTGGAACGGGGTCAGCAACCTCTAGCCATCCTGAACCCCTCTCTGCTCCTACATTTTTGGGGTCTCTGGCCCACCTTCCCCTACTATGTCCTGCTCCGGCAGGCAGTTGCCATAGTAACCAGCAGCATCCTGAGGCCGAGCTACCGTGTTGGAAGCTCAAGGCAGCTCATCTCTGATTCTGAACAGTGCTCCTTAAGCCCTCCCAACCGCCTTCCTTTGGCCTGGATGCAGCTCCAGAGGTTTGTGTTATCCCCGCCCAGTTCTGAGGGTCTTGGTGCAGGGAGTTGGGCTGGGAAGTGGGAGTTAGAGAGGAAGGCCTGTAAGGAAAATGGTCGCTGTTCCCTCAGTCTTCCTTGCAGTCTTTATTGTTTTATTTTGTTTTTAAAAGATGGGGATCTTGCTATGCTGCCCAGGCTGGTCTCGAACTCCTGGTCTCAAGCGATCCTCCCACCTTGGCCTCCCAAAGCTCTGGGGTGACAGGCGTGAGCCCCCGTGCCCAGCCTCCTTGCAGTCCAGACAGCTGACTCAGGCTGGGGAGGAACCAGGGCAGGCACCCTGAGAGGTGGTCTCAGTGGGGTAGGTGGTCCACCAGCCTGTGTCGGAGAATCAGACTCCTTAAGTTCACGGTCTTCCCAGACGTCTGGTTTTGCCTGCTCCATGAATGATACATCAAGACACTGAGGCCCAGAGGGTGGAGAGGATGTGTCCACAGTGGCAGAGGGAGCAGGGCTCAGTGGCATTGGAGCAAGCCTTCTGGCACCCACTCAGGGCCTGGCTCCCAGAGCACCGGGTCTCAGTCACTGGGGCTTAGGCCGGCCCAGACGGGCTTGCAGCTCCTGCATCATGCCAGGGTGCGCGAGGCCAAACCTGGAGGCGGAAGTCAGGCCCGTGAGAACAGGTTCCCAGGTGCCCGCGGTCTCTTCCCCACCCCAGCTGAGTTGCCCTGTGCCTACCCGTGTCCCAGGGGCCTTCTCCTGGCTGGCACCGGGGTCCCATCATGCCTCAGAGGGCTTGGCTCCAGGGGTTCCTCCAGCTGGAGGGGTCTCTGCTCAGGAGCTGACAGCTCCTCCTCAGGAGGGTTGGGGGCTGGGGGCTCCTCCTGCTGCTCCCAGGCCGGAGTCCGACGAAAAGAGGGCCGGGAGCGACGCTGTGAGGAGCTTCTCGAGAGGTGCACGCGACTCCTTGGGACAGAGACGTCTAGGAGGGACCCGGGGAGCGGGGCCTGCAGGAAAGGGGGCACAGAGGACCATGGGGCCGGCTTCGGGATTCCACTCGTTCCCCCCGAGACCCCACCAAGAGCCCTCACCTCGCTCCAGCTGTTGGCAGCACCTCCTCTGGCACTGCCCATGGCCTCAGCCGTCTCGGCTTCCCCGACTGACTCCGGCGCAGCTTCTGCAGGGGCCTGGTGTGTTGGCTGCTCCTCCTGGCCCCTGACATGTTCCAGGCTTTCTGGCTCAGTCTCCTTGGCCTCTGCCCTCCGGCCCCCGGTCACCATGAGACCCTCTGCATCAAGGAGCCTTGGTGCCTCTCCCTCAGGGTGGTAGTCCCCACACCGCCCCTCACTGTCTTCCCTCTGTTCTCTCTCCTGCCATCCAACAGCCTCTTCTTCCAACAGCGTCCACTTTTCTAGAAGCCCCCCAGCCTCCACCATGGCTCCCATCCCCTCTGCCCTCGCTGTCTGGGAGCCCGCGGGATCCAGCCCACAGCTGTCCTCTGCGCCTGCAGATTCCTCGGCCTCTACCCGCCCTCCCCAAGGTCCTCCCTCCCTGGACTCAAAAGCCTCTACTTGGCTGCCTCTGCCAGTCACCTCTTCCTCTGCTGAGCCCTCCAGACCAAATTCTTGCCCACCTGCATGCTCTCCTGCTGCTGCCTCTTCCTTTTCTTTCGAGTCCCAGCCTTGCCCAAGCACCCCTTCCAAAGCTTCACCAGCGCCAGCAGCGCTGATGTGTGGGACCACATCACCCCCCATAATCCCAGCAGCCACAGAGCCAGTCTGTGCATCCTCACGGTCCGGGAGGCCCACAGCCACCGCTTGCAGCCTCCAGCCTCTTCTGGATGTTCTGTCAGCCTCCGCCTCCTCATCCTCAGTTTCTCTGGCATAGGCCTCTCCCAGTGACGGGCAAGGCCCTGCGTCTGCCCCTGTGCTTCCGTCCAGCTCCTGGTTCTCTGAGACAGATGCCTCTCCCTCCTCAGTTCCACATCCCGCGTCCTGGGTTGTCAGCCCCTCCCCGCCTGCCTCTGGGACTTCTGATAGTTCAGACTCTCGGTCTCCTTCAGCCTCAGCCGCCAGGGTCTGGCCTCCCGCAGTCTCCTCCTCCTCCCGCTGCTCGCCATCGGCCGCATCCTCCTGAGTATTTCCTCTCTCCATGTCCTTTCTCGTGCGGTTTTCCCAGGCTCCTGGGAAGGCCTCGGAGGCCTCAGGCTTTACAGACCCCGCGTGCCTGGGACCTGCCTCCAGGCTCCTCTCCTGCTCCTCTTTGCTCAGGGCCAGAACTCCCATGAGCTCCACCTCCCCTGCCTCCCTTTCCTCGGGTTGCTTAGTTGGGGTCTGGGCGCCCCCCATCAGCTCAGGTCCTTGGCCTTTGGTGACGCTGTGTGTGAGGCCACCCCATTCCACGCCCAGTAGGCCACAGCTAGTCTGGGCCGCCTCACTCTCCTCCCCTGTGAGCTCCTCCTCAGGCCTGGCCTCTGGAGTTGCCTCCAAGTCGGCAGTGCCTTCAGCCTCTCCATCTGAGGGCAGCTCAGCCACTGGATCCCTGCTGCTCCCTCTCTCCTCCTGGGCCTCCTCTGCCTGTACCAGCTCTTCCATCCTGGCCCGGTCGGCCCTGATCCCCAAGTCCTGCCTCATCTCAGCCTCCTTACCACGCAGGTCTACCTGGCCCTCAAAGCTCTCCCCTGCCTCCTGGCCTCCCACAGCTTCCCTCCCTGCGGTCTGGCTCTCAGCAGCCTCTTCTGTTCTTTCAGTGCCCAGGACCTGGGGCTGTTTGGGGAAAGGGCTCACCTCAGCCTCTCTCTCCTCATCCCCCTCCTCCTCTAGGACCCAGACTTTTCCAGTAGCCTCTAGGAGCCTTTCTCCTGGGACTGCTCCATATTCTGTCTGTCTGACTCCCAGCAGGTCAGCCTCCTCTTTGCCTGAGGTTGTCCAGGCCTCGTCCCCTCCTGAGGCTGTCCCGGCCTCCTCCCCTCCTGAGGCTGTCCCGGCCTCCTCCCCTCCTGAGGCTGTCCCAGCCTCCCCGCCTGAGGCTATCCCGGCCTCCTCCCCTCCCGAGGCTGTCCCGGCCTCCTCCCCGCCTGAGGCTGTTTCAGCCTCCTCCCCGCCTGAGGCTGTCTCAGCCTCCTCCCCGCCTGAGATTGTCCTGGCTTCCTCCCCATCTAAAATTGCCCTGGCCTCTTCCCTACCTGGGGTTGTCCTGGCCTCCTCTCTGCCTAAGATTCCCCAGTCCTCAGGCTCTGCCCCTGGGCCCCACGTCCCCCATGCCCTAGTGCTTTCACAGGCCTTCTCCACCACTACCACCTCTTCTCCTTTCCCAGCCCCTTCGGCCCCAGGCTCCTCAGTTTCCCCTGCATCTGCCTCCCTGACCCCCTGCTCCATCTCCCGGTTGTCCCCTGCCGCCTTTGGCCCAACAGCACCAGCCTTCCCCTCCGTCTCCCCATGCCAGGTCCACTCTGACTCCGCCCCTCTGGCCATCCCTGGCTCTCTTGCCCTGACCTCTTCCTCCTCCTCCTCCTGTTCCCAGCTTCTCAGCCTCTCTTCTCTGTTCACTTCCTGCTCATGGGACTCCTGCCTCTCCTGGGCTTGGCCGCTCCTGTCTTGGCAAGCCCCAGACCCTGCCTTGGATTTCTTTCTGGCCTCCAAGTGGGCGCTTGGCTCCTGGCACCTGGCAGCCTTGGCTGTCTCCCCAGCCCCACTGTCCTGCCTCTCTGCTTGGGACCCATGGGAGCTGCCATCTCCCCAGCCCCAGGTCTGTTCTACAGCTGAGCTCCCCACTTCATGTCTTCTGTCATCTCCAGGCCCTCTCAGCCTTCCAGCCCCCTCGTTTTGGCTGCCTCTAAGGCCCTCCAGGTCCTCCTGGGCTTCCTCCTCTACAATCTTCCCTGTCTTTCCCACCGCCACCACCCCCAGTTCCTCAGCCGCCTGCGCCTCCCGCTCTACAGTGGGGACTGCATCTCCCAGGAGGTAGGAGACAAAGGTGCCGAGGGAATCCTAGGAAAAAAGAGAGAGAGAGGGGAGAGTCATTGAGGAGAGTCCCAGCCCTTTCCCTGGGGGCCCTGGCTGGAGGAGCCCAGGTTAAGGAAGAGGGTACTGGGATCTGAAAGGAGAAGAAGAGGATTTGCAGAAGGAGCCAGAAGGGGCATCGATTAGGGGTACGAGGACGCATGGTTGGAGGTGGGGACTGAAATTCAGAAAATATTAGGCCAGGAGTCTGCCTGAACCTGAGAAAGCAATCTCCAGTTTGAGGAGATCAGAAGGAGGAGGGGAAAGGTGAGGCCCCAGGGGAGGTGCCCGGAAGTGAGGCCCCAGGGAATGGGGTGCAAGTATCTGGCAGCTGTCTGCCCTTCTCACCAGTGCCCCCCTCAAGGCCTGGTGCAGCCCAGGGAGGTATAGCCGGAGGAAGTCCATCCTGTCTGTCTCTGTCTGTGTGTCCAGAAAGCTGATAATGACCGTCCCCACCCACCAAGACAAGCCAACCTTCCCCAGGACCAAAGGCACTTCCTCTTCCCCTGTCTCCCTGATGCGTCCCCACCCCAGGCCCTGCCCACGGCCCCTGATGCCCACAGTAGCCCCCACTGCAGCCCGGGAAATGGGTGTACATCACACAGGGGACTCAGGTGCACATTTGGAAATAAAGGACAAGCAAGAGGCCAGAAAGGACAAAGTGGGAGCAGGAGACCTTAGAACTGGGGAGGGGGAGAGGGAGGGGACATGTGGCAACAGCAGCTCAAGTGACTCAGGTCTCGTATCCGCACCTCAGCCATTTCTGCCTCCCCTACAAGCCACAGCCACTCTGCAAGAGGAAGCTGGGGTTTGTGGTTCCTGTTTTGCCTGGGAAGAAAGAGTAGCAGTGAAGAGGGGGCTGGTGGGAGCTCTGACACATTTCGGCGTCATTAATGCTTCCCCCAGGGGCGGAAGGGGCCGGATTGGTGGCTCTGGGGTGCATCCCCTCACCTATGATTAGGCTTGCAAAAAAGAACTTGGCTAAACTTTATATTGTGGATATCTGTGTCTGCCTCCCACCTTCCTGTGACTTCCTTGATGGCAGATGCCATGTATGAAACGCTGCTGAATTTCTAGAGCCCTGCACGTTAGTAGGATTCCATTTTCCATCAGCTGAGTGACCTGGGAGGCACACTAGAGAGGGCACATTTCTTTTCTTTTCTTTTCTTTTTTTTTTTGAGACAGTCTCACTCTGTCACCCAGGCTGGAGTGTAGTGGCGCAGTCTCAGCTCACTGCAACCTCTGCCTCCTGGGTTCAAGTGATTCTCCTGCCTCAGCCTCCCGAGTAGCTGGGATTACAGGTGCGTGCCACCACACCTGGTTAATTTTTGTATCTTTAGTAGAGACAGGGTTTCACCATGTTAGCCAGGCTGGTTTCGAACTCCTGACCTCAGGTGATCTGCCCACCTTGGCCTCCCAAAGTGCTGGGATGACAGGCATGAGCCACCACACCCAGACGAGAGGGCACATTTCCAACTGCATTCTGAAGGCCTGGTGGTGAGAAAGAGCATATAGAGGTGGCACAGCCCATAGCAGAGATGAGGCCAAGGACAAGAAGAGAATGCAGGATGCCGCTTTCCACCTAGAAGAAGGTAAGGGTATGATTCCTTATTTGGAACTACATAAAGTGACCTTGCTCTACTTCTCTTCCCCATACCCTCCTTCTCCCCTCCCCAGCCCCACTTTCCTATTCCAATTAGGGCAATTCTATGAAATCACAGCATCAGAATCTTAGGCCTTAAAATCATTTAGTCTGGCCAGGTGCAGTGGCTCACGCCTGTAGTCCTAGCACTTTGGGAAGCCAAGGCAGGTGGATTGCTTGAGCTCAGGAGTTTGAGGCCACCCTGGGCAACGTGGCAAAATCCAGTCTCTACAAAAAACACAAAAATTAGCTGGGCACAGTGGTGCGCACCTGCTGTCCCAGCTACTCGGGAGGCTGAGGTGGGAGGATCACCTGAGCCTGGGAGGTCAAGGTTGCAGCAAACCAAGATCCTGCCACTGCACTCCAGCCTGGGCAACAGAGCAAAACCCTGTCAAAAAAAAAAAAAAAATCTGGTCTAAGCACCACCTTTGATGGAGGCAGGAATCCTGCAGCAGCCTGGAGCCAACCCAATGGCTCCCTGCCTCTGGTGCTCTATTTCTTATCACCATACAGGTCTCTAAGGTCACCTTTAGGTCTAACATTGTATGAATGATTGTCAGCAACTTTCCAATTTTTTTCATATACATATATTTTTTTTATTTTATTTTTTACTTTTTCTTTTTTTGAGACAGGATCTCACTCTGTCACCCAGGCTGGAGTGCAGTGGCGTGATCATAGCTCACTGTAGCTTCAACCTCCTGGGCACAAGTGATCCTCCCACCTCAGCTTCCAAGGTACCTGTGACTACAGGAATGCGCCACCATGCCCGGCTAATTTTGTTATATATATATATATATATATTTGTACCTTGGTTTTCTCATCTGTAACACCAGGGGTTGAAGTGCTGTGATATTTTTTGGTTCTAGGATAATTTGGAAATAGGGATCTCTTAACATCTTGGATACTGCCAATAGATCATTCACGAAATCCCTTTAGATGAGTGTTATGTTTACTTAGGTCTCTAAAACAATTTGTAAGGTCAACAGATGGGGATAAGAATGACCTGAAGCTGGTCGTCTTTGTTCGCAACCAGAAACAGTCCTGCCTCAAAAAAAAAAAAAAAAAAAAGGGAGTAGGCAGGTGGCCATATTTGTTTCTGGCAAGTGAGTGCTGAAGGAAAGGAGCTGAAGCCTCCCACAGTCATAACTGGTGCTGGCAGGCTACTGTCTCGGTCTTGGGCGCCACTGATCTAAGGTCACGGCTCTGCTTGCTGCTCCCACCCGCTCCAGTTTAAAACCTGCGGTTCCAGGGTTCTCCAGCCCCTCCCTTTTTCACGCTCCGAAGCCGAGAAGGCCCAAAGCGAAGACAGAGAGGACCCGGAAGTAGGGAAAACCTCTGAGCACGTGATGGGGGAACACGCGGGTGCTGTCACGTGATCCGACAAACGGCCTCTGCATAGTGCAGAACATTCTGCTGCTCTTAAAGGTACAGGCCTCAGGGTCCCTGCTGTAGACGGGGCGGGGGAGAGTACGATGGGTGGGGCGTGGTGGGTCGTAGGGCGCTCGAGATGGAGCCCCCAGCTTCCTTGATGGATCGCGGGGCGCGAGTGCCCTAGACAAGCCGGAGCTGGGACCGGCAATCGGGCGTTGATCCTTGTCACCTGTCGCAGACCCTCATCCCTCCCGTGGGAGCCCCCTTTGGACACTCTATGACCCTGGACCCTCGGGGGACCTGAACTTGATGCGATGGGAGGCTGTGCAGGCTCGCGGCGGCGCTTTTCGGATTCCGAGGGTGAGTATTCCCGCCCACCCTCATGGAACGACCACCTCTGGCTCGCAGCCCACCTGAGGGGAATGAGAGCTGACTCGGCCCCGGGAGGACACGCAAGGAGCGGTCGTGCACCTGAGAGTAGGTGGGGGTCATGCCCTCTTCTCGCTCTCCCAGGGGAGGAGACCGTCCCGGAGCCCCGGCTCCCTCTGTTGGACCATCAGGGCGCGCATTGGAAGAACGCGGTGGGCTTCTGGTGAGTGGCCTGAGACTTCAGCGAGTGACAATGGCATGAGAAGAGGGAAGTGACCGGAGGAAAGGGGGAAGAAAGAGTTAAGCTGCGCAAAGGAGCTGAACCCACAAATATTTACTGAATCCACTGGTTTGCCCCAGGGGCAGCATGTAAAATTTCCAAACTTCACTCCTTATCACCTTCCGGATTTAGCAAGATCCTCATACCTACCACCTGTAGGATTATTTACTTTTTTCTTCCAGCCAATTCAGCCTTAACGTTTTTTAGTGCACATATTTTTAAAAAGAAAACTTTAAATCACGACTCCACTTGGAAAACCAGCGTTTTCCTAGTGAACGTTTAAATAAATGCATCACTACTAAAACTTTTTTATTTTTTTAATTTATTTTATTTTATCTTATTTTTTTTTCTTTTTGAGACAGGGTCTTGCTCTGTTTCCCAGGTTGGAATGCAGTAGTGCAATCACAGCTCCCTGCAGCCTGGAACTCCTGGGCTCAAGTGATTCTCCCACCTCAGCCTCCAAGTAGGTGTGGCTACAGGTGTGCACCACCGCATCTGCCTAATTTTTATATTTTTTTATAGAGATGGGGGTCTCACTATGGGACCTGGGCTGGTCTCAAACTCGTGGCCTCAAGTGATCCTCCTACCTCAACCTTCCAAAGTGCTGAGATTACAAGCATGAGCCACCATGCCGGGCCTGAACCTTTTTTTTTTTTTTTTTTTTTGAGACGGAGTCTCTCTCTGTCCTCCAGGCTGGAGTGCAGTGGCGCAATCTCGGCTCACTGCAAACTCCGCCTCCCAGGTTCACACCATTCTTTTGCCTCAGCCTCCGGAGTAGCTGAGACTACAGGCGCCTGCCACCACGCCCGGCTATTTTTTTGTATTTTTAGTAGAGATGGGGTTTCACCGCGTTATCCAGGATGGTCTCGATCTCCTGACCTCGTGATCCGCCCGCCTCGGCCTCCCAAAGTGCTGGGATTACAGGTGTGAGCCACCGCGCCCAGCTTTTTTTTTTTTTTTTTTTAATTTTATTTTATTTTTGAGACAGAGTCTCACTCTATCACCCAGGCTGGAGAGCAGTGGCACAATCTCGGCTCACTGAAACCTCCACCTCCAAGGTTCAAGCTATTCTCCTGTCTCAGCTCCCCGAGTAGCTGGGATTACAGGTGCGTGCCACCAGAC
This sequence comes from Homo sapiens, assembly GCF_000001405.40. Classification (NCBI taxonomy): domain Eukaryota; kingdom Metazoa; phylum Chordata; class Mammalia; order Primates; family Hominidae; genus Homo; species Homo sapiens. Next base: position 28,490,302 of record NC_000016.10, on the reverse strand, counting down.
ACAGCTAATTTTTTGTATTTTTAGTAAAGACAGGATTTCACCATGTTGGTCAGGCTGGTCTAGAACTCCTGACCTTAGGTGATCCGCTTGCCTCCACTTCCCAAAGTGCTGGGATTACAGGCGTGAGCCACCGTGCCCCGCCCTGACATAGGGGCTTTGGGATCACAGACTTGGATTCACTTCCAGCCTCCAAGGCCTCTCCCAGAAACTCTCTGTGACCACTCTCCTTTTTTTTTTTTTTTTTTGAGATAGAGTCTCGCTCTTGTAGCCCAGGCTGGAGTGCAATGGCACAATCTCGGCTTACTGCAACCTCCGCCTTTCGGGTTCAAGTGGTTCTCCTGCCTCAGCCTCCTGAGTAGCTAGGATTACAGGCATGTGCAACTTCGCCCAGCTAATTTTGTATTTTTTAGTAGAGACGGGGTTTCTCCATATTGCTCAGGCTGGTCTCGAACTCCTGACCTCAGGCGATCCGCCCGCCTCGGCCCCTCAAAGTGCTGGAATTACAGGTGTGAGCCACTGCACTCGGCCTCTTCCTTTTTATTTTTTATTTTTGTGACAGGGTCTTGCTCTGTCACCCAGGCTAGAGTGCAGTGGCATGATCACAGTTCACTGCAGCCTCTGACTCCTGGACTCAAGCAATCCTCCCACCTCAGCCTCCCAAGTAGCTGGGACTACAGTGCAAGCCACCACACCTGGCTAATTTTTAAATTTTTTGTAGAGATGGGGGTCTCACTATCTTGCCCAAGCACCAAAGCCTGTATTTTTGACCCCAACATTGAATGAGGATGGGATCTGGTGATAGAGGGAAAAAAAAGAGGGGGCTGATTGAAGGGCACAGGTAAGGGAAGGTTTGGCACAAAGGCTACAGATGGCTGCAGGATGAGGAGGGAGTTGAGACCTGTCCTGCTCCTTCCAGGCTGCTGGGCCTTTGCAACAACTTCTCTTATGTGGTGATGCTGAGTGCCGCCCACGACATCCTTAGCCACAAGAGGACATCGGGAAACCAGAGCCATGTAAGTGACTCTCTACCACCACCACCATGGTTAGTCCCTGTGGGAAGATGAGGGGGTGGGACAAGGTGGGGTAAAGTTTCCAGTCTCTGGCTGGGCACAGTGGCTCACACCTGTAATCCCAGCAGTTTGGGAGGCTGAGGCGGGCGGATCACTTGAAGTCAGGAGTTCGAGACCAGCCTGGCCAACATGGTGAAACTCCGACTCTACTAAAAATACAAAAACTACCTGGGTGTGGTGGCACACACCTGTAGTCTGAGCTATTCAGGAGGCTGAGGCAGGAGAATTGCTTGAAGCCAGGAGGTGGAAGTTGCAATGAGCCAAGATCACACCACTGCACTCTAGCTTGGGCAACAGAGTGAGACACCATCTCAAAAAAAAGAAAGCTCTTGAATGTGTTATCTAAACAAAGTCCATTTACAGGGCCATCTGTGGCCTGTGGTCTAGTAGTGTGAGACTCATATGGAAACCCCCTCTTCATTGTGCATGCAGAGACGCTGAGGTCCTGAGAAGTCAGTCACTGCTGACCCAAAGCCATCCTTCAAGTGAAGGCAGAGCTGGGACGGGAGCCAGGCTCTGTGTGTCTATCCCTCTGCCTCCAGGGTGAAAGACATGCTTTTCTCCCATTAGGTGGACCCAGGCCCAACGCCGATCCCCCACAACAGCTCATCACGATTTGACTGCAACTCTGTCTCTACGGCTGTGCGTACTCATCTCACCTGGTCCTTGCCTGACCCAGGGCCCCTGGGTCTATAGACCCCACTCCCAGCCCTTCACTACCCAGCTGGGACTGTCATGATTAAAACAGTTGAGACCTGGGCTGGGCGCACTGGCTCACACTTGTAATCCCAGCACTTTGGGAGACCAAGGTGGGAGGATCACTTGAGCCTAGGAGTTTGAGACCAGCCTGGGCAGTATAGTGAGACCCCCATCTTAAAGAAAAAAATTAAAAAATATATATATATAAAATAATTGAGACCTTAATATAATTTCTGAGGCTGAGGCGGATGGATCACTTGAGACCAGGAGTTCAAGACCAGCCTGGCCAACATGGTGAAACCCCATCTGTACTAAAAATACAAAAATTAGCCAGGCATGGTGGTGCACGCCTGTAATCCCAGCTACTCAGGAGGCTGAGGCAGGAGAATCACTTGAACCCAGGAGGTGGAGGTTGTAGTGAGCCAAGATCGAGCCACTACACTCCAGCCTGGGTGGCAGAATGAGACTCACTCTCAAAATATATATATATATAGTTTCTGAGTCCTTTCTGTCTGCACCATATATTAGCTCATTTAAGCCACACAGCAGTCCTGTGAGCTAGGTGCTATGATATTCCCATTTTCCAGATGAGGAAACTGAAGCTCAGAGAGTATAAACTCTTGACACACAACTAAGGAGTGGGAGAGCTGAGACTTGAACCCAGGCGTGCCTGACTCCAGAGCCTGTGTTTGTAGCAGGCCTGTTTGGCCAGCTCCTGCCTCTCCTTGGCCACGTGGTTGGGAGGGTTGTCCCCTGGAAGCTCTGCGGTCTCACTCTATTCTCCTGTCCCAGGCTGTGCTCCTGGCGGACATCCTCCCCACACTCGTCATCAAATTGTTGGCTCCTCTTGGCCTTCACCTGCTGCCCTACAGGTCTGGGTGAGGGTAGTGGGAGGCAGGGTGGGCAGGAGCTGAGAAAGGGGAGGCTGGGATGGCTGAGATGCTGAGAGTAGAGACCGACCTTCCCCCTCCCTTCCCTTCTCACCCCCTCAGCCCCCGGGTTCTCGTCAGTGGGATTTGTGCTGCTGGAAGCTTCGTCCTGGTTGCCTTTTCTCATTCTGTGGGGACCAGCCTGTGTGGTGAGTGTGTGGTTCTGTGTCAGATGGGGAGCCCCGAGGAACCACATCAGAGCATTTGTGGGAAGAGTCTCCCCAGCCTCCCAGAGGAAAGGGATTCATTCTGTCACCCTTAGAAGCCTGCTAGGGCTATCAGCAGTAGGCGATGGGAGACTGGGACAATTTGGAGGGGTAGGCAGTGGAGGAGATGGGAGAAAATGGATGAATTAGATGGAGATTGAGGTGAACAAAGTCAAGACTCTGTGATGGACCAGGCACAGTGACTCATGCCTATAATCCCAGCACTTTGGAAAGCCAAGGCAGGCAGATCACCTGAGGTCAGGAGTTCGAAACCAGCCTGGCCAACATGGAGAAACCCCGTCTCTACCAAAAATACAAAAATTAGCTGGGTGTGGTGGCAGGAGCCTGTAATCCCAGCTACTCGGGAGGCTGAGGCAGGAGAATCTCTTGAACCTGGGAGGCAGAGGTTGCAGTGAGCCGAGATCACGCCACTGTACTCCAGCCTGGGTGACAGGGCGAGACTCCGTCTCCAAAAAGAAAAGAAAAGAAAAAGACTGATGAAGGGGCAGAGACATCAAGGGTGCATGTCTGCCCCTGGTCTGATAACTGGGTGGATGGAGGTGCCACTCTCCATGAAGGGACACGCAGGGGAGTGGGGCTCTGCTTCAGACCTGGAACCTGGCCTATGCATGGGATCTATTGGAGCCTCTATGAGCTGATACTGAGGAGGCCATGGCCAGACACATTAGAGGCCTGGGCAGTGTGGCAAGGTGTGGTGTGACCATCCCAGTGCTTGTCCTCCCCCCAGGTGTGGTCTTCGCTAGCATCTCATCAGGCCTTGGGGAGGTCACCTTCCTCTCCCTCACTGCCTTCTACCCCAGGTAAGCAGGTGGAGCAGGGAGTGTGGGGAGAGGCTGTCCCATGGTCAGCCTAGGTCCTCCTGAATGTTCCTGTGTTCTCCTTCCCAGGGCC